>NC_000011.10:107778485-108081515 GCF_000001405.40 Homo sapiens | reverse complement strand
CTCCCTAAGTGCTGGGATTACAGGTGTGAGCCACCACGCCTGGCAGCCAACCGATTTTTGATAATGGAGAAAAGACTGTTCAATGAATGCTGGAACAATTGGGTATCCACATGCAAAAATATGAAGTTAGAGCTGTATCTCACACCATATACAAAAGCTAACTCAAAATGGATCAATGACTTAAATGTAAAAGTCAAAACTATAAAACTCTTTCTTGTTGTTGTTGTTGAGACGAAGTCTCACTCTGTCACCCAGGCTGGAGTGTAATGGCACGATCTCGGCTCACTGCGACCTCCACCTCCCAGATTCTGACGATTCTCCTGTCTCAGCCTCCCAAGTAGCTGGGATCACAGGCATGAGCCACCACGCCTGGCTAATTTGTTGTATTTTTAGTAGAGACAGGGTTTCACCATCTTGGCCAGGCTGGTCTTGAACTCCTGACCTCAAGTGATCCACCCGCTTTGGCCTCCCAAAGTGCTGGGATTACAGGCGTGAGCCACTGTGCCCGGCCCTATAAAACTCTCAAATAAATAAATAAATAAATAAATAAATAAATAAATAATGATAAATCTTCATGATCTAAATATGAAACCAAACCAAAAGCAAAAGCAACAAAAGAAAAAAATAGGTAAACTGAACTTAATCAAAATTAAAAGCTTTTGTGCATCAAAGGATAGTATCAAGAAAATGAAAAGACAACTTACAGAATGGGAGAAAATATTAGCACATCATCTATCTGATACGGATCCAGTACCAGAATATATAAAGAACTCTTACAACTCAACAACAAAGAGAAAGAATCCAATTAAAAATGGCCAAAAGGGCCAGGCATGGTGGCTCATGCCTGTAATCCCAGCACTTTGGGATGCCGAGGCGGGCAAATCACGAGGTCAAGAGATTGAGACCATCCTGGTCAACATGGTGAAACTCCATCTCTACTAAAAATACAAAAATTAGCTGGGCGTGGTGGCACACACCTGTAGTCCCAGCTACTCAGGAGGCTGAGGCAAGAGAATCACTTGAACCCACGAGGTGGATGTTGCAGTAAGACAAGATCAGACCACTGCACTCCAGCCTGGAGATAGAGCAAGGCCCCGTCTCAAACAACCAAAAAAAATGGGCAAAAGGCCTGGGCATGGTAGCTCATGCCTGTAAGCTCAACACTTTGGGAGGCTGAGGCAGGAGCATCTCTTGAGGCCAGGAGTTCGACACCAGCCTGAGCAACGCAGCAAGACCTCATCTCTAAAAGAAATTAGTAAAGTATGGTGGTGTGTGCTTATAGTCCCAGCTACTCAGGAGGCTGAACCAGGAGGACTGCTTAAGCCCAGGAGGTGGAGGCTGCAGTGAGCTATGATCACCCTTCATAAAGGAAAATATACGAATACCGGAAAAAAAAAAAAAAAAGATGAAAAATTGCTCAACATCAAGAGTCATGAGGGAGACGGGAATTAAAACATTAAGATACTACTACATACATCCCAAATGACTAAAGTTAAAAGAACACTAAACATTGGTGAGAATGAGGGTCAGCTGGTACTCTCATACTCTATTGGTGGAAGTGTAAAAGAGAATAACCACTTTGGAAAGCAAACTACTGTTACATGCCAAAACATAAAAGAATTTCAAAAACACAATGCAGAATGAAAGAAGCTTTACACAAGAAGTACACAGTGTATGATCCTATTTATACAAAGTCCTAGATTAGGCAAAACTAATCTATATTGAGGGAATTAATCAGGACAGCAGATGCCTCTGGAAGGAGGTGGGGTGGGACCGACTGGGAATAGACATGAAGTAACTTTGTACGATGATAAAGACATCATACATGTTAATAGGGGTATAGGCATTTGTCAAATCTGACTCAAATGTACACTTAAGATTTATGCATGGGACAGTATATAAATTTTGCCTAAAAACATAAACATTAAATTCAATAAATGACTGTATGCTGAAGTGTTTAGGGACTAAAGGTTACTGATGCCTGCAACTTCTTTAGAAATACACTTAAAAAGTTGACTGACGAATGTATATAAGGAGATAACATATTTGATAAAGCAACCATAGTAACTCTATTGTAAGTTTGAACATTTTCATTAAAAAAAATGCTTGGGACTGGGTGCGGTGGCTCACGCCTGTAATCCCAGCACTTTGGGAGGCTGAGGTGGGCGGATCACTTGAGGTCAGGAGTTCAAGACCAGCCTGGCCAATATGGCGAAACCCCGTCTCCATTAAAAATACAAAAAAATTAGCCAGGCATGGTGGTGTGTGCCTGTAATCCCAGCTACTCGGGAGGCTGAGGCAGAAGAATTGCTTGAATCCGGGAGGTAAAGGTTGCAGTGAGCTGAGGTCGTACCACTGCACTCCAGCCTGGGTGACAGAGTGAGACCCTGTCTCGAATAAATAAATAAATTAAAATTAATAAATAATACAAAAAATGCTAGGGTGAAAGAGAAGAAGATCTATCTACTCATGTGAAGAGATGGCCAAGATGCAGTGCTATATGTTTCACATATTTCACAGTTTATAAAAGAGAACATATTCCCTTCTAAAATATATCAATATTATAATATGGTATGACTCAGATGTCTTCCACTGTAATATTACTCAAGCAACATACACTGCTCAGAAAAGACAAAATGAAAACACTAAATGAAAAATACCTGATTATTTTTCCTTCTTAAGAAACGTTATTTTTCAGTATTTTTCAAATATTTTAGCATTATATATAAAATTTCTTTAAAATGGTAATTCTTAGCTAGAAGCACATCAAAAGACTTTTTTTAACTAACCTTTATTGCTATTTAGTACTACTCTGAAAGTGCTATAACTAGCTCAGATTCCAGTTGTCAGATTTTCTATAAGCTAGGCTTAGCACAGGCATATTCATCTTACCAATTATAGAACAATTTTTTAAAACGGTAATAGGAAAATTTACATTTAAACTGAGTTCTTTTTATAACATTATGGTAAATTGAGTCATTTTCTCTGCTTCTATGGGTAATAGAATACTTTTAGTGACTAATGAGGGAAAAACAAGTAGAGATCCTAAAAGATTAGGAATATTTTTTTTTTACCTGAAAAAATAAAGTCAATTTTTGTATTGTAAAATAATTTAATAAAAAATTATAAATGAACTTTAATAGCCAAAAGCTGCAAAAGTCACAAAACTAACAATAACAAAAATAAACCTAACAGGGTACTTTGTATACCTAGTTAACCCCTATTACACTAAAGAAAATTTAAGTATTTTTAAAGTATGGTTTTAAAAAACTTACCCCTTCTGCTTCAAAGGTAATTCAAGTTTAAATATGGTAGCATCATTAACAACTGCTTTATACGCCTGCAAAAAATAATTTGGAATAAAATATTTTTAATATTGAAAATATACAGATAAATTTTTATACATCCCAAAACACATAAAAATATGTTAGTTTTTATTTCTAATGGTATATCTGGCCAAACAGAATTTGCCTAGTCAAAGACTTTAGCAAGTTCTTTGTCATATTATAATTATCAATATTCTCAAGTGAGGTTTTTTTGTTGTTGTTGGTTTGGTTTTGTTTTTTTGAGATGAAGTCTCACTCTGTCGACCAGGCTGGAGTGCAGTGGCATGATCTCCACTCACTGCAACCTCCGCCTCCTGGGTTCAAGTGATTCTCCTGTCTTAGCTGGCCTCCTGGGTAGCTGGGATTATAGGTGCCCACCACTACATCAGGCTAACTTTTGTATTTTTAGTAGAGACGGAGTTTCACCATGTTGGCCAGGCTGGTCTCAAACTCCTCACCTCA
Source organism: Homo sapiens (assembly GCF_000001405.40). Classification (NCBI taxonomy): domain Eukaryota; kingdom Metazoa; phylum Chordata; class Mammalia; order Primates; family Hominidae; genus Homo; species Homo sapiens. Next base: position 108,077,727 of record NC_000011.10, on the reverse strand, counting down.
GGTGATCTGCCTGCCTTGGTCTCCCAAAGTGCTGGGATTACAGGGGTGAGCCACCATGCCTGGCCTCAAGTGAGATTTTTTTTCTTTTTTTTTTTTTGGAGACAGAGTTTCACTCGTTGCCCAGGCTGCAGTGCAGTGGTGCTGATCTCAGATCACTGCAACCACCACCTCCTGGGTTCAAGCGATTCTCCTGCCTCAGCCTCCTGAGTAGCTGGAATTACAGGTGCGCACCACCGTGCCTGGCTAATTTTTGTATTTTTAATAGAGACAGGGTTTCATCATGTTGACTCCTGACCTCAAGTGATCCACCTGTCTCAGCCTCTCAAAGTGCTGGATTACAGGCGTAAGCCACCACACCCAGCCTACACAACTGTTCTTGTTAAAGTCACTGGCAACCTCCATGTTGCTGAAGACAATGGTTTATCTCCATCTTATTTATTATCAGCATTTAAAAACAGCGGATCACACCCTCCTCCTGAAAGTACTTTTTTCACTTGTCTTCTAGCACATAACATTCTCTTGGATCATTTCTCCCTTCTCATGAAAGACGACTCCTCATTTTTCTAACAATGAAATATCAGAATGCCCTAGGCCAATCCTTGGATCTGTCCTCTTTTCTATCTCCAATCATTACTTTGGTGATTAGAGCCTGTGTCAGTGCTTTAAAAACCACTTATATGCTGAAGCTGCCAAACATATTTTTCCAGCTCCATTCTTTCTCTTAAGCTCCAGACTCAACATTACCATATGGATGTTTAACAGATATTTCAAAGTTAACTTATTCAATACCGAGTTTCTGATCTCTCTGCAACCATCTCTCCAAAAACTATTTCTCTTACAGTCTTCCCTATCGCAGTGAACATATCCTTCTAATTGATCAGAACACGAATCTGAGTGTCATCCCTGACTAGTCTCTATCACATTCTACTTCTGATTCAATAGCAAATCCTGAATAGTCTATCTTCATAATGTAATCATAATCCCAGCAATCCCTCTTCTAGGCATATACCCAAAGGAAATGAAATCACCACTTCACAAAGATAACTGCACTCCCACATTCACTGCATTATTAACAATAGCAAAAATATGGACACAACCTCAGCGTCCATCAATGGATAAAGAAACTGGTACATATATATGACGGAAGCCTGGAAGACCTTAAAAATAAGCCAGACACAGGAAGAAAAATACTGCATGATCTCACTTATAGGTAGAACCTAAAAAAAATTCAAATATACAGAAAGAGGAATGAAAGAGTAGTACCAGTGGCAAAATGGGTGGGAAAGAAACAAGGAAATGTAGGTGACATGATACAAAGTAGCAGACACACAAGATGGAAAAAGTCTAGAGAGCTAATGTACAGCATGAGAACTATAGGTAGTAAAATTATACTGGGCTGGGCATGGTGGCTCATGCCTGTAATCCCAGCACTTTGGGAGGCTGTGGTGGATGGATCGCTTGAGCCCAGGAGTTCAAGAACAGCCTGGGCAACATACTGAGAACTCATCTCTACAAAAAAAATTACAAATTAGCCAAACATAGTGGTGCATGCCTGTAGTCCCAGCTACTCGGGAGGCTGAGGTGGGAAGATCACCTGAGCCCAGAGGGGTCGAAGCTCCAGTGAGCCATGTTGTGCCACTGCACTCTCTCCAGCCTGGGTGACAGAGCAAGACTCTGTCTCAAAATAAATAAATAAATAAAACAAAACAAATTCAAATTATACTGTATATTGGATTCATGCTAAGTAGACTTTGGGTGCTCTTGCCACAAAAACAAAACAAAACAAGAAAATGAGTAACTATGTCAGATGGTGGATATCTTTATTTCCTTCACCAGTGAGATGACAGGGCTGAGACAACATCAGTGCGGGTGAAGAGTTCTCAAAGAACATGATTTAAAGGGAAAGGGGGCCAGGGGTGGTGGCTCACGTCTATAATCCCAGAACTTTGGAAGGCTAAGGCAGGAGTTCAAGACCAGCCCAAACAACATAGCTAGATGTTGTCTCTATAGAAAAACTTTAAAAACCTAGCCAGGTGTGGTGGTATGTGCTCACAGTCCCAGAAACTCAGGTGGCTGAGGCGGGAGGATTGCTTGAGCCCAGGAGTTCAAGGCTGCAGTCAGCTATGATTGCACCACTGCACTCCAGACTGGGCGACACAGCGAACTTCCCTGACAAGTCACTTCTAGAGCCTGCTGTCATTTTTATTTTCCAATTCCAAGCCACATACCTGGTGTAACAAATGCTGTCAAACCTTCCCACATCCCTTATACTTTTCCCACTATTAGTATCTGCACATGCACCCAAAGAGCTGTTTTTTCCTAAAACTGCAGAAATATGTGTTGCCTATGCAAGTGGCAGGCAGGAAACTTCAAGAACTCAACACTTGATAGGTGAGGTAATTTTGAGCAGGGTTTTAAATAAGTTTCCTTGCAGAATTAAGTTCAAGTAGCTCACTGTAGATCTGACTTACTAATACGCCACGCTATCGTCCCTGCATTTCCCAAATAAGCTACTTGCATTAAAAAAAAAAAAAATTATCGAACTACTTTTGACCACCTCTACCATCACTCTGGGACAAGCCTCCATCATCACTTAATTGAATTATTTAAATAAGTTCTTAACTGGTATTCTTTCTTCCTTCTTCCCTTCAGTATATTTTTTACAACAGCCAGAATGATCCTGTTAATACATAAATCACATTCTACCATTCTGTTTAAAATTTTTAAATGACTTCCCATCCTACTCACAGTAAAAACTAACTCCTTCCCATGGCTCAGAGTCTTACATGATCTGGCTTCCTATGAAGCCTTTGCAGGCTACTCAATTTAAGACTTCACACCACGCCCACCATGTCTATACTCCCTTAACTCCTTTCCTACTTTACCTACTTATTTGTTTTATTTTTATTTATTTATTTTTTGAGACAGAGTTTCGCTCTTGTTGCCCAGGCTGGAGTGCAATGGCACGATCTCAGCTCACCACAACCTCCACCTCCTGGGTTCAAGCAATTCTCCTGCCTCAGTCTCCTAAGTAGCTGGAATTACACGCATGTACCACCACGTCCAGCTAATTTTTCGTATTTTTAGTAGAGATGGGGTTTCTCCATGTTGATCAGGCTGATCTCGAACTCCCGACCTCAGGTGATCCACCCGCCCTGGCCTCCCAAAGTGCTGGTTACAGGCGTGAGCCACTGCACCTGGCCTATTTACTTGTTTTAAAATAGACAAAAAGAGTCTGGGCACAGTAGCTCAGGCCTGTAATCCCAGCACTTTGGGAGGCCGAGGCGGGCCCATCACCTGAGGTCAGGAGTTCGAGACCAGCCTGGCCAACACAGTGAAACCCCGTCTGTAGTAAAAATACAAAAATTAGCCGGGCATGGTGGTTGGTCCCTGTAATCCCAGCTACTCGAGAGGCTGAGGCAGGAGAATCGCTTGAACCTGGGAGGCAGAAGTTGCAGTGAGCCAAGATCATGCCATTGCACTCAAGCCTGGGCAACAAGAGCGAAACTCAGTCTCAAAAAAAAAAAAAAAAAAAAATTAAAATAGACAAAAAGAGTGAGAAAAAAATCCTACTGGAGAATGGAGAAAGTTGTCTTTTTAGAATCATTCAAACTTGGGAAGTAACGAAAGGTAGTCAAAGAAGAGAAAAAACTAACAGCAATTTCTTGTTATAGGTTTATTACACTAAAAAAGATACAATGCTAAGGACAGTATGGTGTTTTATTATCATTATCCTATACTAGTGAGGATGGAAAAAGATGGTATGCAATACAAATGCTTCCCTGGGAAACAAGGATAAGTATAACATAACTCCCGAAGGAGTCCCATGAAAGGACGGAGGATGGAGGAATCAACTCTGCTGGTGATGAGCTGTGGAGGGAGGCAGGACATCAAGGAAGCTCCAGGGGAAGTATTCTTTGAGCTGGGTCTTAATGGAAGGATGAATAGGAATTCAATAGATCAGTAATATTCAAAAACAGAAAAACATTCTTGGAAAAATGAGAAAAAAGCAACTTTCTAACTAAATTCTAATTCACAAGGCTATCTAATGTTTAACAAATGCTTACAGCCAAGACAAAACGAATATAGTTGTTCTCCACTGATGAAAAATAACAGTTGCTAGGTTTTTAAGTTTATAATTAATAGAAAAATAATGCAAATTGATTATTAGAAGTAAATTATGAGAATAAAACTTTTAAAAGTGTTTTTTATATATATAGGAATATATACCTTATCTCTTGCAGTAAGAAATCGTGGATCATCTTGAAAAGCTTCTTTGACGAGTTTACTAAATCTATTAAATAGTGTAAGTAACTGCTCAACGTATTTCTCAGAGTCCTAGAAACAAAAGGTTTTACATTAAGTTTTTAAAAGAAAAAGAATAACACAAAAAAATGAGAAAATAAACATAATTTTAATAAAACTCATTTAAAACTGGGGATATTTTTTCTTAAAAATAAAACTAAAAGGTGTTCCAATATTACTGTTTTGCCACTTCTTTTTTCTTTCTTCCTTTTTTTTTTTTTGAGACGGAGTCTCGATCTGTCGCCCAGGCTGGAGTGCAGTGGCACCTTCTCGGCTCACTGCAAGCTCCACTTCCTGGGTTCACGCCATTCTCCTGCCTCACCCTCCCAAGTAGCTGGGACTATAGGCGCCCGCCACCCCGCCTGGCTATTTTTTTTGTATTTTTAGTAGAGAGGGGTTTCACCATGTTAGCCAGGATAGTCTCGATCTCCTGACCTTGTGATCTGCCCACCTCGGCCTCCCAAAGTGCTGGGATTACAGGCGTGAGCCACCTTGCCCAGCTCCCTGTTTTACAGAGAAAATAGTAATTTCAATTACTATTTTCAATTTTCAATTCTGTATTTTTAAAAATTTAATGTTTTTATTTGTAATCAACACATAATGGTACATATTATGGGGTACAATGTTATATTTCAATGCATGTATATACTATAATGATCAAATTGGGGTAACTACTATATCCATCACTTCAAACATTTATAATTTCTTTGTGGTAACAACATAAAAAATCTCTTCTATCTTGAAATATACACTACATTGTTACTTGCTATATCCGCCCTAATGGGTAATAGAACACCAAAACTTATTCTTCCTATTGAACTATAACTTTATACCCCACTAACCAACCTCTTCTGCTCCCCCAACCCCCAGCCTCTGGTAACCGCTCACTATTTTCAATAATCCTACATTTAAAAAATAGCCTTGATATATATCTATCATTGCCATTGAAAAAAAACTTACAGTAGTAATAGTTTCAGCAGCTGCTACCATATCTGCCAGGCCAGCACTAATGATATGTTCCTCCAAGTCTTTCAACATTGGCTCTATACCATTAGGAACTTTGTCCATCAATGAAAACATTAAATGTAATTCTGGAAGGAGAGAACACATTCATGTAATCATTTCATTTACTAGAGTAAGAGTTTAGAGAAACATTAGTTAAGTTTGTAATGTTAATAGTATTCTGTGGATACAATGCCATTAGGAGTAGTTGTTCGTTTTTTTGTTGTTGTTTTTTTGTTTTTGAGACAGGGTCCCAGTCTGTCACCCAAGCTGGAGTACAGTGGCTCGATCACGGCTCACTGCAGCCTTGACCTCTTGGGCGCAAGCAATCCTCCCATCTCAGCCTCCTGAGTAGCTGGGACCACAGGCACATGTCACCATGCCTGGCTAATGTTTTTTGTAATTTTGTAGAGACAGGGTCTCCCAATGTTGCCCAAGCTGGTCTCAAACTTCGGGGCTCACACAATCCTCTCGCCTTGGTCTCTCAAAGTGCTGGGATCATAGGTATGAGCCACTGTACTTAGTCTAAAAATTATGTTTAAAAAAAAATCGAATTAAAAGTGATCAGGCTGGGTGTGGTGGTTCACGCTTGTAACTCCAGCACTTTGGGAGGCCAAGGTGGGAGGATCATTTGAGCCCAGGAGTTAAAAAGACCAGTCAGGGCAACATGGCAAAACCCATCGTTACACAAAAACAAACAAACAAAATTAGCTGGGTGTGGTGGTGCATGTCTTTGGTCCCAGATACTTGGGAGGCTGAAGTGTGAGGAATGCCTAAGCCCAGGAGGCTGAGGCTGCAGTGAGCCGTGATTGCACCATTGCACTCAGCCTGGGTGACAGGGCAAGACGGTCTCAAAAAATAAAAATAAAAAAAGTGATCAAATACTGCAAAACCCAACTCCTTTCTTTAAAAGGTCAGTCATTTGGCCAGAAGCAGTGGAGATCAGCCTGGGCAACAAGGTGGGGCTCTGCCTCTACAAAAAATACAAAAATTAGCCAGGCATGGTGGTACACGGCTGTAGTCCCAGCTACTCAGTGGGCTGGGAGGTGGGAGGATCGCTTGAGCCCAGGAGGTCAAGGCTACAGTGAATTGTGATCGTGCCATCGAATTCCAGGTTGGGCAACACAGCGAGACCCAGTCTCAAAAGAAAAGGTGAGTCATTTGGTTTTCAGTGCAAAGGAATATTTATTTACACACAAGATTAGTTTATTTCATAAGGTAGTTGTAATACTACATATACAGCCATATCATCAAAAGGTAAAAAACATGAGTAATAATTACGAAAGCAACTATATTAGAGATTAGAATATAAAACTGTATTCATAAATAATTTTTCAATTTACAAAGCACTTTTTCATGTTATGCCATTTTATTGACCTTCACAAAAACCCTACCTCACGGTACTGATTACCACTAAATAAATCCTTTTGAAAAGAGTGCAACATAGATCAGACATAACTCTAATTAGACTGGCACACAGAATACAAGTATTTTGTTTACGCCAATAAAGCAGCTTGCTTTTTACTACTGAATTACTCCTAAAAAGTGTATGAACTTAAGTGAATTGAAATATGCACTTTAAATGCAACTAGAGATTAAACAGGACCTTGCAGTTAGATATAATAAAACCTGGAAACTCAGTAGAAGTACGTTATTTAAAAAACAAAAGCAAAAAAATGTTAAAAGCAGTTTTACTGGGGTAGTAGGTATATGTACAATTTTTTTTTTTAGTTTGTTATATACTTGCTACCTCTCAAAACACATCTTTTTAAGAAAACATTGAAGTAATAAAAAAATCCTTTAGAAATCTTATAAAGTATTTTGGGGGACAGAGATGACTATTAACAGGGAGTGTTTTATTACATTCTAAAAAGATTCATCACAAGGTTCCACACAAAAGTCAAATACCTGGTTCTAATCTATAACATATGTTTCCAGTTTAAACTGGCCTTTAAAAGCAGTGTCTTGCTTTTGAGAAAAAAGTAGAAATTCACCATACACATACACAGATGTTGATAGCTAAGAGGGAAAATGCTTAAAATTTAAGTTTATATACTCTTAGCAGTGCCTCTGTGTTAAATATTTTATCTATTTCCTTAAGTATAGTTCACTCTAACAGTTCCACATATACCTATGTGGAAAAGAATTAACTAAGAGCAACTTAGTAAGTGATTTGTTTCAAAGATACCCTCTTAGAAGATTATGATAACTTTATGTGATGTTTTACCTACTTTCAGTTTCATTTCTCTTGATCATGCCTTGGCACTCAGCTAAGATAGTCTCTTTAAATGATGTCACCAGGGCATTTACACAGCATTCCATGAGCTGAAATATATCAAAAATTAGTCAAGGCTACTATAAGCTGTATAGCACAAATCTATTCTAACTCACAAAATAAAACAATATTGTTCAACAAAAAAAAAATTATACTGAAAGTAGATTTCACTTACCTTAACTATAGGATTATTGAAGATGGATATGCTATACTAGTTTACCAAAGTGTATTTTCCCCTAAGGAAAAAAACTATAGAACTAGACTCTCTTTAGAAATTTTAACAAAAGTCCTCAAGGAGGGGAGAGAAAAATATACAAAACCAAACTTTGATTAACTCTTCCTGTCTGGAGAGAACCTGTTTTAAAATTAGGTTATAAAATTCTAGAAGTGTGAATACATTCATTCAACAAACCATTATTGGATGCCTACTACGTGCAGGCACTAAGGAAGTATTTAAGAGACAAGAATAAGATATAATTCCTGCTCTCGAAGAGATCACTGTCTAATTGAGAGTGAGGAGGGCAGTAAACCTACACTGCTAACTAAATATAACTCAGTTAAGTGGCATCACACACATACACAAACACACACAAAATAAAAAAAAACTTAGAAACTACTTTTTTCTAGGGTAGTTAAAATGGCCTCATCCACAAGTTGGTATCTAAATGGGATCCTGTAAAGTAAGTACAAGCCCTAAAATAGGTTACGTATTCTAGGAATACCAGGAAGCTTAAAATGGTAGAGAAGAAACAGACAGTGGAAGAGAAGGCTAGAAAGATAGGCTGCAACCAGATTATGAATGAAAATCTATGATTTGGGGTTTTATTTCATAGGTAGGGAAGGAAGAACAAAGGAAGGTTTTTTTGTTTGTTTAAGAGACAGAGTCTTGCTCTGCTGCCCAAGCTGGAGTACAGTGGCATTACTACATAGCTACTATCATACCTCACTACAGCCTTGAACTCCTAGGCTCAAGTGATCCTCCTGCCTCAGCCTCTTGAGTAGCTAGGACTACAGGGATGTACTATCAAGTCTGGTTAATTTTTTAAACTTTTCTGTAGAGATGATGTCTTGCTATGTTCCCCAGGCTGGTCACAAACTCCTGGTCTCACATGATCCCCCTGTCAGTCTCCCAAAGTGTGGGATTACAGGTGTGAACCATCAGGCCTGGCCCCAAGGAAGTTTTAAACAGAGGATAAATGTAATGAGATTCTCCTCTCCTCAAGTCATTATTAAAGATCAGTATAATGGTAGTAAGGCAGGTGGTAAGGAGTGGGTGGTTGGGATATGGTAACGAGGCTGTTGAACTATTTCAGGTAAGATAGCAAGGGTCTAGTGCTCTAGGAGGCCATCAGGAAAATCTAAATGAGGCAGAAGATATCATGTCATCTCTGCTCCCTCGTGTCATGTAATTATTTACTTCTCTTTTGGGGATCAGATGAAATTAATAGGTTGTGAGGACTAAAGTTAAGTACAATAAGGCTGATATATTTCTTCTGAAAAACAAATCATCTATCTGTAAATTAAGGGAGGCAATTATGTGTCCCTTAAAAATTTTTTATTAAAAATTCCTTTGGAATTGACATAATGTTGGTAACTACTAAAGCTGAATTTAGGTAATGGGGATTCATTATACTGTTCTTCCTACATTGTAAAAATGCTTAAAATTTTCCGAATAAAGAATTTTCTGTGGTCCCTGCGAGTTGGGGGGCTGAGGTGGGAGGGTCAGTTAAGCTCAGGAGGTCAAGGCTGCAGTAAGCCTTGATCATGTCACTGCAGTGTAGTCTGGGCGACAGAGCAAGACTGTCACAAAACAAAACAAAACAAAACAAAAAAAAAGGTTTTTTCAGGCTCCTCTACAAGAATGATGCTGATGACTTTTAAATGCATATATCCATGTATATTTCTGTCCTAAGAAAATAATACACATGGCTGGGCGTGGTGGCTCATAGCCTATAATCCCAGCACTTTGGGAGGCTAAGGCGGGCGGATCACCTGAGGTCAGGAGTTCAAGACCAGCCTGACCAACACAGAGAAACCCCATCTCTACTAAAAATTAGCCGGGCATGGTGGGTGCCTGTAATCCCAGCTACTCGGGAGGCTGAGGCAGGAGAATTGCTTAAACCTGGGAGGCAGAGATTGCAGTGAGCCGAGATCGTGCCATTGCACTCCAGCCTGGGCAACAAGAGCAAAACTCCGTCTCAAAAAAGGAAAAAAAAAAGAAAAATAAAGAAAAGACTACACATATAAAATGGTTAAGAAACTCTTTCCTTGCAAGGTGGAAATCTCTGCCCCAACTGCTGAGTAATCTTATTCTATAACATCACTGGAATAGGCCCAACTAAACACTTCCACCTTAAGCAGTGAAACCAGATTGAGCATAGGTAAATCTAACAATATATAACTAATAGAGAACAAAGACAAAGTGGAATCCTAATAAACTCTAAGCTCTGTGTTTTCTATTTCATTGAAAACTTTCACTTGAACATTATCCTGTTCAGTGGTAGTTGAAATTTTGCAGATTCTAAAAATCCAGACCAGTGTGTTTCAGACTGTATGTTGTGAAATCAGTTTTAATGGCTGTGACCAGGTTTAAAAAAAAAAAAAATGTACATAGGACAGAACAAAAAATATCAGAGTGTATCACATATTGTAACAATGAATATTATTTCATAAGACTTTTGTTTCAGATATGTACAAATAAACAGTATATTCTAAGCCACAATATAAAATGTATTTCTTATGGTGGGTTACAACGAGGATTAAAAGGAGAGCTAAATTGACAACATAATTAAAGTAAACTGAGAAGAATTTGGTAAATGCTTAAATGAAAGGGATTAGGGAAATAAAAGGATGTTGAATCCATTTCTAGCTTGAGAGGTTAAACAAATTATTATAACAGGTATCCTTTAATGGGCACTTACTTTGTACCAGGCATTATGCTAAATGCTTTACATATAGATCTCATTTAACCCACATGGCAACCTCATGAGGCAGATACTTACTTTATGAGGACATAGACTGAGAGTAGCCACATAACTTCCAAATGTTGCACAGTTGGTTCATAAGGTCTTGAGTTATAATTTGAGGCCAGGTATGTATCTCCATAGCCTCCAACTTTTCTTACTACAGAAGTAGAGCATGTACATACTTAGTGATGGCTACATGCTCAGAACTGAGTTACGTGTTTTAAGGAATAGAGAAGTATAAACATGGTTCATGCCCTCAATGATCTTACAATCCAGTTGGAAACCCATAAACTATATACCTAAAAACATGTGTATGGTTCATATGTACAGATGTGTATGAAAAGAAGATCTTCACTAATAAGCAAATAACTGGAAAATGCATCATTACTATACTATAAACTTAAGGACAAAGATTGTGCTCTGTCCACAGCTATAAAGACTGTGCTGTGTCCTGGCACACAGCTGGTGCTTGATAAGAAATACAAGGCAGTCTATAATTTGCTCCTAAACCTAGTGGTAGAAACAATAGTTACCACGGGAATTCAAATAGGAAGAAACTGATGAAGGCTAGATGATCTGAGCTACTTTATTACAATTTTATTACAAGGTGAGTTAAAAGAATCCTTGCAAGATTTTGGGTAGGCAGAAGAAAACACTGCTAAAATGAATCCAAAAAAAAAAGTAACAGAGTGAGTTGTATGAATAAAAAAATATTTCTTATTGGAGTAGAGTGACTCTTGCTGGACAATATTAAGTTAGAAAAATAGGTTAGGGTCAAATTATGAAGGGTCTTAAAAATCAGGGGTATGAAATAATGATACTCTGGTTTTTTTTTTGAGACAGAGTCTCGCTCTGTCGCCCAGGCTGGAGTGCAGTGGCGTGATCTTGGCTCACTGCAAGCTCTGCCTCCTGGGTTCACACCATTTCTCCCGCCTCAGCCTCCTGAGTACTGGGACAGCAGGCATCCACCACCACGCCTGGCTAAGTTTGTTTTTGTATTTTTAGTAGAAACAGGGTTTCACCGTGTTAGCCAGGATGGTCTTGATCTCCTGACCTTGTGATCTGCCTGCCTCAGCCTCCCAAAGTGCTGGGATTAGAGGCGTGAGCCACCACGGCCAGCCAGTACTCTAGTTTTTGAATAGAAAAGTAAAACAATAAAAGTGATGTTTATGAAAGATTATCCTGAATTCACAAAAGAATAAATACAAATGGTCAGGAATAAGAATAAATATGCAGACCAGGCTGGACAACATAGTGAGACCCTGTTTCTAAAAAAAATAATAAAAAATAGAGGAGTGGAGCAAGATGGCCAAATAGAAGCTTCCACCGATCATTCCTCCTGCAGGAACACCAAATTTAACAACTATCTACACACAAAAAAACACCTTCATAAGAACCAAAAATCAGGTGGGCACTCATAGTACCTGGTTTTAACTTCATGTCACTGCAAGAGGCACTGAAGAGGGTAGGAAAGATAGTCTTGAATCGCCAATGTTACCCCTCCCTCATCCCCCAGCAGCAGCTGTATGGCATGGAGAATCTGTGTGCTTGGGAGAGGGAGAGAGCAGCAACTGTGAGATACTGCATTGAACTCACCACCACCCTTTCACAGCAGAAAGCAAAAGTAGGATGAACTCAGCTGACACATGCCCATGGAGGGAGCATTTAGACCAGCCCTAGACAGAGGGGAATCGCCCATTCCAGTGGTAAGGACTTGAGTTCTAGCAAGCCTCGCACTATAAGCTAAAGTACTCTGGGGCTCCAAATAAACTTGAAAGGCAGTCTAGGCCACAAGGACTGTAACTTCTAGGCAAGCAATAACAAATAATGAGATAGAAGCCATAATAAAATTTCTCCCAACAGGTGCAGTGGCTCATGCCTGTAATCCCAGCACTTTGCCAGGCAGAGGTGGGCAGATCATGAGGTCAGGAGAGAGACCATCCTGGCTAACATGGTGAAACCCCATCTCTACTAAAAATACAAAAAATTAGCCGGGTGTGGTGGCGGGCGCCTGTAGTCCCAGCTACTTGGGAGGCTGAGGCAGGAAAATGGTGTGAACCCAGGAGGCGGAGCTTGCAGTGAGCCGAGATCATGCCACTGCACTCCAGCCTGGGTGACAGAGCAAGACTCCGTCTCAAAAAAAAATTAATTAATTAATTAAATAAATAAAATGAAATAAAATTTCTCCCAACAAAGAAAAGCCTGGCACCTGATGGCTTCACTGCTGAATCCTACCAAATATTTCAAGTAGAACTAATATCAATTCTACTCAAACTGTCTGAAAAATAGAGGAGGAGGGAATACTTCCAAACTCATTCTATGAGGCCAGTATTGCCCTAATACCAAAAGCAGACAAAGACACATTTTAAAAAGAAAACTACAGGCCAATATCACTGATGAATATTGATGCAAAAATCCTCAACAAAATACTAGCAAACCAAATTTTTGTTTTGTTTTGTTTTTGTTTTTTGAGACAGAGTATCACTCTGTTGCCCAGGCTGCAATGCAGTGGCATGATCTTGGCTCACTGCAAGCTCCACCTCCCAAGTTCAAGCAACTCTCCTGCCTTAGCCTCCCGAGTAGCTGGGATTACGGGCACCTGACACCTCGCCCGCTAATTTTTGTATTTTTTTTAGTAGAGATGGGGTTTCACCATGTTGGCCAGGCTGGTCTCAAACTTCTGACCTCAAGTGATCCACCTGCCTTGGCCTCCTAATGTGCTGGGATTACAGGCGTGAGCCACTGAGCCCAGACTAGCAAACCAAATTTACCAACACCTTAAAGAAATCATTCATCATGACCAAGTGGGATTTATCCGTGGATGCAAGGATGGTTCAACATACACAAATTGATCAAATGATACATCACATCAACAGAATGGCAGACAAAATCCGTATGTTCATTTCAATTGATGCTGAAAAAGCATCTGATAAAATTCAACATTCCTGCATGATACAAACCATCAAAACACTGGGTATAGAACGAACATACCTCAACATAATAAAAGCCACATGAGAGACCCGTAGCTAGTATCATACTGAATGGAGAAAAACTAAAAATCTTTCTTCTAAGATCTCAAACATGACAAGGATGCCCACTGTCACCACTTTTATTCAAAATAATACTGGAAGTTGTAGTTAGAGGAATCAGACAAGAGAAAGAAAGAGCATCCAAATTGGAAAGGAAGATGTCAAACTACGCTTGTTTGCAGATGATATTACCTACAACGAGACATCATCTCATCCCAGTTAAAGTAGCTTTTATCTATAAGACAGGCAATAACAAATATTGGTGAGAATGTGTAGAAAAAGGAACCCTCGTATAATGATGGTGGGAATGTAATATTAGTACAAGCACTATGGAGCAGTTTGGAGGTTCCTCAAAAAACTAATACAGAGCTACCTTATGATCCAGCAATCCCACTGCTGGCTATATACCAAAAAGAATGGAAATGAGCATAGGAAGAAAGGAAGAGATAGATGCACTTCCACGTTTACTGCAGCACTATTTATTTATTTTTTTTAAATTTTATTAATTTTATTATTTATTAAATTTTATTATCATTATACTTTAAATTTTATTATTATTATAAAATTAACATTAAATTTTATTATTATTATACTTTAAGTTTTAGGGTACATGTGCACAACGTGCAGGTTTGTTACATATGTATACATGTATTGCAGCACTACTTATAATCAAGATTTGGAAGGAACCTTACTGTCCACCAACAAATGAATGGATAATGAAAATGTACATAAACACAATGGAGTACTATTCAGCCATAAAAAAAGAATGAGATCCTGCCATTTGCAACAACATGGATGAAACTGGAGAACACTGTGTTAGGTGAAATAAGCCAGGAACAGAAAGACGAACTTCACACGATCTCACTCATTTGTGGAAGCTAAAAATTAAAACAATTGAACTCATGGAAATAGAGAGTAAAGGATAGTTGCCAGATGCTGGGTAGGGTAGTGAGGTGGTGGGGGAGAAATAGGGATGGTTAATGGGTACAAAAAAACCAGAATGAATAGTCGGGTGCAGTGGCTCACACCTGTAATCCCAGCACTTTGGGAGGCTGAGCCAGGTGGATTGCCTGAGGTCAGGAGTTCGAGACCAGCCTGACCAACATGGAGAAACCCCATCTCTACTAAAAATACAAAATTAGCCGGGCGTGGTGGTGCATGCCTGTAATCCCAGCTACTTGGGAGGCTGAGGCAGAAGAATCACTTGAACCCAGGAGGCGGAGGTTGCGGTGAGCTGAGATCCCGCCACAGCACTCCAGCCTGGGTGGGCAACAAGAGCAAAACTCCGTCTCAAAACAAAACAAAAACAAAAACAAAAACAGAATGAATAAAACATAGTATTTGATAACATAACAGGGTGACTACAGTAAAAAATAATTTAATTTTATGTTTAAAAATAATAAAAGAATATAATTGGATTGTCTGTAACACAAAGGATAAATGCCTGAGGTGATTGATACCATTTGCCCTGATGTGATTATCATGCGTTGCATGCCTGTATCAAAATGTCTCATGTAACCCATAAATACATACAACTACATACACCATGTATGTATGCACAAAATATTTTATATTTATAAAATAAATATTTAATTATTTATAATTTTATATATTTATAATTATATTTAATATTTACAATTATTAATATTCATTAATTTTTAAATGCACA
This sequence comes from Homo sapiens, assembly GCF_000001405.40. NCBI lineage: Eukaryota > Metazoa > Chordata > Mammalia > Primates > Hominidae > Homo > Homo sapiens. Next base: position 108,062,481 of record NC_000011.10, on the reverse strand, counting down.
CAAAAAATATTTTAAAATCTATGATACTGGCAGATTGGTAGGAATCAATAGACTGACAAAACTCAGATCAGCAACGATATGGATAAACAAGCACACTGTTGATGGGACTACATTCCTGAAAGTCAGTTTGGTATTTATTGTGTAGCAATTTGTAAAAGGTTCAGGGACTTTTACCTCAGCTATCTAATTTCCAGGAGATTCTATTCCAAGAGGAAGCCAAGTGTGAGAAAAGATGTATACACAAGGATGTTAAAAAGATAGAGGTATTTAAGGATATTCCAGAAAGCACTATTTATAAGAAATAAACTATAAACAATGAAAATGGTCATCATTAGAGAACTGGTTAGTAATACTACAGTGCATATAGGTTACATTATAATATAGATTGTGATATGCTTTGGCTCTGTATCCCCAGCCAAATTTCATCTCGAATTGTAATTCCCACGTGTTGAGACAGGGACCTGGTGGGAGGTGATTGGATCAGCAAGGTTTCCCCCATGCTGTTCTTGTGACAGGGAATTCTCAAAATCTGATGGTTTTAAAAGTGGCAGTTTCTCCTGCACATTCTCTCTCTCTCTCTCTCTCTCCTGCTGCCACATAAGATGTGCCTTGCCTCCCCTTTGCCTTCTGCCATGATTTTAAGTTTCCTGAGGACTCCCAGGCCATGTGGAACTGGTTCAACTAAACCTCTTTCCTTTACAAATTACTCAGTCTCAGGTAGTTATCTTTATAGCAGTGTGAAAATGGACTAATACAATGTGTGTGGAGTAAAAATGAGCAACATCATAAATTTATTTTTAAATATAGGAATGCAGGAGGGAAGGGAGGCAAAACGGGGAGGGAAATAGAGAGGAAGGAATGGAAAAGAAAGGAAAACAAACAGAAGGATCAACAAAACAAGCATGACAAAATAATGATAACTGTTGAATCTGGAAGACTGGGTATGGGGGTAGCGTTCATTATAGTATTTTCTCTACTTGTGTAAATATTTTAAAACTTTCATTACAAAGCTTTTTTAAAAAATGAAGAGAACAATTATGGTATAGATTTCTATATATTAAAAAATCCTCCAGAAAATTATTTTACCTAGGCAAAAAGTAGGGAGATTGCTAGATAGAATTCTCTCCTTATTTCAAATGAGTCTTGTCCTAAGAGAGTCAGTTTCTTGAGGACAGAGATCATGTTATTCCTCTTTTGTATTTCTTCCCATTTACCAAATTACTATATACATAGTTGATCCTAAATATATAACTTGTTATTTGAAAATACATCTTGAATGGAAAGTATAGTGATAAGCCATCTCTCTCACCTTGTATTCCCTTTCTGTCTCCTTTTGCTAGATTCCGTGAAGAAAAAAACTTTTTGCCATATGCCATCAACTCCTGTATGTTTGCCTGAGATGAGCACAACTTCTAAATCCATAGCAATCTCTCCCCAGAGGTCTGCAAGGTGAAACACTTTAACTATCAATGTGCTTGATGTTTTAACCTCCTCTACAGCAAGACTATAAACTCTTCAAAAATAATGCCTGCTATAAAACACAGCAGGCACTCCAATAAGTACCTGTTGAATGAATGAATTCATAGGTCTGGAAAATGAAAGGTGAGACAGGTAGGCTACGAGACATGGTAGATTCTTATTCTTTTTTTTTTTGAGACAGTTTCACTCGTTGCCCAAGCTGGAGTGCAATGGCGCGATCTCACTGCAACCTCCGCCTCCCGGGTTCAAGCGATTCTCCTGCCTCAGCCTCCCGAGTAGCTGAGATTACAGGCACGCACCACCATGCCCGGGTAATTTTTTGTATTTTTAGTAGAAACAGGGCTTTACCATGTTAGCCAGGCTGGTCTTGAACTCCTGACCTCAGGTGATCCACCCGCCTCGGCCTCCTAAAGTGCTGGGATTAGAGGCGTGGGCCACGGCATCCAGCCAGATTCTTCTTTTAGTGGTATTCAATTTGCATAATTATTTCTACCTCGCTCAAATTTCGTTTAAAAAAAAAAGCATTTCTGATTTTCATTAGTTATATAGCTCTGTATAAGGAATAGTTTGCTTTGCCTCAGCTACAACGTAAGAGTTGAACTAAAAATTATCTTAAGTTCCCCCACTTTATGATTCTACTCTATCATTATCAGGCCCTTAACCATACAAGGATATCTGTAATGTATTCAATAATTAATTTCCTGGCCTTTCTAGTTTGACTAAGATTCTTTCTGTACTACTATCATTAGTGGCACTACAAAAGTCTGGATCACCTTGTCTTTTTGAACACCAAGCTTAATTTTTTTTTTTAATTTTAGACCTCCTCTGTGGAGAGGATACCATGCCTGAAATACCAAAATACTGAAGGTTAATAAGTGCTTATTTTAATGTTAATAATTTATAACTTGTGACCTAGTTGCTTATTCAGCTTTTTAAATCAGTTTTGCACAGATGGTAAAATAGTTTTTACTTGTCTTAGAATTAGTAAGCAGTTTTCTCTGAACCAGTGCCTAACAGTAAAAGCTATCATGCCAGGCACAGTGCTCAAATGCTTAATGTAACATATTTCATTTAATTCTGCTAATACAAAAGGGTATTATTCAATTTTTTTTTTTTTTTTAGACAGAGTCTCGCTCTGTCACCCAGGCTGGAGCGCAATGGTGTGATCTCTCCTTACTGCAACCTCCGCCTCCTGGGTTCAAGCGATTCTCCTGCCTCAGCCTCCCGAGTAGCTGAGATTACAGGTGCGTGCCACCACGCCCAACTAATTTTTTTGTATTTTTTTTTTAGTAGAGACAGGGTTTCACCGTGTTGGCCAGGCTGGTCTTGAACTCCTGACCTCATGATCCACCCATCTCGGCCTCCCTAAGTGCTGGGATTGCAGGCGTGAGCCACCGCGCCCGGCCTATTCCATTTTATAGTTAGGAAAAGAGAGACTACAAAGGTTGAATAACTTGCCAAAACGCAGACAGCTGGTAAAATAACATCTGTGGGATTCAAATCCTCATCTAATTCCAACATGTATGACCCTAACCACTGTAATACACTCCCTCCCTATCGGTGCCCTGGTCATTCTGAAGTGATCAAGACTTACACTACCAATTCACTTTTCTATTCCTCTATTGTATAAACAATCCATTTTATTCTAGTGTCATCCTGAGGATAGGGACTAGGTCTATCTTATTATCCCCAACTAGCATAATGCCTGACACACTGTGGGTATATAATAAATACTAATTGAATTTCCCCAGGAAATACTAAGGTATGCAGGACTATCACCTAAAAACTAAAAACCAAACACAAATTTTAAGTCATTTTGGCTTAAAGCTGGGTGTGGTTGCATGCGCCTACTGTCCCAGCAACTCAGGAGGCTGAGGTGGGAAGACTGCTGAAGGCCAGGAATTCGAGAATGCAGTGCACTATGATCAAACCTGTGAACAGCCACTGCACTCCAGCCTGGGCAACATAGCGAGACTCTGCCTCTTAAAACACAAAAGGCATTTGGCTTAATTTTTTTTCTTGCTCTTTTCTTATGGTTGTGTTACTTTTTGCTGTCAACATGCCTGTTCAGCAGCACAGCTCGGAAGCCTCTTACCTTGTTTTACATTAAATACATTCAATACATTTCTGTTCATCTGCTATAGGCCCAGCGAGTGATAATCAAGCTTATTAGAATTGTATGTAAAATCAGATCTAAGTAGGGTCTAAGTGGCTCTCCTATAAGTAAAAATAAAACTGTAAGAGTAGGGCTTCAGACATCTAATGCAACACTTAACTGTCTCAGATCTTCACAAGGCTAGTTCCCTATCATTCAGGTCTTAACTCCAATATCATTCCCTCAGAGATCTTTTCTGACCATATTCCATAAAGTAAAAGCAGCAGGAGAAGCATTACCACCACCAATACACTCTATAGTATTACTCTTACTTCATTTAAAAAAAAAAAAATCACTTTGGGCCGGGTGCAGTGGCTCACGTCTGTAATCCCAGCACTTTGGGAGGCCGCCGCGGGCAGATCACGAAGTCAGGAGATCAAGACCATCCTGGCTAACACGGTGAAACCCTGTCTCTACTAAAAATACAAAAAATTAGCCGGGTGTGGTGGTGGGCACCTGTAGTCCCAGCTACTCGGGAGGCTGAGGCATGAGAATCACATGAACCTGGGAAGCAGAGGTTGCAGTGAGCGGAGACTGCACTACTGCACTCTAGCCTGGGTGACACATCAGGGCTATGTTTCAAAAAAAAAAAAAAAAAAAAAGGCACTCTTCATAATATTCTTTTTTTTTTTTTTTTTTGAGACAGAGTCTTGCTCTATCGCCCAGGCTGGAGTGTGGTGGCGCAATCTCGGCTCACTGCAACCTCTGCCTCCCAGGTTCAAGAGATTCTCCTGCCTCAGCCTCCTGAGTAGCTGGGATTACAGGTGCACGCCACCACGTCCGGCTAATTTTTGTATTTTTAGTAGAGACAGGGTTTCACCATGTAGGTCAGGCTGGTCTTGAACTCCTGACCACATGATCTGCCTGCCTTGGCCTCCCAAAGTGCTGGGATTACAGGCGTGAGCCACTGCACCCAGCCAATATTCTTTATTTTTTCAACTTCTTTGATTAATGATTACAGAAAAGTTAGCAGAAAAATAGCACCTCACTTCTCCCAACATTAACATCTTACATAACTATAGTACAACTATCAAAACCAGGAAAATAGTATTGGTACGATACTATCAATTTAACTCTAGGTCTTATTCATTTCACCAGTTTTTCCACTAATATCCTTCTCCTATTCCAGGATCCTATCCACAAGCCCATGTTGCATATAGTTGTAATTTCTCCTACTCTCATACAATCTGTGGCAGTTCCTTTGTCCTTCAGTCTGTTACAGTCTTGACACCTTGAAGAATATTAGTCATTTTGTAGGCTATCAATTTGCGATTGTTTAATCTTTCCTCATTATTACAGTAAGATTACACATTTTTGGCAAGAGTAAAACAGAAATAATATTGTATTCTTCTTAGTGCATCATATCACGGGGTATGTCAGCATGTCCTACTACTGGTGATGTTCACCTTGATCACTTAATTAAGATGGTGTCTTCAGGCTTCTCCTTTAGTAAATATCTTGGGGACGATACTTTGAAACTATGCAAATATCCTATTTCATTTCAAACTTTTGACCGTTACTGCCAAGTGCCGTGGCTCGTGCCTGTAATCCTAGCACTCTGGGAGGTCGAGGTGGGAGAACTGCTCGAGCCCAGGAGTTTGAGACAAGCCTTACCAACATAGTGAGACGTGATCTCAAAAAATAAAAAATTAGCCAGGTGTAGTGGCACGTACCTGTAGTCCCAGCTACTCTGGACTTATTCTTTTAGTTGGCCTTTTACAGTTGAAAGTTCATAAGTTTAATGTGGCTATGATATGACTAACATACAAATTGCAGTAGGAGATCAGAACAATTTCACCTTATAAAACTGTAACATTCCCATCCAGGTGCTAAATGTACGTCAATCTACAACAAATACCCAAATCCTCCAAAATGAACTCATCCTTTCTCCCTCACTAAGACTTATTTTTATACCTAATCTCTCAGTAGCAGCACAGTTCTCCTTGGCTGAAACCTCAGAACATTATTGGCTTGATTCTCTGTGATATCTAGCCCCATCCATGTGATACAATGTTCCACCTCTAAGAAGTTTCTCTCTTCCCTTGTCTTTTCCATTCCCACTTCTGTAACTCTACTTGGTCTGCCTAATACCTTGCCTGAATTACTGCAAATGCTTTCTACTTCTTATTCCCAGCTCCTCCCCATTCCAGTCTTCCATCTTTCCTGTCACCAGATTAATCTTCCTAAGGGACAACTCTGTGGCCCACCTGTTTAAAAAAAAAGTCAACAGCCTTCCCGGCCTTCTGAATGTAGCCCAAACCTGAATTTATATCACTATAAAGAACTTCTATAAATAACCACTAAATTATCCTTCCTTTTGCCAATATCAAAACTATTTCAACCAAAGAGGATACATACTGCAAATCAAGGACAAGCAAAACAAAAACTAAAAGAACCAAAGGGAAAAGACATCCAACTCGGTGTGATTTCTGAACAAAGAATAAAATAAACACGACTACCACTTAAGATGGACAAAGCCAAAGAAAAGTCAAAAGTAAAAAAAAATTTTAAATCCCATTCAGAGTTGAAAAATATTTGATTATGGGCAAGCTAGAATGTTATTCCTGAGAATGCAAATCTAAATCAAGGCTCCAAAGACTGAAAGGAACCAGAGGAAATACTATTGTTGTGTTTCAACAATTCCAAGACTGTCCCAACTAGATTCTAACTTTCCTTATACTGAAGCACCCTAAGGTCAGTCCTCCACGTAAAAGAAAACACCTACCATGGTACTGTCACTGACTAGTTTTTTGTTTTTTAATATTTTGAGGCCAGGTATTGTGGCTCATGCCCATAATCCCAGCATTTTGGGAGGCTGAGCAAGAAGGATTGCTTGAGGCCAGGAGTTCAAAACCAGCCTGGGCTACATAGCAAGACCTGCTCTCTATGAAAAATAAAATAAAAAAATTAGCCAGGTGGCCGGGTGCAGTGGCTCACGCCTGTAATCCCAACACTCTGGGAGGCCAAGGCAGGTGGATCACCTGAGCTTAGGCGTTCAAGATCAGCCTGGGCAGCAAGGTGAAACCCCATCTCTACTAAAAATAAAAAAATTAGCCAGGCATGGTGGCATGCGCTTGTAGTCCCAGCTACTTGGGAGGCTGAGGCAGGAGAACTGCTTGAGCCTGAGAGGCAGAGGTTGCAGTGAGCCGAGATTGCACCACTGCACTCCAGCCTGGGCAACAGAGAGAGCCCTTGTCTCAAAAAAAAAAGATAAAGTATATATATATATATATTTATTAGTCAGGCAGGGTGACGTGTGCCTGTAGTCCCAGCTACTTAGGAGGCTGAGGCAGGAGGGGCCCTTATGCCCAGGAGTTACAGTGAGGTATAATTGCACCACTGCACTCCACCCTAGGCAACAGAGCAAGACTTTGTTTCTAAAAATAATAATAATTAATATTTTTACCTCATGACAAATGAAGTTTGAAACATCTTCCCAGAAGGAGAAGAAATATCCCCTAGGAATAAATGATTCATTATTCACTAATTTGGTGTTTGCAGCCACTTCAGAGAACATAACCGGTACAAAAAAAGAGAGTCAACTGTATCCCTAAGGGAGCATATATTACTTGCAACATGAAAATCACAAAATGGCTAACTTTAGATATGCATAAAACATAATAAAAGAAAACTTACCAAAAATTAATTATATTAAATAAAGTCTAGAACAGGTATGGCAAATAGATTTGATCTTGCATACCAGCTCCAAAGGACAATGTGTTCTAAACAAGATACCTCCTACAAAGTTGTGCTATGGCTCATAGGCAAAAAGAACTAAAATCAATTAACAATGTTGGTTGTTAAATAATATTATTTATGTTGTTTATTTGCCATTCCTATGCTTCCGTATTTCAAATAATCCCATAAAATGTACAATTACAAAATTACTTACTGCTTCAACGGAGTTACATTCTCGTCTTGTTTCTAAATAACGTAGTGCTCGTTTTTCTTCTTCTTTTAATTTAGCATCTGCCTGTCCAGAAGCAAAATAGCAATCATTTTAAGAATATCAAGGGAATTGCTCAAATTATCACATATACTAAGTTCTAACTTACATATTTCATATAATTCTGTACACCATTTTGTTGTAAATACGAGGGTGCTTGTGTTCTATAAAATCTCTCTGTTGAATCCAAGTATGCCTTCTCAAAATTGTCCCTATAAATTTGAAGTTTATCCTCAGGATTAGAACAAAGGTTAACTGAAAAACAGAAAATAAAGTATTACTCCAATTATGATCAAAATCAGTATTTTGAGTATAATAAATGAAATAAATATTGAGGAGTCATTATGTGCAAGGTAACAATGCTCAAGAGAACATATAATTATATAAGACAAAATCCTTCTCCATAAGAAACTTATAAAGATAACAGCATAAAGCAGTAAAGTAACAAATAAATAATACAGATAATATAGACTATTTTTGCATAGGTAAGAAACTGACTTCTAACTGAATAATCAAGAAAACATTCACAGAAGCAATGGGATTTAAACTGAATCTTAAAGAATAAACTAGAATTTGCATAAACGGAGATTAGTAAGGTAAGTAAATATTCAGAAGCAGAAAAGCACAAGAAAATATGACTAGGTTGTCTAAGTGGATTGCAAGGTTAATAGAAGGTAAGGTAGAATGGTAAATTACAAATGGTTGTGAAGATGCCCTGGGCAACATAGTAAAATCATGTGTCTACAGAAAAATTAAGCCTGCACACAATGGCTCACACTTGTAATCCCAGCACTGCGGGAGGCCAAGGTGGGCAGATTACTTGAGGTCAGGAGTTCAAGACCAGCCTGGCCACTATGGCAAAACCCCGTCTCTACTAAAAATACAAACATTAGCTGGGAGTGATGGCACACACCTGTAATCTCAGCTATTCTGGAGGCTGAGGTATGAAAATTGCTTGAACTTGGGAAGTGGAGGTTGCAGCGAGCATGCCACTGCACTTCAGCCTGGGTGACAGAGTGAGACTCTGTCTCAAAAAAAGAAAAAAAAAGAAACAAATTAGCCAGGTGTGGTGGTGCATGCCTGCAGTCCCAGCTACTCAGGACACTGAGATAGGAGGACTGCTTAAGCCTGAGAGGTGGAGGCTCAATGAGCCATGATCACGCCACTGCACTCCAGCTTGGGCAACAGAGCAAAACCCCATCTCTTAAAAAAAAAAAAAAAAAGCATGGTATACCACTTAAGGGGTAAGTAGAAAAAATACCAATAAAATAGTGCTTAAACATTAATCTTATGAACACCATATGGGTTAAACAACAGCAATAAGATGATTATAAGACGACTATTTCAAAACTCTGCATGTGAAGTTTAATGTCTGGTGGCAGTTCAATTAAAAACAAATTTCAGGAGCACTGCTAATGAAAATCTAAAGGCTTGATAACTAAAAGAATATGGGGGCCATGAAGAAAAGCCAGTCAAAAGTAACTCTATAGGTTCATTAACTCAATAAATACCTACCTAGAGTGATTTTGTGCCATGCATTCTATGTTCAGTAAAGACATGGTGCTAACAACACAATTAAACAAAAGTACTATGCCAAGGAGGCACAGGTACTGTGAAGCACTAAATGAGAGAAGTTAACTTACTCTGGGAATTAAGAAAGGCCTCCAGGAGGAGGATGAAGCGTGGGGAAGAAGCATACTCTAAGTCACAGGAAACAAATTAGAAGTAAGAGAGAATGTACTCCTACATGCTCTCCTTTTCATGGAAGTAACTTACTTCCTGAAAACATAAATACCTAACCTTTTAATGAACTAGTTACCTTTTATGAGCTACACATTCAAATTTATATATCTAATTTAGTTCACTAAAACGACTTGCCAAGAAATTAATGGCATGAAGAAAATATTAACCACATTAATATGAATTTTTATACATTCTTTTAAGCAGAATTATCATTTGCTTACTCTCAAAAAAAGTATCTAGTACAAAAAGTAGATGTAACTTTGTATGCCAATAAACTTAACTTTGATTGTGCTATTCCATAATTGTTCTACAATTTCCATGAAACAGAAATTATGATCATAAAAGTTCAGAACATACCATAGGATTCTCTTACTCCAATAACCAGCTGAGAATCAAAAGCTTCTCCCAATCTCTCAGCATGTACCAGCTTCATTGCACTATCTTGGAGTCTGTTTTTTATGTTTGAAAAGATTGACTCATTCCATGTATCAAGCATAAGCTAGGAAAACAAGAACAAATTGTAACATAATTTTCAATTATTAATATACAAAGTATCATGTACAAACACCAAAAAAGGAAATCAAATTTGTAGGCCTGGGCCAGGTGCAGTGGCTCACGCCTGTAGTCCCAACAATTTGGGAGGCCGAGGCAGGTGGATCGCTGGAGTCTATGAGTTCAAGACCAGCCTGGGCAGCAGGGCAAAATCCTGTCTCTACAAAAAAATACAAAAAAAATAGCCCAGTGTGGTGGTGCACGCCTGTAGTCCCAGTGAGCCGAGACCACGCCACTGCCCTCCAGCCTGGGTGACAGAGTAAGACCCTGTCTCAAAATAACTTAGGTTGCATTCACTTGAATACTTCGGGGAAGCAGTATATTTAGCATAATGGTAAAGAAGGGTCGACTGCGTGTGGTCTAATCCCAAAACCTTGGGAGGCCAAGGTGGGAGGATCACTTGAGGCCAGGAGTTTGAGACCAGCCTCGGCAACACAGTAAGACCCATCTCAACAACAACAAAAAATACAAAAATTTGCTAGGCATGCTGGCATGTGCCTGTAGTCCCAGCTACTTGGGAGGCTGAGGTGGGAGGATCACTTAAGTCCAGGAGGGCAAGGCTGCAGCAAGCCAAGATCACACTATTCCACTCTAGCCTGGGCAACACAGCAAGAGCCCATTTCAAACAAAACAAAAGTAAATAAAGAACAAGTGTTTCAGAATCCAACTGGATTTGAATCCCAGCTGTTACTTATTTATCTGCTTTCTTATGTATAAAATGGTCAAAATAATAGTGCAAATTTCAGTGGTTGTAAAAATTAACTATGATAATACATGGAAAATGTTTATTCTCCTATAGTTCCATGGTTGAATTTCAGATATATTGGTGTGTTTGAAATAGACATATGCATATGTTTGTAAAGACACATAAAAAATGTAAAAAGGACCAACTGAAAATCTGATACTGGACCTTATAAAAGGTCTGCAAATCTACTGTTTAGATGTTCCATTAAAATGATAAAAATGGTATATAAACATTGGTGATTATATCAGTACTCCAAGAAACTTGGTCAGATGTAGGAGATACATTAATGACAGCAACAATAACAACAAGAGTTAACAGTTTTATAACACTCATTCTATACCTGGGACTGCTCTATGTATTGTCTGCATGTAACTCATTTAATCCTCATAATCTTGATATAGGTACTATGATTATCCCCCCTTTAGATATGTGAAACCTGGGGTACAGATAGCAAAGCTAACTTTCCACATTTATGCACCTCATCAGTGGCAACACTGAGATTTGAATCCAAAAACTGTGGCCCCAGAATTGATACACTTAATCACTAAGTGGATGCTGCTTCCCACAACCAATAGAATGGCCAAAAAAAGAGGACAAGATTATGAGACTACAAATTAAATCGCAGCCAGAAGTGTTTTTCACTTTTTTTTTTCCCTTGGCACAAATTTCCCATATTGCAGTGATTTCTATCACTGAAGAACCACTGGGTATCTAAATTTACAGTATCCCTGTCAACATCAGATCAAATTTTAAGGCTGGGATGGGGCAACAATGCCCAGGTTACACTATTGTAATGCCTGAGTGTTTTACTGTAACCATCACAGTAAACAGTAAATTGACTAAAGTTCAAATGGCATTTTTTACTTTTCAAATCTACGGTCCCATTTTATTCTTACAAGTGGAAAGATATATGGAAAATGAGGACGGAGTTTGAAGAGCTGAAAGGGAAACCTAGGACCCTTCATATTCAGCACTGAGTTCTTTCCATTAAATCATGACTGGTTACTTGACACAATTTTTAAATAGAAAATAAGCACAGTATATACTGAATTTATAATAGAAGAGTTAAGTAAAAGGGAAATTATAAAGATAGCAGTTTAGCCACAATTAAACATAAAGATATCAGAAGGTAACCTAATAAAAGGGGATTTTTGAGACAGGGAGAAAAGTAATTTAATTTCTAGTAAGGGTATAGGTTGGGTGCAGTGGCTCACGCCTGTAATTCCAACAGTTTCGGAGGCTGAGGCAGGCAGATCACCTGAGGTCAGGAGTTCGAGACGAGCCTGGCCAACATGGTGAAACCTGGTCTCCACTAAAAATACAATAAAATAGCCGGGTGTGGTAGCACGTGCCTGTAGTCCCAGCTACTCAGGAGGCTGAGGCAGGAGAATTGCTTGAACACAGGAGGCGGAGGTTGCAGTGAGCAGACTGCGCCACTGCACACTCCAGCCTAGGCGACAGAGTGACACTCCAGTTTAAAAAAAAAAAAAGAGTACAAAGAAAGAATAGAGAAATAAAATACTGAATACCAGGAGAAGGAGAAAGTAAAAAGGAAAAGTAAAGGAGATAATGGTTGAAGATGCAGATCTATAGCTTAAGACCACATAAAAAGATGAAAGAAGATTGAAGCTAAAGACAAAAAAGAATATTATTCAATAAAATCTAGTTAAGAGCTGAAAAGCAATTGACATGTGAAGTAGAAAAACCCACTTAAAAGTTCAAATTACTTTCAAATGCTTCCAAATTACCCTCTTTCTGAAGAATATTAGGAAAACAAGGAGAAAAATAGTCTTACCTTTCGAACAATACTGTCTTCCACATTTGATTTTTTATTGCTGCCCTGTTTACCCATTAAAGTAATCTCTAGTTGACAAAAAGGTTTTGGTAAAATATCACATTGTGTAAAGAACTTTCGCCATTCAACAATATATGCTTTTAGCAAAGCCGTATCATCTTGATGGCTCAGTACTCGCTGAAAAAAAGAGGTGTACCAATTTGAAATAAATGCAGTTGCTTTGAAAAATTAAGAACATATTCATGCCAAAATTTAAATTGTACATAATTTTTAAATTATTGTACAAGCTCTTATATCCAAAAGAAATTAAAACATGTTCACAAAAAAACTTGTACACGAATGTTCACAGCAGCATTATTCAAAATAGATAAAAAATAGAAACAACCCAAATATCCATTAGCTGAAATACGGATAAACAATATATGGGCCAGGCGTGGTGGCTCATACAGTAGTCCCAGCACTTTGGGAGGCTGAGGCGGGAGGATTGCTTGAGCTCAGGAATTTGAGACCAACCTGGGCAACATAGCAAGACCTCATCTCCACAAATAATACAAAAAATTAGCTGGGTGTGTTGGTGCGTGCCTGTGGTCCCAGCTACTTAGGAGGTTGAGGTGGGAGGATTGCTTGAGCCCCAGCAGTTGAGGCTACAGTGAGCCATGATTGCACCACTGCACTCTGGCCTGGGCGACAGAGCAATACCCTGGCTTGAAAAAAAACTAAACAAATGAAAAAAGAAACCAAAAAACCCCACAATATATGGTATATCCAAACAATAGATATTATTCAGCCATAAAGAGAAACAAATATTGTGAAAGAAAACTAGTCACAAAAGGCCACATATTATGATTCCAATTACAGAAAATGTCAAATATAGACATATCCATAGGGACAACAGATTAGTGATTTAGTGGGTTGGGAGAAGGGAGTGACTGTTCATAGGTATAGGATTTCTTTTTAGGGTGATGAAAATATTCTGGGATTATTGGGTGATGGTTGCACAATTTTATGAAATATACTACAACCCACTGAATCATATCCTTTAAGAGAGTAAATTTTATGGTATATTAATTATATCTCAAGTTTTTAAAAGGTGGTGGAGTCACGGCAGGTGCGGTGGCTCATGCCTGTAATCCCAGCACTTTGGGAGGCTAAGGCGGGCAGATCACGAGGTCATGAGTTTGAGACCAGCTTGACCAACATGGTGAAACCCCATCTCTACTAAAAATACAAAAATTAGCCAGGCATGGTGGCATGCGCCTGTAATCTCAGCTGCTCGGGAGGCTGAGGCAGGAGAATCGCTTGAATCCAGGAGGCGGAGGTTGTAGTGAGCCGAGATCGCGCTACTGCACTGCAGCCTGGGCGACAAAGTGAGAATCCACCTCAAAAAAAAAAAAAAAAAAAAAAAAAAAAAAAAAAAAGGTGGTGGAGTCTATTTCCCCACTATTAGAGTTTGGGCTGGTCCTGTGATTTACTTTGACCAACAGAATGCCACCGATGTAACAGTGAAAGATTTCTCAGTCTATCCATGAATAGGTATTGTAGATTCCACTTTCATCTCAAAGGCTGGTCTCCTTGAGAATGACAAACCACACAGTGAAAAGAAAGCCACATCAAAAACCATATATGAGTTTTAATGCTCTCTTAGACCACCATGTCCAACAGCCCACTGCTGCTGCATTAATAAGCTTAGGCAAATTCATCTGAGACCAGCCCAAATTGCTAAGCCACAGAATTGTGAACAAATAAAACAGTTGTGTTAATCTAGGTTAAACAAAAAAGACTCCACCTATGTTTATTATTTTTACTTTTTTTTTTGTTCTTTAAAAAATGTTATAAACATTTCAATGCATATTGCCTTTCAACCATCTGGGAGATTTGGTCCTTCCTAACAAGGTATGTTCAACTGAAGATTGCCTAAGTAAAATGATTCATGAAAAAAAAAAAAAAATTTCTTAAGCGTTTAAAAATCTTTTTAAGATGGGTCTTTTTAAGACCCATGTCTGGCATTGCTACTCCTATTAACTGCTCAGAATTAGTGGTGCTAAATCCCATTCTTGGGTTCTTGCTGAGGTCTACATTTCCAGACTTTATTCAGTCATGTTACCGTGAAACCCTCCCCTACTTTTTTTTGCCAGTGTTCAGCATATTTTTTAACATCTGTTAAGAACATCCAAGGTAATTCTTCATAAGTTTATTTCCAGAAACTGAAGAATAAAGCTCTATCTATCTGAAATAAACATAATTTATCTTTATCAAGTCATAAAAAGAAAACGTGGTACATTTCCCAATGCAAGTAGAAACTGTATCTCTAAATTAGTTCTAAGAAAATAGTTTTAAATTGATACTGAAACATTTAATTTTCTAAGTGCTTGAAAACAGATTTTCATTAAAAGATAACTTCCTATAAAACTACAATTTAAAAAATTTGTCAAGAAACTATCAATAAAACACTTAATTTCTTAAGTAATATCCAATAGATTAGTCTTACTCCATCATGGTAGTGGCTACTAGCAAAATTAAAATATATGCCAATCATATACTTGATTTCAATATCTTAAGTCATACATAGAAAAAACTCAGTTTTAATTTTCAACTGCTAAGCACCTTTTAGTATTTAATAACACGATTTAACAAACAACTTTTACTAATGTTGTACAAGACATTAATGGAATGATCCAACTAAAAAATAAGAAATTCTAGCCTAGCCTTCTAGCCATCAGACCAGACCTTTTTGTTTTTTTGCCTTTTTTTGAGACAGGGTCTCACTCTGCTGCCCAAGCTGAGTGCAATGGCATGATCACGGCTCACGGCAGCCTCAATCTTCCAGGCTCACACAATTCTCCTGCCTCAGCCTCTCGAGTGGCTGCAACCACAGGTGTGCACCATCATGCTTGGGTAATTTTTTATTTTGTATAGAGGCAAGGTCTCACCATGTTTCCCAGGCTGGTATCAAACTCTTTGACTCAAGCAATTTGCCTGCCTCAGCCTCCCAAAGTGCTGGGATTACAGGCCTGAGCTACTGTGCCCTGTCCCAGACCTCATGTTATAGAAAGGAAAATAATCTCACGTCCTTAGGGTCCTCCTCAAAATGATAAGGGATTTATTCATAAGAGAGGCCGTGGCTGATTTGAAACAACATTACAAGGTGTCACAGAAAAAAAACAAAACAAAACTAACTCTTGCATTACTGATCTAATGCCTAAATGAGCTTTTGATTTTTGATCAAAATTTTTGATTTATACATAACAG
The DNA here is from genome assembly GCF_000001405.40 of Homo sapiens. Classification (NCBI taxonomy): domain Eukaryota; kingdom Metazoa; phylum Chordata; class Mammalia; order Primates; family Hominidae; genus Homo; species Homo sapiens. Next base: position 108,046,817 of record NC_000011.10, on the reverse strand, counting down.
CAATGTAAGAGTGCTGAATTTCAGCTCAGCAACAGCAATACAAAGGACAGTCTAAATAAATTACAATTGGAGAAGGATCTGGAATTGAAGAAATTACTGTCAACTTGAGAAGAGGTATTAGTCATGAGAGAAAAAAAAAGATCTGTGTGGACTGATGTGTAGCCAAAAAATAATGGTGGTGGGGACTCCCAAAAAATATAAAAAACTGAATTCGCTATAGCATCTTTTAATTAAATATAATATGTACTCTCTTGACAGAAGTATCACTGTGGGAAAAAAATAATCCAACTAATGACGATCATTTCATTAATAAATTTATTTAACAAATGTGTCAAAAGTCAATGCAATATTTTGAAATTACTTCAAGAAGTTCTACTTTCAAAATAATAAAATATGATATTATCTGAGTAGTTTTAAAACAAGTCTAAAATAAGCATGTAGAACTTACTGCCTGTGCTTGCTTAATAAACTCAAGAATATCTTCTTTTAAAGCCTGATGAATTTTTGCTGGGCCTTTATCATCCCAAAGACAGACTGCATGCACATCCCTGTGAATATAAAGTAGGTAAACAAACATTAATAATGAAACAAGAACTGAACAAAACATCTTAAATTCTATTTCAGTACAGTTTCCATGGGCCATATTAGAACCAAGTAAATGGTGTCTGAATTCACTCATATAAACCAAGTACGCTTGTAATTGCCTCACATACACATTTGTTTCTATTTTTATTTTCTTTAGCCATTGTTTTCCTCTTTAATTCTCTGCTACTTACCACATAAAATTTAGTTATGAAAGCATGTCTCCATCTCCCAATGTCACTGCCCAAAGTTAACTGCTATTAATATTTTCCTGTGCAAAAACAACTACAAATCCTTTTAATTCTTTAACACAATAGATGTATACTATTTTGTCCTTTTTAATTATTTTTAAAAATTTTTTTATTTTTATTTTTTAGAGACAGGGTCTCACTATGTTGCCCAGGCTAGTGTGCACTGGCACAATCACGGCTCACTGCAGCCTTGACCTCCTGGGTTGAGGCGATCCTCCCTCCTCAGCCTTCTAAGAGCTGGTACTATAGGAGCATGCCACCACGCCTAATTTTTTTTTAAATTTTGTTGTAGAAACAGTCTTGCTATGTTGTCCAGGCTGGTCTTGAACTCCTTGTTTCAAGGGATCCTCCTGCCTCAGTCTCCAAAGTGCTGGAATTAAAAGTGTTAGCCACCATGCCCAGCTTTGTTATATACTCTGTCACCCAGGCTGGAGTGCAGTGCCACAACCATAGCTCACTGCAGTCTCAAACTCCTGTGCTCAAGGGATCCCCCTGCCTCAGCCTCCTGAGTAGCTGGGACTACAAGCATGCACCTGTCTAGTTTTTTAAATTTTTGGTAGAGATGGGGTTTTGCTATGTTGCCCAGTCTGGGCTTGAACTCAAATCCTCAAGCAATTCTCCTGCCTCAGCCTCCCAAAATGGTGGGATTGTGGGCCAGCCTATTTTGTCTTTTTAAAAAAATTAGTCACTTAAATCACAATAAAGCATATCTCCTAGCTTCCCCATATATTACCCATTTACACATCAATTACTGTTTCTCCTTTAAACAAAAAAACAAAAACAAAAGCTATCATAAATTGATATACAAAAACTCAGAACTTATAAAGCTGACATAGTTTACAAAAAAGTTCTTCATTATAGAAATATATTTAATACTAGTACAGCATGTTCAGAAAATTAATTTCTTAATTACCTAGTTGTAGGCCAGGGGCAGTGGCTCAAGCCTGTAATCCAAGCACTTGGGGAGGCTGAGGTGGGCAGATCACTTGAGGTCAGGAGTTCAAGACCAGCCTGGCCAACATGGTAAAACCCCCATCTCTACTAATAATACAAAAATTAGCCAGGCGTGGTGGTGTGCACCTGTAATCCCAGCTACTTGGGAGGCTGAAGCATGAGAATCACTTGAACCCGGGAGGCGGAGGTTGCAGTGAGCCAAGATGGCACCAATGAACTCCAGCCTGGGCAACAGAGTGAAACTGTGTCTCAAAAAAATAATAATAATAAATTAAAATATAAAAAAAAAAGTAAAAAAATTACCAAGTTGTAAATCAAATGACCAAGTTGTAAATCAGAGAAACAACGAAAGGACAGGGTCATAGTGAAGAATCATTCATTCAAAAAATGTTCCCCAGTGATTCATTCAATTCATAATGGAGCCTCTAGTATTAAAAAAAGTCAAAGAAATCCAAATAAAACAACTCCAGAATTACAACATGTCAATAATCAAATTGTTTTATATTCTAATTTTTTTTTTTTTGAGACACTGTCTCACTCTGTTGCCCAGTCTGAGGTGTAGTGGCATGAACACAGCTCACTGCAGCCTCAACCTCCTGGGCTCAACCCTGCCTCAGCCTCCCGACTAGCTGGGACCACAGGTATGTGCCACCATGTCTGGCTAATTTTTTATTTTTTGTAGAGACACGGTCTCCCTATGTTGTCTGGACTGATCATGAACCCCTGAACTCAAGTGATCCACCCGCCTCAGCCTCACAAAGGGCCAGCATATAGGCATGAGCCACTGGGGTTGGCCTATATTCCAATTTTTAGAGACACTAGTAGAGCCCAAAGTTTTGTCTCCATATTAATTTGAATGCTTTTTTCACTGGTTCAATTCAGCTTGATAATGGTATCTGGTCCAGTGCCTAGGATGCTATAAGCACACAAATATTTGTTAAATAACAATATAAAAGGTAACACCTGACTGCTTATCATGTGCCAGATACTATTTATTTATTTATTTAGAGATGGAGTTTCACTCTTGTTGCCCAGGCTGAAGTGCAATGGCGCCACCTTGGCTCACTGCAACCTCCGCCTCCTGGGTTCAAATGATTCTCCTGCCTCAGCCTCCCAAGTAGCTGGGATTACAGGCATGCACCACTGGCTAATTTTTTTATTTTCAGTAGAAATGGAGTTTTGCCATGTTGGTCAGGCTGGTCTCGAACTCCTGACCTCAGGTGATCCACCTGCCTTGGCCTCCCAAAGTGCTGGATTACAGGCATGAGGCACCAGCCAGATACTATTCTAAGTTCTTTTAACTTATTTTATCTTCATAGCAATTCTAAAGTACTACTATTTTATCCTTATTTTACAGATGGGGAAATTGAAGGAAAAACAATCCAAGATTATACAGTTAAGTTTATGGTGGAGCCAGGAAATCAGGCTCCAGAACTCACACTAAACCAAATCTACTCTTGAAACCCTCCAATCTATTAAACAAGAAGCTAAAGTGATCTTTACAAAACTCAAGTCACATCATATTACCCCATACTTAAATCCTCTAATGGTTTCCCAATACTCTTAGAATAAATTACAAAATGATTAAATGACTCCTGCATACCTATACAGTCTCATCTAATGACTAAAAGAATCTAGAGTCTAAAAGAAGAGACTGGGCCAGGCATATTGGCTCATGTCTGTAATCCTAGCACTCTTGGAGGCCAAGGCAGGAGGATCATTTGAGGCCAGAAGTTCGAGATTAGCCTAGGCCACATGGCAAGACCACATCTATACAAAAATAAAATAAAATAATTAGTTGGGCATGGTGGCACATGCCTGTAGTCCTAGCTTTTCAGGAGGCTGAGGGAAGATCACTTGAACTCAGAAGTTCAGGGTTACAATGAGCTACAATTGTGCCACTGCACTCCAGCCTGAGCGACAGAGTAATGCCCTGCCTCTAAAAACAATTTTTTTAAAAAAGAAACAGGCCGGGCATGGCGGCTCATGCCTTTAATCCTAGCATTTTGGGAGGCCGAGGTGGACACATCACTTGAGGCCAGGAGTTCGCAACCAACCTGGCCAACATAGCGAAACTCCATCTCTACTAAAAATACAAAAATTAGCCAGGCGTGGTGGTGCGCTCCTGTAGTCCCAGGTACTCAAGAGGCTAAGGCAAGGGAATCGCTTGAACCCTGGAAGCGGAGGTTGCAGTGAGCGAAGACTGCACTTCTGCACTCCAGCCTGGGCAACAGGGCAAGACTCTGTCTCAAAAAAGAAAAAAAAAGAAACTGATAGAAAAATTGATTATAATATGTTTACAACTATTTTATGCATATAAACAAAAGATGGTTTAGGAACTCAAGGACAGGGTAAGGGTGAGTGAGAGGTAGAGAGGAAAAGGAAAGGCTTCCTGGAATAGTTGGTTCCTGAGCTTAATCTCCAAAAATAGGAGTTTGCCAGGCAAAGGTGTACAAAAATAGGAGAGAGGATATTTTATCAAAAAAAATCGACAGTATATAGAATTGTGGGCCAGGTGCAGTGGCTCAAGCTTGCAATCCCAGCTCTTAGGGAAGCCAAAGTTGGTGGATCACTGGAGGCCAGGTGTTCAGGACCAGCCTAGACAACATGGTGAAACCCCGTCTCTACTAAAAAAAATACAAAAATTAGCCTGGTGTGGTGAGGCACGCCTGTTGTCCCAGCAATTTGGGAGGCTGAGGCATGAGAATTGCTTGAACCCGGGGGTGGAGGTTGCAGTGAGCCGAGACTGCACCACTGCGCTGCAGCCTGGACAACAGAGCAAGACTCTGTCTCAAAAAAAAAAAAAAAAAAAGAATTGTGGATGACTAAGGTAACTGCAGTGGACTATAAGCACATCAATGTGGCTACCCTGTAAAGTAAAATGTGAAAATGTGAAGTGATAAGAAAAAAATTGGGCAAACTAACCCCCTTTTATCCCTTATATTCAATCACAGTCCTATTATATTTATCATGCAAATGTCTCTCTAATGTGGACGTTTCCCTCCCATTACCATGATAGTCCCCATCATCTTTTATTTAGTTTACTATAACAAAAGTAACATGTATTAACTGCTTACTATGTGCCAGACATTCCACATTGACTGGTGTTAGTTTAAGAAGCCTTTTAAGAAGCTGATGGGGCCTGGTGCGGTGGTTCACGCCTATAATCCCAGCACTTTGGGAGGCCGAGGCAGGTGGATCACCTGAGGTTAGGAGTTCGAGACCAGCCTGGCCAACATGATGAAACCCCATCTCCACTAAAAATACGAAAAATTAGCCAGGCTTGATGGCAGGTGCCTGTAATCCCAGATACTTGGGAGGCTGAGGCAGGAGAATCGCTTGAACTCAGGAGGCAGAGGTTGCAGTGAGCCGAGATCACGCTACTGCACTCCAGCCTAGGCAACAAGAGCAAAACTTTGTCTAAAAAAGAAAAAAGAAAGAAAAAACCAGGCCGGGTGTGGGCATGGTGGCTCTACCTGTAATCCCAGCATTTTGGGATGCTGAGGTGGGTGGATCACCTGAGGTCAGGAGTTCGCGACCAGTCTGGTCAACATAGTGAAACCCCGTCTCTACCAAAAATACAAAAATTGGCCAGCACGGTGGCAGGCACCTATAATCCCAGCTACTTGGGAGGCTGAGGCAGGAGAATCGCTTGAGCCTGGGAGGCAGAGGTTGCAATGAGCCGAGATCATGCCACTGCACTCCAGCCTGGGCAACAGAGACTCCGTCTCAAAAAAAAAAAAAAGAAAAAACAGAAACAAAAGAAGCTAATGAGATTATTAATATAAGAGATTTACTAAGGGAACACCTGTGAAGGAAAATGGGCTACAGAAAGCTGGGTGTAGGTGTGATCCCTGTAGAGGAGACAAGAAAGGAAGCTTGAGCAGTAAGAATCAGCACAGTTCTAAGAAAGGTTGGTAAGGCTGTTGAAGAATTCTGGAGCCAAAGTCACCCATCAGAGGAGACCTGTGCATCCCAAAAACAAACCTACCTTTGTAACCCTGCCGTACTCAAATCACTTTTGCATATATGTCAGAAAGGTTCAAACAGGACTTGAGTCTCATAGGATAACAGGGAATGGTGTGGTAAAAGGGGGTGGAGTTAGATAATTCCCTAGAAATCTTATCAAAAGAAGAGTCAAATTTAGAAGGGATTTGGTACATCTTCTCCAGCTCTCTTTTCTCAATCACCAGTTACTTCTCTGCCTTGCTGTATCAGGGAAGAATGTTCTCAATGTACTTTTTTTTTTGTTGAGACAGGGTCTCTCCCTGTCACCCTGCCTGGAGTGCAGTGGCATGATAAGCTCGTAACTTAAAACTCCTGTGCTCAAGGATCTTTCTGCCTCAGCCTCCTGAGTAGTTGGGACTACAGGCACGTGCCACCACGACTGGCTAATTTTTTTTTTTTTTTTTTTTTTTTGAGACGGAGTCTCACTCTGTCAGCCAGGCTGGAGTGCAGTGGCACAATCGTGGCTCACTGCAACCTCTGCTTCCCAAGTTCAGGCAATTCTCGTGCCTCAGCTGGCCAAGTAGCTGGGATTACAGGTGCACAACACCACACCCAGCCGATTTTTGTATTTTTAGTAAAGACAGGGTTTTACCATGTTGACCAGGGTGGTATCGAACTCCTGACCTCAGGTGATCCACCTGCCTTCGCCTCCCAAAGTGCTGGGATTACCGGCATGAGCCACCACACCCAGCCTTGGCTAATTTTTTGTAGAAATGGAATCTCACTGTGTTTCCCAGGCTGGTCTCGAACTCTGGCCTCAAGCAATCCTCCAGCCTCGGCCTCCCAAAGTGTTGGGATTACAGGCATGAGCCATCACATCCAGCCCCAAAGTGCTTTTAAAAGGGAACATGCTATAAGGTAAATCTTTTTAAAAACTTTATTAGAAAAATCTAGGAGTTGGGAAATAGGAGAGGGAGGAAATAGAAGCTTCTCAAAAGTCTTAAGGAGGCAGACAGAAGCGACAGGAAAAGCAGCAAGAAGTAAAAACTATTCCAGAGGTTTTGATTTCCTTGTGTAGAAGAGAACAAGAAATAGTGTGACCCTGGTGTGATAAAATGATATGTATTTTGTTTCCAAGTAGTAGGACAATCACATGCTTCTAACTAAGACCAAGAAACACGAAGGCAACCACTAATGGAAATAAACTTTAAAATTAATAAAAACAAAGGGAAAATGAAGAAACAATAACATCAGATCCATGATAAAGTTATAGAAGCAACAAAAGCAAGAATATCAGTCATAACATTAAACCTGAACTGAATAACCAAGCCCATTAAAAAACAGTATGTCTTTCCAAACGACAAATACTATACGATTCCATTTATATGAGTTATCTAGATAAGCAAATTCATAGATGGAAACTAAAATGGAGCTGAGGAGAGGAAGAATGAAGAATTATTGTTTAATGGGTACAGAGCTTCTGTTTCTGATGATGAAGCGTTTGGGGAATGGACTGTGTTGATGTTTGCAAAACATTGTGAATATAATTAATGCCACTGAATTGTACACTTAAAAATGGGTAAAATTGTAAATGGATCTAGAGCAGCAGTTCTCAACTAAGGAAGGTATTGTTCCCCTAGAAGGGTATCTGGAAACATGTGAGAATCTTTGTTTTTATAATGCAAGGTGGGGAGAAAGACACAGAAGGGTGAGGAGAAAGACACAGAAGGAGTGTTCATGACTGGAGTTCATAAGCATGGACAGGCCGGGCACAGTGGCTCATGCCTGTAATCCCAGCACTTTGGGAGGCCAAGGTGAGTGGATCACCTGAGGTCAGCAGTTCAAGACCAGTCTGATCAACATGAAGAAACCCCATCTCTACTAAATACAAAAAATTAGCCAGGTGTGGTGGTGCATGCCTGTAATCCCAGCTACTTGGGAGGCTGAAGCAAGAGAATTGCTTGAACCTGGGAGGCAGAGGTTGCAGTGAGCCGAGATTGCGCCATTGCACTCCAGCCTGGGCAACAAGAATGAAACTCTATCTCAATTTAAAAAGAAAAAAAAAAAAGAGTGAAGGACAGAAGTGATAAATATTGCACAACATGCAGAACAATCTCTTATACCACCCAAAATACCAAGAGTACTTCAATAGAGAAAGAATATAGATTAGGAGAAAAGGGGGGAAAATCTCAGTCAATGTACCTTAACATCAATACATTATTTAGTAACTAAGATTTAGAAAGATATAAGCAACCTAAATGTTAACGATTAACATGGCCAAAATATGGCTAAAATTTACAAGGGTTTTAATTATTGTCAGTCAGAAATCCCTTTACCTAAAAGGACGATACACTGAACTGCTTTAGGTACTCCAAGGAGATGAAAGATCTTTTTTTTTTTTTTTTCTGAGATGGAGTTTTGCTCTTGTTTCCCAGGCTGGAGTGGAATGGTGCAATCTTGGCTCACTGCAACCTCTGCCTGCCGGATTCAAGTGATTATCCTGCCTCAGCCTCCCAAGTAGCTGGAATTACTGAGGCCCACCACCGCACTCAGGTAATTTTTGTATTTTTAGTAGACATGTTGGCCAGGCTGGTCTCGAACTCCTGACCTCAGGTAATCCACCCACCTCAGCCTCCCAAAGTGCTGGGATTACAGGTGTGAGCCACCACACCTGGCCAAAAGATCTTTAAAAACATCATGTTGAGGCCACTAACTGTAGCAAGTAAAAGGTTATTGACGATTTCTACTTTGAAGTCCCCTTTAGTAGGGCTATGCTCCTTTTCTAAGTCAGGAGTACTCAGAGAACAAGCACTATTCTCAATAATAAATCTTATCAACACAGACTGGCAAAAACAACATTAACAACAAAACACCCCACCACACCCAACATATCATTCATAAAATAGTTTAATTGAATAATTTACAAAAAATATATGTATACATGAATGTAATAAAGCTTTAAAAGGCCTCAGCTGTTTCTTACTAAACTTTAATTTCCCAAAGGCAAGAAGTATAAGTTAATTGATAGTATGCAGCAAGGTCCTACATCATTTCGGAAATTAGAATATTTTAAGTGATAAAGAGAGAAAACGATTACAATAGCCCAATGTGTACAGCTTATGCAATTATACATCTATAATTCATTGATACAGCATTTTAATAGTGTGTCTGAGACTGCTATCCTAAGACAGACCCGTGTGCAAGACTGGCCTTTGGCTAGGATGTGGCAATTTGGATTTTTGGGAGGATTCCCATCATTCCTTAATGAGAATGTTTTACATTTCCAAACTGTTTACACAAACAGTGTGACTTACGTTGAACACTTCCTTTTCTTCTGCCAGTCTCGAATTTTGGTATGTGCCAGGCAGAAGCTGCTTACATGACGAGCCCCCAGTAGAAAGTTTGGGTGCTGAGCCCCTAATTAGCTTCCCTGGTAGACAATATTTTATATGTGTTGTCACTGTCAGTTGCTGGAGGATTAAGCTTAATGTGTGACTCCTCTGCGAGAAGACATTTGGAAGTTTGGATTTCGTTTCTCCTGGACTTTGCCACACACACTTTTTCCCTTTGTTGATTTTGCTTTGCTTCCTTCACTGTAATAATTCATAGCCATGAATACAACTACATGGTAAGTCCCATGAATACTCCCAGCAATCACTGAGCCTAGGGGTGACCTTGGGATTGCCAACACAGCTGGTGTTAGAAGTTGGACTCATGAAGAGGGAAGAAGCAGTAGGATGACAAACATTTGCTGCTTGGGTGGCTATAAAATCATTCACAGTATGAAACAGCAGCTGAGCTTCTGTCTGTTGTGACAGGTAAAAATTACCTATGAAATTTGAAAATGATAGCTCTAAACCAGGAAAATTGGCTACCTCATTCCCCTGGCAGTTTCTGGCCATGCTGACTAAAGTGAAGAGAGAAAAAACAGAGTCTGGATGATGTCTCTGTTTTTGTTTTTTTTTTCTTGCCTCCAGGTGGGAAGAGGCCCAAAAGTTCCCAAAGGTGAGTTTTGGGTGGACCAAAAATGTTAAAAGTTTGTATGCTCTCTCCTCTAAATAGGAAAAAATAATAGCAAGATCAGAGCCCAGGGCTGGAGCAAAGCTTTAGATAAACTAGGGGAGAAACAGGAGTGGGGAGAGTGAACCACTCCAGCTGTTTCTTCAGACTAGCTGCTGCTGCCTGCAGTTCCTCCCTACACCTTGCATTCCAGTCAGGATTTCCCAGCAGCTGTAATGTGTTACTCTTATAAACACTGAATTTACTGCTGGGGGTTGATTAAATTTAAAATAAGGAATAAGGATGGCTGGGCACCGTGGCTCACGCCTGTAATCCCAACACTTTGGGAGGCCAAGGTGGGCAGGTAACTTTGAGGTCAAGAGTTCGAGACCATCCCGGCCAACATGGTGAAAACCTGTCTCTAATGAAAATACAAAAATTAGCCTGGCACAGTGGTGGGTACCTGTAGTCCCAGCTACTCAAGAGGCAAGGCAGGAGTATCACTTGAACCTGGGAGGTGGAGGTTGCAGTGAGCTGAGATTGTGCCACTGCATTCCAGCCTGGGCAACAAAGCAAGACTCTGTCTCAATAATAAATAAATAAATTTAAAGTAAAGTGGGGGGTTGAAAGATGACTTTGTACTTTGCAGCTATTGCATCTAGATGTATAATCAAAACTGACATAATATGTAATATGCTGCTAGTCATTTCATAAATGCTAGAGGGATTGTCCCAATCAGGAAGAGTTAGTGAGACAAAATTTCTTGCTTTTTTCTGCTGAAGGGACTGGAATTTAAACTCTCTGAGTATTGGGAGCAGAATAAATCTCCACAATGGATGATATTTACTATGACTTTTTTAACTACTGATGACCCTGGAAAAAGAGAGACAACATGAAAACAAACGAAATCTCCAGATGGAAGAAATACACTTTTGGAATTTTAAATGCAGTTTTTCATTGCTATTGAATTCTTGTGAAATTAGATGTCTGACCCTTAGAAGCTGATGATTTTCCAGCCTGATGTGCATATTTTTGAGCAGATCAAGTTGGATCCTAAGACAAGGTAAAAAGGACTTAGGACAGTCTCGCTGATCACTCGGACTTGAAATATGGCTGCGAGCCTGCAGTATCTTGGCTTTACTGCTGCCAAAGACAAGACACTAACTGTTTTGGAATCCTGAAATCACAGATCTCAATTACCTGGATCTGAGGCTAGGCTGAAACCTGACACTCTGCTACTGGGCTATTTCAACCTCAACACAAGCTGTGCTGAACCAAAAGCAGGCATATACTCAATAAACAGGACTTTGCCTCAATTTTTTTTTTTTTTTGAGACAAGGTCTTGCTGTCACCCAGCCTGGAGTGTAGTGGCACAGTCACGGCTTGCTGCAGCCTCAATGCAGCAAGCAATCTGCTTGAGGGCTCAAGCAATCCTCCCACCTCAGCTCCCAATTAGATGGGACTACAGGCATGTGCCACCACACCCAGATAATTTTTTTTTTTTTTTTTAAGAGACAGGGTCTCACACTATGTTGCCCAGGCTGGTCTTGAACTCCTGGGCTCAAGCGATCACCCTGTCTTGGCCTCCCAAAGTTCTGGGATTACAGGCGTAAGCCACTTTGTCTGGCCGTCAAAGATTACTGAATATTTAAAAGATATCCTCCTGTGGAGCCAGAAACTATGAAAACATCATGGATTCTGGCTGGACCACCTCAACCACTCACAGATAACCAAAGAAAAAGGCTTATTCTCTGATGGGACTATCCAAAATCAAGCTGCTGATTGGTCTTATGTATCTGATATGGAGATTAACAGTATTCCCAACTGGTGGTTCCTACCAAAAGCTGTAGTTGGGAGGGGGCACATCACAAAGAGTGTAGCCCCTTCGCCCACTTCTTACAGATTAGATTTTGACCCCTTCTTGAGATGTCTCACTGCTACTGACTTGTGTTTGCCTTTCTGGATTGGTTACAGTTTGCAACAACAGATTTAATAACCTGACTCTAGTTCTCTCTTTCCTGTCACCCCTCCTGGTACACACACACCTCAGTAAGTCAGTCTGGTTATTAAATGCAGCTGTCCCCAGAAAGGAACTGATGTTTTCTAGGCTACCCACTAGATAAATGATCAGGACAAAAGGGGTGGGAGATAACATAAGCCCATTTTGAAAAGTTTTAAAAATTCAGGATTTCATCCTGACCAATTCCTAAATATAATATGTCTTTCTAATTAAGTTGTCTAAAAATGTTTTTTAGTGAAAAAGACTTTTGTCCCTCATGCAGGTCTGGATGATTGAGAAGACATGAAATTTTCATTACTGAAAGGGATACACTGATTTTATTAGGAAGAAAAAACAAAACACAGCAGCTGGGAAGAGACAGCGGAGGAGGAGGACATTAATGATTTTTGCTTTTCACAACTAGTCCTGAAAGCTTTCCCCCTTTTCCTAAAGGAAATCTCTCAGGGTTCCCTTTCCAAGCTGCCATGAGTCCTTTTAATTCAACCTGACTGCTGAACTTACAATCATACCTAACAGCACCAACTACCAGCACCCCTGAGACTGCATCCCCTAGAAATGCCTGCTTGTAAGATTAGCCTTTGGCTGGCATCTGAGAACTTGAATGGTCAACAGTTTCCTACACTTTCCTGAAATAACAGTGGCTCACTGTACCTAAACTGTTTATATAAACAATATGGTTTACACTGATTTTGGTACATGTTGAGAGAGACTGCCTATGTGACCAGCCCCCATAAAAATCCTGAGTACTGAGTCTCCAATAAGCTTCTCTGGTAGACAACATATCACACGCTGTCAATCATTGCTGGAAAAATTAAGTGTGTCCTGTGTGACTCCCCTGGGAAAGGACTCTTCTTGGAAGCATGTGCTTGTTTTTTCCTGCACTTCACCCCATGTACCTTTTCCCTTTGCTGATTTTGCTTTGGATCCCTTCACTGTAATGACTCAAAGCTGTGAGTATGATTGTATGTTCAGTCCTGTGAGCCCCCTAGCAAATCATCATACCTGGGAGAGGTCTTGGAGACCCTCAATGTAACTAGTAATACTTTTTAATAGGTAAACAGATAAACTTAGAGTTACACATTCCATTTGGGTATGGAAAGACATCACTAAAATTTCCTTTATGCTAGCAAACAGAATTAGTGGGGTACTTACGAAAACAGATCAAACCACTGCTGTTTTGTAACAGATTCCTGGCGTAAAAGCTTCAAAACAATCGGGCGCATAAAATCCCATTTGTCTTCAAACTGAAGAGAACCTTTATTCTTGAAAAAAAAAAAGATAAAAGGGAGTTTAATTTAAATGCAGTTAAATAAAAAGTATCCTGTAATTTTTATGAGACAGCTAGAGAAATGAAGGGCTCAAATTTAAATGAACCAGTTTTCCATAATGGAATCCCTACAGGCTTAATCCGTTATTGAGGAATCACAGGAAGACAATCATAAAAGAGAAAAATTGTACAAATGTGTTTAGTGAAGAATTTGGCCTTGTCCAAGGAGACAGTCTGGTCTTTCTTCTTGGCTTCTAGTAGATAATCTCTGGACACTTAGAAAGTTACGTCTAAAAAGTATGTCTTTGGGAGGCCTTGGGTCATACTGGATTGGCTAATAATGCAATTCAGGGAGGGGACTGTCCACACCTATATAATCCTATGTAGAGGCTCACCAACTGGGAAGACGAACAATACAACTTGAGATACGGGTTTGGGGTCACAGGGGGTCACTCAACACGGAGACTGAAATCCCTGTGAGCAAGTAATCAATCACACCTATGTGAATAAGCTCCATCAAAACTCAACAGTAAAGGTTGGGTGAGCTTCCCTATTTGATGGTACTCGTGCATACTGTCATACATTGATGCCGGGAGAGAAATGTGTCCTGACCACATGGGGAGAGGGCAAGATAAGCTCGCATTTGGAACTCTCCTAAACTTAGCCCTATGAGTCTCTTCCTTTGGCTGATTTTATCTGAATCCTTTCCCTATAACAAATCATAACTATGGGTACAACAGCTTTCACTAAATGCTATGAGCCTTTCTAATGAATTATCAAACCTGAGAGTGGTTTTGGGAATCCCCCAAGCTTACAGTTGGTGTCAGAAGTGAGAATAGTCTTATATGGAGACTGTATCATCTAATTTTGTAGTTGTCCTAAACTCACAAAAAGTATATTGGAAATCTATGTAAACTCTGAAAACTGAGGAGAAAAAAAAAACAGAAAAATACTCATCTCCTTTTATAATGCTAACAAAAAACCCTGACACTGAACTGCTGAGAAAAGCGTAAGAAATGGAAACTCCAGGCCAATCTTACCAGAGAACAAAGATGCAAAAATCTAAATAAATATTATCAAATCAAACAAGTGTCATATCAAAACAATCAGACCTCATAATCATACAGTTTATCTCTGGAATGTAAAAGTAGTGCAATATTAGGAAAAATAATGATCAATTACATTGCCAAAAACAGAGAGAGAGAGAGAGAGAGACCCCATATGTGTTAGTCATTAGTACTCCTTTTCAAGTTAAATGTGACCATGTGATTTGTTTTTTGTTTGTTTTTAAGACAGGGTCTTGCTCTGTCACCCAGGCTGGAGGGCAGTGGAGTGATCATAGCTAACTGTAGCCTTGATCCCCTGGGCTCAAGCAATTCTCCTGCCTGATCCTCCCAAGTAGCTGGGACTACACGTGCGCACCACCATGCCCAGCTAATTGTTGTATTTTTTTGTAGAGATGGGGTCTTGTTATATTTCCCAGGCTGGTCTTGAACTCCTGGGCTCAACTGATGCACTCACCTGAGTCTCCCAAAATGCTGAGGTTATAGCAGTAAGCCACTGAACTAGGACCATCTGGTTTGTTTTGGCCAGTAAATTTCAACAAAAGTCACGATTTTCTTTAACTTTTAAGTTTGGGGTACATGTGTAGGATGTGCAGGTTTGTTACAAAGGTAAACTTGTGTCATGGGGATTTGTTGTACAGATTATTTCATTATCCAGGATTAAGCAATTAGTTATTTTTCCTGATCCTCTCCCTCCTCCCACCCTTCACCCTCTGGTAGGCCCCAGTGTGTGTTGTTCCCCTTTATGTGTTCATGTGTTCTCATCATTTAGCTCCCACTTATAAGTGAGAACATGCAATATTTGGTTTTCTGTTCCTGCATTAGTTTGCTAAGGAAAATGGCCTCCAGCTCCATCCATGTCCCTGCAAAGGACATGATCTTGTTCTTTTTTATGGCTGCATAGTATTCCATGGTGTATATGTACCACATTTTCTTTATCCAGTCTATCATTGATGGGCATTGGGGGTGATTTCACGTCTTTGTTAGAGTGAACAGTGCTGTGATGAACATATGTGTGCATGTGTCTTTATACGACAGCACTGTAGTAACCAAAAAACATCATGGTACTGATATAAGAACATATACAAAGACCAATGGAACAGAATAGAGCCCAGAAATAAGACCACACACCTACAACTATCTGATCTTCAACAAACCTGACAAAAGCAAAAGAGAAAGGACTCCCTGTTCAATAAATGGTGCTGGGATAACTGGCTAGCCATATGCAGAAAAGTAAAACCAGACCCCTTTCTTATACCATATGCAAAAATTAACTCAAGATGGATTAAAGACTTAAATGTAAAACCTAACTTTCTAGTACACCAGCACCAAACACCCTATGAAACTCATGATTTTTTTTTTTTTTTTGAGACAGAGTCTCGTTCTGTTGCCCAGGCTGGAGTGCAGTGGCATAATCTTGGCTCACTATAGCCTCTACCTCCCAGGGTCAGGTGATTTTCATGCCTCAGCCTCCGAGTAGCTGAGATTAGACACGCACCACCACACCTGGCTAATTTTTGTATTTTCAGTAGAGACGGGGTTTCGCCATGTTGCCCAGGCTGGTCTCGAACTCCTGGATTCATATGATCCACCCTCCTCAGCCTTCCAAAGTGCTAGAATTACAGGCATGAGCCACCAGGCCCAGACTCATGATTATTTTTCAGTTATACAAATCTGTTGATATTGCTCAGGTTAAGAACCTGAGATGCATACAGTGATTGTATGGAATATGCAAACTCCCTGAAATTATAACACTGAAACAGTTTGTCAACATATGATCTGACAACAACCTACGTGAAAATCATCTGAGGTGGTGATTACACATACAGATTCCTAAAACCTACCTCAGGCCTACTGGATCGGAATCTCTTGAAGTTAGTCCACAATCTGCATGTTTATCAAATTCATGATAAAATTACATAAAAATAATGTTAGATGGTCTATGACCCAAACTAGGTTAAGAACCACAAATTAACATCATACTCTTATAAATCCTGCTTATATTCACGAACATAGTTCATCCTAAAAGTTAATATACTGTCTTGCTCCAGATGCCTGCTTCTATCACACTGTATTCTTTTTTCTTTTTGTTTTTGAGACAGAGTTTCACTCTTGTTGCCCAAGCTGGAGCGCGGTGGCACGATCTCAGCTCACCGCAACCTCCGCCTCCCGGGTTCAAGCGATTCTCCTGCCTCAGCTTCCCGAGTAACTGGGATTAAAGGCATGCGCCACCAAGCCTGGCTAATTTTGTATTTTTTGTAGAGACGGGGTTTCTCTGTGTTCATCAGGCTGGTCTCAAACTCCCGACCTCAGGTGATCTGCCCACGTCAGCCTCCCAAAGTGCTAGGATTACAGGCGTGAGCCACCGCACCCAGCCACTGTATTCTTATCATAAGGACCCATGGGAGATATCCACTAAAAACTTAGTACTGGGATTAGCTACGCTTCTCTCCTGAACAACTAGTTTCTTTTTACCTTATGGACTTAAATGAATCACGTAAGTAACTTCGCACTCCTCTTAGTGTTGGCTACTGGGAAATTCAGAGTCAGAATTGTGATGCTGCGGCATATACTTTGTACAATAACTTTATGCCTGGCCTCACATTACTTTTTCTACTTTTTATTATTTTCCTGTAACTCTCATTTTCTTCTTTTATTCTTCCCTATGAGGAAGAGGTGTGCAAATAAACAAATATGAAAGAACCATAGAAAGAACACTTTTCTTGACTGACATGGAAAAAAGAATACCTTCTTAACAAGAGGATACTTTCTAATTTCAATTAAGTCTATTTCCACAAGCACTTTTGCTAATTTATAAAATTAAATATAGTGTAAGTCCTGCAATTAAAAATAAAAGGTGCAGAGTACCAGAGTAGACAGGTACTGGAGATAAATTAAACACTGGTTAGGCTCTGAAATCTCCTAATAGACATTGTTAAGTACCAGGAAACATATTTTTGCTCTCCTTTTTGATGGAACACATAATAAACACGTTTCCCTAATACTCAATTTTAAAAGGAATTTAATAATTAATTGTTTTCTATTAAACTTTTATAATAGATTCCAAAAATGATGCTCAAGTAGTTCCTTGACCTATTCTCTATTAAACTGAAGAGCATATCATTAAATCATAACTAAGTGGCAGGACACCAAATCCACTATCTACAAAACAGAATGCCTTATTAATAAGAAAAAGAATCTTCAGACTATGAACCTTGATTTATGTACGTTTTCACTGACTGACTGAAGGCTGCCTCATCTCTATTAACTTGCTACAAAGCCTCTTGAATTCTTTCATTACTATTCAGAATAGCAAATAAGCTGGACTCAACAGTTGCTAGTAGGTCTACAATTCTCTCATTCACTGGCTCTTCAGAGAACTACAACATTTGCCATACTCCTGCCCCTCTATCCTTCACTCCTTACAGCACAACTAATCCCTTCACAGGCACTCTTCTTCTCACACAAATGGGCCGTGGGGAAGCCAACAGGGAGTTGACAATGGGGGAATACCTGGAAAAAGGTATTCTATCCTTCACTCCTTACAGCACAACTAATCCCTTCACAGGCACTCTTCTTCTCACACAAATGGGCCGTGGGGAAGCCAACAGGGAGTTGACAATGGGGGAATACCTGGAAAAAGGGTATTCTAGGCAGAGAAAGCAGCCAATGCAAAGAACATAAGATAGAAACATGCTTAATGTATTCAAGGTAGAGCAAAGTAAACAAAGTGGAGAGAGCAGATAAGGTCATAGAAGTAACTTAGCTTACTGGATCTTACTGAGCTGGATCTTGTAGGACCCTGAAGGCCATTATAAAGACTTTGGTTTCTACTATAAGTGAGATGAAGAGCCATTAAAAGATTCTGAGCAAGAAGTGTCATAATCTTTTTTATTTTTTATTTTTTTTGAGATGGAGTCTTACTCTACTGCCCAGGCTGGAGTACAATGGGGCGATCTCGGCTCACTGCAACCTCTGCCTCCTGGGTTCAAGCAATTCTCCTGCCCTAGCTGGGATTACAGGTGTGCACCACCACGCTCAGCTAATTTTTGTATTTTAGTAGAGACGGGGTTTCACCATGTCGGCCAGGCTGGTCTCTAACTCGTGACCTTGTGATCCGCCCGCTTCGGCCTCCGAAAGTGCTGTGATTACAGGTGTGATCCACCGCACCTGGCCTGAAGTGTCATAATCTTATTTACATTTTAAAATCTCCCTCATTACTATGTTGAGAATATATTATAAGGGGCAAGGGTTAAAACTGGGTGTAGGATTAGGAAGCACTGATGGTGACTTGGACTGAGGTGATAGCAATGGAGGTAGGAGGTATGAGAAGTGGTTCAATTTTAGATGCCCAAAAGGTGGTACTAACAGGACTTCCTAACAGTAAGCATCTGAGATATGAGAAAATGGGAGTAAAGCATGACTTTAAGGCTTTTGTCCAGTAAGTGTGGCACTACCATCAACTAGAATAAAAGAAGATTTGACAGGCTTATTAAGGAAAGCTTGTGAGACTGGTTTTAGATGTATTACATTTAACATATCTATTATACATTCATATGAAAATGTTGAATAGGCAGTCCAATATGGAAATCTAGAATTTAAAAGGCCTATCAGAAAATAAAAACTTGAAGTCATCAGAATACAGATGGGTTTTAAAACCTGTTATTGGATGAGATCACTGTGAGAGAAGTGATACATAAAGATGGAGACCCAAGCCTGAGGTTTTAGATATCCAACATTAAGAGGCGGAGAGAGGAGTAAGAACTAGCAAAGGAGACAAAGAGAGCAACCAGAGCACAGGTGGCAAGAAAACCAAGAGTATGGTATTCTGGACAAAAAGTAAATAAAGTGTGTCAGAAAGACAGAATAATCAATTTTAAGAATTTCTCCTGACAGATCAGGTAAGATAACCACTGAAACAGCAATATGGAAGTTACTGAAACTTTGTCCACAGAAGTTTTTGCAGAGTAGTAAGGACAAATACCAGATTAGAGTGGAATGAAGAGTGGAATTAAGAGAAACGAGGAGCCAGGCGCAATAGTTCATGCTTGTAATCCCAACACTGGGAGGCTGAGGCGGGCGGGTCACTTGAGCCCAGGAGTTCGAGACCAGCCTGGGCAACATGGAAAAAGCCTGTCTCTACTAAAAATACAAAAAATTTGGCTGGGCACGGTGGCTCACACATGTAATCCCAGCACTTTGGGAGGCCGGGGTGGGTGGATGACTTGACATCAGGAGTTCGAGACCAGCCTGACCTACATGGTGAAACCCTGTCTCTACTGAAAATACAAAAATCAGCTGGGTGTGGTGGTAGGCCCCAGTAATCCCGGCTACTCAGGAGGCTGAGGTGGGAGAATTGCTTGAACCTGGGAGGCGGAGTTTGCAGTGAGCCAAGATTGTGCCACTGCACTCCAGCCTGGACAGCAGGGGGAGACTGTCTCAAAGAAAAAAAAAAAAAATTAGCTGGGCATGGTGGCGCCTATAATCCCAGCTACTAAGGCCTGGAGGCGGAGGTTGCAGTGAGCCATGATGGCGCCACTGCACTCCAGCCTAGGCGACAGCGACAGTGAGACCCTATCTCAAAAAACAAATAGTAAATAAAAACAAAAATAAATAAGAAGAAAACTAGAAAGAGTACAGACAACCCTTCACAATTTTTCCTGTATAAGAGAGTAAAGAAATGGCATGGTAATTGATAGGGTGAGAGGAAGTGAAAAAATAATAATTTTTTTTTTTTTTTTTTTGAGACGGAGTCTCACTCTGTCTTTCAGGCTGGAGTGCAGTGGCGTGATCTCTGCTCACTGCAACCTCCGCCTCCCAAGTTCAAGTGGTTTTCCTGCCTCAGCCTCCCGAGTAGCTGGGAATACAGGTGCCCGCCACCATGCCCAGCCAATTTTTCTATTTTTAGTAGAGATGGGGTTTCGCCACATTGGCCAGGGTGGTCTCGAACTCCTGACCTCGTGATCCGCCCACCTCAGCCTCCCAAAGTGCTGGGATTACAAACGTGAGCCACTGCGCCTGGCCAAATAATTTTTTAAAGCTAGGATACAGTATGATTGTATGCTGACAGGAACATTCCAGGATATGAAATGTTGATGATGTGGGGAAAGGGAGAGAAACTGCTAGTGAATTTAAATTGCACTGGATAGGCAAGAGGGAATGGGATCTAGCGCATATGTGGAGGAAGTGACTACAGGCTAAGAGGAGAAGGCAAAAGAATGTACATGTAGGTGCTGGTACAAGGATAGATGTCGTACGACTCTGAGAAGTTCATATTTTATTGCTTTAATTTCCCAGTGATGTGGAAATAACGACAATGTCTGAGAAGATCGGGGAGGAAATGTTAGAATGTTGACAGAAAAGATGTGAAAAATACATCTAGGAAAGTGGAAGAATAAGTGACTCTGGAAATGCAGTATGACTGGCCTCATTGTGGTCATGGATTTAAGGTGCAAATAGCACGGTTGTGTCTTTTTCTCGAGTGACATTCAGCTGCACAGGTACTGGCACTGAAAAGTGAAGAGACAGATTTAACCAGGGTTGTACACTTTTCCCAAGCAGAACAAGACAGGGGCAAGGAAGCAAAAAGTGTATTGAAGGGAACAACTATAATGATTGAGAAGAGAATTTATGTTGGGTAAGGCGGAGAAAATGGACTTCAAGGTGAAAAGAGAAAGAGACTTCTGCTTCCCATCATGACAGAATAACAGGAACCAGATTTTCCCTCCTGCCTAAACAAACTAGAAAACCAAAAGCAGTGCAGGACAGCGCTTCCTGAGAAAAGAAAAACAAATGAGGTGAGCGCTACAAATGTCCAAACATACTGCCTAGAGAGTGTCTCCAGGCCTCATCACAAGGAGGGGAAACCCAAACAGCCGCTAGGGGTTTCACTACATTTAAGAGGCAGAGTTCAGAGTTTGAAAAGGCTGAGGTGACTAGAATTTGTGGCATCAAGGGAGCTCTGGGTATCTATACAGAAGGTCCCTGAGGCCTGTGGCTGAGTACTAACCTGTACCTGGGTGTGAGAAAACTGTAAGAGACTGGGGAAAGAACCATTAGGAAGGAATGGGAATGGGCAGAACAATCAGCAGAGTGCACACAGGGCCAGAAACAGTTAGTGTTGCTACCAGCCAGAGTGGAAACACCCTTTAAAGTGCCAGGCATTGGGTAGAGTCCACAGAAAGTTATTGAGTCTATAGTGGAGCCAAAGTAGCCCTACCCCGAGTGATATTCTGGACACACTCTAACGAAACTTAAAGGTAAGCTTCAAAAGGATCAAACTGATTCCAAGTTACCTAACTGCATCACAGCCAAATCCAAAACTATTTAGAGAAAAATTTTAAAATCAAGCCCCTAAAACATATACTCACAATGTCTGACATCCAGTTAAAAACTACCAAGCATGCAAAGAAACAGGAAAATATAAACTATCACCAAGACAAAAAAAATCACCAAAAGAAGCTGACCCAGAAATGACACAGGTGTTACATTCAGTAAACAAGGACATTAAGTCAGCTACTATACATATTCTATATGACCAAAAAGGTATGGGATGGCATGAACATCATAGAAATATTTTTTAAATGAGTATCAGTAAGCTGTGGAACATCAAATGACCTAACGTACACATAATTGGAATCTTGATGTAAGGGTGTAGAGAGTATTTGAAGAAAAATGCAAAAATGTTTTCTAATTTGATAAAAACTATAAACCACAGATATAAGACATTAAACAATGAGGTAGCAGAGTCACTGAACTGAAGGCTTTAGTAGTGGAGGTGGACTGTTGGAATAAAAGCACTAGAGAGAGTCAGAAAGACAGGGTGGTAACAGGTAATCAAGTAGGATGCTTGAAATTGAGATTATGGAAGGATGGAATTTAGCAAAAATTTCTCATTTCTACTGTCTTTGTTTAATCATTCCACTCCAAGATTTTCTACTATTTTTTTTTATTGCAAATATATGGCATTTCACTAATTGGGGATTATAAAGGCCAACAAATTTTGTAATGTGGTATCTGTTGTACAAAAGACTTCTTTTGATTTTCCTTACATTTCCACGAATGGTTTGAATATCTGACATCTGTAAATAAATTTTAGTTCAGCATTTGTATCTTCTATTAACTTCACTATAATCTTCAGCGTAGATGTGTAAATCACTGAATCACTGTGATTATTTTACTTTATAATATCTGACTGTTACATGTTAGGTGCTGTACTGTTCCAAACACTTTACAAGTATGAATTAATCTTCACAACTATCCTATGTGTTCAGTGATATTATTCCTTTATTATTATTATTATTATTTTTTGAGACAAGATTTTGCTCTGTTGCCTAGGCAAGAGTGCAGTGGCATAATCATAGCTCACTGCATGTTCAAACTCTTGGCCTCAAGTGATCAAGTGGCCCTCCTGCCTCAGCCTCCCAAACTGCTAGGATTACAGGCATGATCACTGTGCCTGGCCTATTCCCATTTTATGCACACTGTACAACCTGAGATTAAGTTAGATTATTTGTCAAAAATTATAGGCAGTAAGTGGCAGGGCAGGAAATCAAATCCAAGCAGTTTAGCTCTGTTAAAGCCACATTCTTAATTAACTATTCTCTGGTCCTTTCCTGGATAAGGAATGAATGGGCTTCTAATCCATGGGCCAGATCCAGCCCTTGGCTTAATTTCATCAGGCTTAGAGAGTAAACTGCAAAGATCTATGATTATAAAAATTTAGTGACAATTATCTAGAAACCATACGGCGGAAACATCACTACGTAAAAGACATTTCTTTTCAAACATGGTGGAGGAGGAGGAAGAGGACACTGTTTTCCAAGAAGTTAAATATCTCTTTCCACTGAAATAAAAAATTTCATACCACACTCTGTTTAAACTTTTAGGTTCCTTTTATAAAAGAAAAAAATTTCAAACAAATTCTAGCAATACTTGTATTTTTTGAAACCCAAACAAATAATTTTAAGGAAAAAGCAAGAATAATAAAACTGACAGAAGAGTTTAAACTTATTTTGGGGAGCTTGTCATTTATTACATTTATTCATTGAACAAACATCTGAGACTCTACTGTGCATTGGGGCACATAAATGAAAAGTCCTCAAGCAATTCACATTCTAGTATAGTGTTCCTTAAACTGTAGTACATGGACTCCCGAAGGGTCCCAGGATATATTCTTTGTTTTTTTTCTTTTTTCAAACAACAACTTCAACCAGACACCCAGGATACATTCTTAAGACTCAATCTATAAAAGGAATTTTAAAATTTTGTTTTCGTTTTTAAAAATCTAACAAAATATTAATACAAGTAGAAATCTGAACTACTCATATGACCTTAAAACCAAGCATTAACCATAAAGGGAAAAAAATGTATAAATTGCACTGTATTAAAATTAACTTTAGCCATTAAAAGACACCATTCAGGGAGTGAAAAGGCAGCCCACAGAGTGGAGAAGATACTGCGTTTTTTTTGTTTGTTTTGTTTTTGATACAGAGTTTTGTTTGTTGCCCAGGCTGGAGTGCAATGGCAAGATCGTGGCTCACTACAACCTCTGCCTCCCTGGTTCAAGTGATTCTCATTCTCCTGCCTCAGCCTCCCAGGTAGCTGGGATTACAGGCATGTGCCACCATGCCCGGCTATTTTTTTTAGTAGAGGTGGGGTTTCACCATGTTGGTTAGGCTGGTCTCGAACTCCTGACCTCAGGTGATCCACCTGCCTTGGCCTCCCAAAGTGCTAGGATTACAGGCGTGAGCCACCACGCTGGGCCAGGAAAGGATATTTCTAATATGTATATCCAAGAAAGGCTCTCATCCAGAATATGTAAAGAACTAAAAAGTCCATAAGAAAAGCAAAACAACTCAATTTTATAATTGACTTTTTTTTAGAGATGGGGTCTTGCTGTCACCTAGGCTGGAGTGCAGTGGCACCATCACTGCTCACTGTAGTCTTGAACCACCGGCTCAGAGAAAGTTAAAAAATTTATATCTCAAAAGCACACAGCTAAGGCTTCAGGCCTAAATACTGTACCATCATTTGCCCAGACCAAGGAGGGAGGGTGGATTACAGAAGAATAACTTAATTTTTAAAAATGCGTTTGGGTCCTGTGTTAATTGGCTTAGGAAAAAGAAAATGTGTTTGGGCTGGGGGTAAGTGTTATCAGCCAGAAATATAAGATGTTACATAGATCTTTCTAGAACATATCACTGCTTAAAAAAAATGCATATCCCCCACTGAAATTTAGGAGTGCATTTTCAAGCAATTAGCGTATCTGTAACAATCCCACTTTACTAGGTCATGAGTAAAGGAGCAGATATATAATGGTGTAGAAATACAGTATTTGTTATCATGTTAAAAAATAAAAATGTTTAAACACAAGAATGTAAACAAAAATAGAAAAATCCACTGGCTTGCAAAATGATTCAATAGAATCATTTTTAAATAATTCACTTACTTTACAACAAAATAATACAAATGTTGACCTACTGGTTCGCCCCGAAAACACCCAGAAATCCCTACATAACGCCTGGGACAAAACATACCACATCAAATTATAGAAACAATATTATGGCAATATTTTAATGATGTCAAATGTTGCATTTAAAAGAAAACAGAGAGGGCTCATGCCTATAATTCCAGCACGGTGGGAGGATCACTTGAGGCTAGGATTTCAAGACCAGCCTGGGCATCAAAGAAAGACCCCATCTCTAAGAATGGATGGATCGATGGATAGATAGGTAGATAGATACAGATAGATAGATGGGCATGGTGGGGCACACTTGCAGTCCTAGCTACTCCAGAGGCTGAGGCGGGACAACTGCTTGGGCCCAGGAGTTCGAGGCTGCAGTGAGCTATGATCATGCCACTGCATTCCAGCCTGAGGAACAAAGTGAGACCCTGTCTCTGAAAAATAAATAAATAAACTGGGCGGTGTGGCTCATGCCTATAATCCCATTACTGTGGGAGGTCAAGGCAGGACAATCACTTGAGGCCACGAGTTTGAAACTAGCCTGGGCAACATGGTGAGACCCCATCTCTACAAAAACAAAATAAAATAAAATAATAAAAAATAAAATAAAATATTAACTGGGTGTGGTGGTGCACACCAGTAGTCCCAACAGCTACTCCAGAGGTTGAGGCAAGAGCACTGCTTAAGCTCGGGAATTCAAGGCTGCAGTGACCTATGATAATCCCACTGCACTCCAGTCTGAGTGACAGAGTAAGACCCTGTCTCTAAAAAATGAATAAAATTTAAAAATAATACAAGGAAACAAAGAATTTGTTATTATTGCTGTATATCTTGCTACATCTTGCTTAGGACAAAGGTGTAAGAAAAGCT
The DNA here is from genome assembly GCF_000001405.40 of Homo sapiens. NCBI lineage: Eukaryota > Metazoa > Chordata > Mammalia > Primates > Hominidae > Homo > Homo sapiens. The sequence continues at coordinate 108,021,397 of NC_000011.10, read as the reverse complement.
AAGATGAAAAGACAAGCTGAAGGAAGAGCAAGAAATAATGGCATCCATAGAATTAATGGCAATTTTTTTATCACCTTACTTTTACACGCCCATAACATTTTGAACACCACACAACCAGTTTAGTTGTTTTAAGATTTGTGAAGTTCCCGCCATACTGATTGTGGATTAGAGCCATGTGTCACTTAATGACATTCTGAGAAATGCATCGTTAAGCAATTTCATCGTTGTGTGAAAATAACAGCATGTACTTACACAAATCTAATGGTAGAGACTACTTACTATACACTTAGGCTAAATGGTATAGTCTATTATCCTAGGCTACCAACCTATATAGCATGTAACTGTACTGAAGCTGGAGGCAATTAGGACAAAGTGGTAAGAATTTGTGTATCTAAACATAGAAAAGGTACAGTAAAAATACAGTATGAAAGATAAAAAATGGTAGACCTAAATTGGGCACTCACCATGAATGGAGCCTGCAGGACTGGAAGATGCTCTAGGTGAGTCAGTGAGTGAGTAGTGAGTGAATGTGAAGGTCTAGGACATTACTGTACACTTTATAAACACTTAGGCTATGCTAAATTATCCAAAAATATTTTTCTTCAATAATAAATTAATATAAGCTCATTGTAACTTTTTTACTTTAAAAACCTTTCCTCTTTTTGGGAAACTTTGACTTTTTTGTAAATAACACTTATCGTGAAACACAAACACAAGGCCAGGCACAGTGGCTCACGCCTCTAATCCTAGCCCTCTGGGAGGCTGAGGTGCAAAGATCACTTGAGCTCAGGAGTTTGAGACCAGCCTGGGCAACGTGGTGAGACCCTGTCTCTATTTTAAACAAAAAACAAAAAAAAAAAAATCACAAACACATTCAGCTGCACAAACATATTTACTTTCTTTATATCCTTATTCTATAAACTTTTCTATTAAAAAAAGGTTTTTTATTCTCAATCTTTTTCATTAAAAACTAAGACACACATACACACTAGCCTAGGCCTCCACAGGGTCAGGATCATCATCACTGTCTTCAACCTTCACATCTTGTCCCACTGGAAAGTCTTCGGGAACGCTAACCTGAATGGGGCTGTCATCTCCTATGGTAACAACGCCTTCTTCTGGAATGCCTCCTAAAGGACCTGACTGAGGCTATTTTACAGTTAACTTTTAAATTTATTAGAGGGTACACACACTAAAAACAAAAACAAGTATATAACAGTAAATGTACTGCTACAGTTTGGATGTTTGTCCACCAAGCCTCATGTTGAAATTTGATCCCCAATGTTGTAAGTGGGCCTAATGAAAAGTGTTGGGTCATGGTGGTGGATCCCTCATGTACAGATGAATGCCAGTGGGGGTGGGGGCAGGGTGGTGAGCAGTGAGTGAGTTCTCACTGTTAGTTCCCTGAGAGTTGGTTGTTAAAAAGAGCCTGGTACCTCTCCCCACTCTCTTGCTTCCTTTCTTGCCGTGTGATCTCTACACACACAGGATCCCTTTCACCTTCTGCCATGAGTAGAAGCAGGCTGAGGACCTCACCAGCCTACAGAACTGTGGGCCAAATAAACCTTTTCTTTATAAATTACCCAGTCTCAGGTATTCCTTTATAGCAACACAAATGGACTAAGATATACATAAACCAGTAACACAGTCACTTATTATTATTAGGATAATAATTTTATTATCCTATTATCCAAGGATTATGTACTGTATACAATTATATGTGCTAGACTTTTATAAGAGTGACAGCACAATAGTTTTATGTACACCAGCATCGCCACAGACACGAGTGATGTGTTATTGCACTACTACGTTACAAGGGCTACAATAAACATTGCCAGACAATAGGAATTTTTTAGCTCCCATTATAATCCTATAAGACCACCATTATATATGTGATCCGTTGTTGACCAAAACATCAATATGCAGTAAATGACTGTATATCCAATTAATGGCACTCTAATAACTTTACCAAAGGAACTCAGTTGTCGTATTTTAGATAATTCATGTGAATTATGAGGTTAGTTATTTGAATGTGTGGGTTCCCTTACTGTTTATGAAGCCACTATTGCTCCCAGTTATGTGATTTTAAAACCCCATTTGCCAATCCCCACTAACCAAAAGAATCAAACTACTGTACAGTTGTCCCTTGGTATCTGTGGGGAAATGATTCCAGGATCCACCCCACCCCACCCCCACCCCCACCCATCGGGATACCAAAACCCATACATGTTCAAGTCCTTGATAGAAAATGGCATAGCATTTGCTTATTACCCATGCACATCCTCCCATACACTTTAAACCATCTCTAAATTACTTACAATACCTACTATAATGTAAATGCTAACAGCTGCTATACTGTACTGTTTAGGGAATTATAAGAAAAAAAGGTCTGTACATATTCAATACAGACGCAATTTTTTTCTGAGGTTTTTTTGAGATCACTGCTATTTATAGATATAGAAACTGAGGCACAGAGATGTTAAGTAACTTGCCCAATACCACACAGCTAGCAAATGGCAGAACCTGGAGGCCAACCCAAGCAGTGTGGCTGCAGAGGCTGAGCTCATAACCATTGTTACATTGCAAGTACACTACTTGCATCTATAGGGGATTCATAAAATCTTTCTTATCTCAACAAAAGTGAGGTGGCTTAATAAAAATAAATGTGTGCGGGTGCCACATTAAGTGCATATATGTGATGTTTCTCTCTCTCTTTTTTTTTTAAGACACAGTCTCACTCCGTCACCCAGGCTGGAGTGCAATGGCGTGATCTCGGCTCCCTGCAACCTCTGCCTCGTGGGTTCAAGTGATTCTCCTGCCTCAGCCTCCTGCGTAGCTGGGACTACTGGCATGTGCCACCACACTCAGCTAATTTTTGTATTTTTTTTTTTTTAGTAGAGATGGGGTTTCACCATGTTGGCCAGGATGGTCTTGAACTCCTGACCTCACATGATCCGCCTGCCTCAGCCTCCCAAAGTGCTGGGATTATAGGCATGCGCCATCACCCCCAGCCTTTTCTGAGTATTTTTAATCTTTGGTTGGTTGAATCCACAGACATGGAACTCATGAATACTGAGGGCTGATTGTATATATTTGAATACCAGTAATTCTTACTACTGCAATTCTATGTTCCAGCCACAGCAACCTTTTAAAGGTGTTCCTCAAACAGGCCAAGCTCATCACTGCACCTCAAGACCTTTGCCTTAGAATGCAGATCATTCAGGTCTCAGCTCCAATGCCACCTCAGGCCTCCCAAACCAACCTAAGAAAAATGCCCTTCCTCCATTCCTCTCTGCACATCCAGAGACAAAGTCTTGAGATGGTACAAGAGACACTCTGATTGGCTATGAGACTGAAATTTTAATTTGGAATAACCAGACTTTTAAGAAAAGCCCAGGAAAGCTATAGGATCTGGCTGAAATGTCAACATGAGGAAGAAAAAGAACATTCAACAAAAAATAGTCAAAAGCAGTTTTTTGGGGAAAAATTATTTTCTGTTGTAAATAAGTGAGTAAAATAGTGGCTCCACCTTCCGAACACTTTTTTTTTTTGAGACAGGGTCTCACTCTGTCGTCCAGGCTAGAGTGCAGCAGCATAAACATTGCTCACTGCAGCCTTGATCTGTGCTCAAGCAATCCTCCTGCCTCAGCCTCCCATGTAGCTGAGATTACAGGCATGCACTAACATGCCTGGATAATTATTAAATTTTTTGTAGAGATGAGGTCTTACTATGTTGCCCAGACTGGTCTTGAACTCCTGGGCTCAAGCGATCTTCCCACCTGGGCTTCTCAAAGTGCTGCAATTACAGGCGTGAGCCTCCGCATCCGGCCTTGAACATTCTTATCACGTTGTTTTCGCTACCGCCCTAATTACCAGTAAAAACTATGCAAGTGTATTCTTTATGTCTTTAGTGTCAGTATTCATCCATCAGGATATAAGCCCCAAAGTCTAAGAACTTTGTCATATTCACTATTGTATCACTGATACTTTTTTTTTTTTTTTTTTTTTGAGACAGGGTCTTGCTTTGTCGCCCAGTCTGGAGTGCAGTGGTGCGATCTCAATTCACTGCAGCCTCAACCTCCTGGGCTCAAGCAAGCCTCCCAACTCAGCTTCCTGAGTAGCTAGAACTAAAACCGTACACCACCACCCCCAGGTATTTATTTTTTATTTTTTGTAGAGACGAGTTTCACCATGCTGTTCAGGGTGGGCTAAAATTCCTGGGCTCAGGTAATCCACCCACCTCAATCTCCCAAAGTGCTTGGATTACAGGTGTGAGCCACTGTGCCCAGCCTGAAATTTAAAATGGTATCCAGTACAGCATAAATGCTCAGATTTTTATGGAATGAACAAACCACAGCTACACAGATCAATTACCTTTGATATTATTTGTATGTACTCCATGGATTTGACCAATGTTTTCTAATTTTTATTTTTGTAGAGGTGGTAGGTCTTGCTATGCTGCCCAATCTAGTCTCCAACTCCTGGCCTCAAATGATCCTCCTGCCTCTGCTTTCCAAAGTGTTGGGCATGAGCCACTGCATCCAGCCTCTGACCAAAGTTTTAACCTGAGCTGTATCCTGCTTTTTGTTTGTTTTTTTTTGTTTGTTTTTGTACAAATGGGGTTGCCCAGGCTGGTATCAAACTCCTGGCCTCAAGCAATACTCTCACCTTGGCCTCCCAAATCACTGGGATTACAGGTGTGAGTTACTGCACCCAGCCCTGCTTTCCTTACAGAGCATATGAGGCATCTATTTCCTCCACCTACTAACCAAGGCAGGAGGCAAATGGCTCTTACTGACAACTGGGTTCACCAGGACACTAAGCAAAATATTTATTAAGAGAAACCTCAAGTAGGGGTGGTAGCTCACGCCAGTAATCCCAGCACTTTGGAAGGACAGGGCAGATTGCTTGAGCCCAGGAATTCCAGACTAGCCTGGACAACATGGCAAAACCCTGTCTCTAAACATTTTTTTAAATGAGCTGGGAATGCTGGTGTTGCACCTGTGGGAGGATGAGGTGGGAGGATTACCTGAGCCTGAGGAGGTCAAGGCTGTAGGGAGCTGTGACTGCGCCACTGTACTCCAGACTGGGGGACAGAGTGAGACCCTGTCTCAACAGAAAAGAAAAGAGAAGAGAAGAGAAGACGAGAAGAGAAGAGAAGAGAAAAGAAAAACCTCTCTGGCTGACTAGCTCTTTTGCTCATTCCTGTAATCCCAGCACTTTGGGAGGCCTACGCAGGAAGATCACTGGAGCTCAGGAGTGGAGACCAGTCTGGGCAATATGGTGAGATCCCATCTCTATAAAAAATTAGCCAGACCTAGGGTGGTATGTGCCTGTAGTCTCAGCCACTCAGGAGGCTAAAGTGGGAGGATCGCTTGATCCTGGGAGATCAAGACTGCAGTGAGCCATGATCATGCCACTGCACTGCAGCTTGTGTGAGAGTGAGACCTCCTCTCAAAACAAACAAAAACAAAAACAAAACCTCTCTTTTTACTAGAAAGATGCCTAGTATCCTCTTTCTACCTTCCAGCAGTCTAAAATTCCCCTCCTCTAATCTACTGAAAAATGACTGATCAAAATTTACCCTGAGCTGCCACTTCCTTTTAGAAGTTTTAATTAACATACATCACCTCCAGATTATGGTAATTGTTCAATCATTTATTTTCATAGAACATGAAAGATTCTACCATTTACATGTATCACAAAGTTTTACAGTTACTGATTAGTCCACTATTCCCTCTCCCATTCCTACCCATGACCAACACAGACACCCTTGAAATTTGTTTCCTCCCTAGGCTGTGTCGAATGCAACCATCTCTCTAGGACAGTACACTGAAGGAGGGGAAGGCCGCTCTAAGGCCCATGTCCCTCTTAGATATACGTTTCAAGAGGGCAATTTCTATCAACCCAATGAAAAATTGACAAGTTCTTAATAAGGTTCTCATTTATGTTTAACTAGACATATTAAAAAGAATTCTCTGGTTATGCACCTTAACCACATTCACCGATGATATTCAAATCTTCGTATCACATCCATATTCCTTGCCAAGCATGATCCTGACTCTGTGCTTTCACACTGGCTGTTCCCTCTACAAGGAACTCTTCTAAATATGTACATGACTTGCTCCCTTGCTTCATTCTGGTTTTACCTCAACTATTATCTCCTCAGAGGCATTCCCTCACTATCTTATCAAAAATAAGCCAGCTGTGATGGCTCATGCCTGTAATCCCAGCACTTTGGGAGGCTGAGGTGGGAGGATCACTTAAGGTCAGGAGTTCAACACTAGCCTGGCCAACATGGTGAAACCCCATCTCTACTAAAAATGCAAAAATCAGCCGAGCATGGTGGTGGTCACCGGTAATCCCAACTACTCGGGAGGCTGAGGAAGGAGAATTGCTTGAACCCAGGAGGTGGAGGTTGCAGTGAGCCAAGATCGTGCCACTGCACTCCAGCCTGGGCAAGAGAGTGAGACCCCGTCTCAAAAATAAAAATAAAAATAATAATAATAATAAGAGCACCGAGCACTCTCTCTTTTACCCTGGTTGTTTTTATTCATAGTACCTATCACAACTTGACTTACAGTATGTATTTCACTGTTTATGTTTATTGTCTCTCTTCCCAACAAAAATGTAAATTATACAAGGGCAGGAGCTGTCTGCCTAGTTCATCATTATCTAGTTAGAATTAGGAAATACTAAATTCTCGTTCAATGAATAAATGTATTTCCCATAGACTTAATTACTCCTGCTATGGTTACGGTTTCAATGAACAAGATGTCACTGGCACAAATGCCCCTCATCCATGGCCAATCTCACAAGCAGATTATAAATATACAGAAAATATAATAACTTTTATTTATGTGTAAAAGCCAAAAATAGATTGAGGGCTTGAGAGTATCTCTGCCCACATATTTTTCAAATATTCCTCAGTAACTATAGAACTTTATTTCAAACCCCTTGCCTAGCACTGAAGGCCCTTTGTAATCTGACCCGACTTCCCTTTCACTCCTATCCCTCTTGTTGTTTCCCTGTATTCTGGGTTTCTATGCTGCAACAATCCCAAGGAACACTATTCATATAGAATATCTAACACAGCATGCAGCCCTGCTTACACTGCAGCCACACTGATCTAGCCTAGATTCCTACCAAATTTTCTCCTAATTACCAATACAAAAAGCTTACCCATTATTCAAAATCCAGCTCCAACACTTTATTCAAAATCCAGCTCCAACACTTTCTCCATAAAATTTTCACTGATCATCCCACCAGAAATTATTTCCTCAATCTGTGAGGGAGCATAGAGCAGTTGGTAACACATCTGAAACTTTTGCCTTATCATAAATCATTAGTACCTTTTACTCTCCTTTAGCATATGGTAAATTCCCAAAGAGCATGGACATTGTTCTACATATCTTTGCATTCTCCATGGTACCTTGCATATGGATGTCAATAAAGTTATTTTAATAATGAATAACTTTTACAGGCACTTTTTATTGTTGTTGTTTTATAGAGACAGGGTCTTGCTACATTGCCCAGGTCGGCCTCAGGTAATCCTCTCACCTCATCCTCCCAAAGTGCTGGGATTACAGGCATGAGCCACCATGCCCGGCCTCTATAGACACTCTGAATCACTGCTTTACATTTCCATTTTCTTTCCTCTTAAAGGATAAAAAAAAGTCCACTGAGAAAAGTAGTATGAATCATATTTCAGTTTAAAGTTTGATTTATCTTGTGGTTCGGTTATATACTACTGCCTTCTTGTGCCTCCATCTCACTAGATCCAATCAGAAGGAGAGAGAATGAAAGTTAAGAGTTAGTTATTAGGGAGATGACGACCTCTGGCATGCTAGTGAGCCAACAAGTAACCAGCTAAGTAGGAGTGTGTACGCACACATGTATGAGAGAGAGAGACAAGAGACAGAGAGAGAGAATACTAGTTATCAGGAGAAGACCCAGCTGGAAAGATCTCAAATAATTTGAATCATCAAAGGTATCTGAACAGGAAAGTGATATGGTGAGAACTGCATTTTGATCTAGAGCTCAGATCAGAGCTAAGAGATAAAAATAGTGAAATCATGGGAGTTAAGACTGTCCCAGAAAAAAATATACAAAGATAGAAAAGGGCTGAAGATAAAATCCTGAGAAATAATTCTATTGGGGACAGGGGAGGGAAGTCAGTGAAAAACAAACGTGATTTGAGAGAGAGAAGACCAAGGAGGGAATGTCATAAAAACCAAAAGAGAAGCAGAGGAAATGAGCAATAATACCAGAAAAGAGGATAAATATTATCAGAGAAGAATCTCATTTGATAATCAGGAGGTTGCTAATACTTTTATGACTGACAGGTTCTATACAATTGGGTGGGAGAGAAGAGTAAGCCATATCATTAAGTTAAAGGGCAAAGAATTATAAAGGCAGCAAATGGGGGCTGCTTTTCCAAGAACTGTGACAGTGAGAAACAGAAGTTTGAGGCAGAGGCAGAGTACAAGTTTGTATGAGGAGGCAGAGTGCAGTGGCTCACGCCTGTAATCCCAACACTTTGGGTGGCCGAGGTAGGCGGATCGCTTGAGGTCAGGAGTTTGAGACCATCCTGGCCAATATGGTAAAATCCCGTCTCTACTAAAAATACAAAAATAAGCTGGGTGTGGTGGCGTGTGCCTGTAATCCCAGCTACTCAGGAGGTTGAGGCAGGAGAATTGCTTGAACCTGGGAGGCGGAGGTTGCAGTGAGTGGAGATCCACACCACTGCACTCCAGCCTGGGCAACAAGAGCGAAACTCCATCTCCAAAAAAAAGAAAAGTTTATATGACGCGACATATGAACTTTCTTATAGGCATAGGAGAAAAAAGGGAAACTGAAAAAAAAAAAAAAAAAGTAAGAGGGGACATACCACCAAGTCCTGGGGGGAAGATGAGGACTGAAAAAGAACAAGCAGAATGAGACAATTTGGGAGGTAGCATGGAACAGAGAAGAACATAGGAGAAACAAGAAAAATGTTTGGTATCGACCAAGGAAGTTAAGGGCACTTCAAATAGCTGGGTAAAGTAATGTACTAAGAATTAAGAGGGGTGAGGCTCAGCAAGAAAAGGTTTAAACAATTGCTGTTTGGGGTGGAACAATAAACTGGAAATGAAAAAAATGAGCACTAAGGGCCCAGATGATAATTGCAAAAGAAAAGGAACAATCACAATTACATGTTCAAAGTAATCTAAAACAGAAGATAAAATTATAATATCAGATCCCTACAAATGTTCTACAGACTCACTCTGTAAGGAAAAACAACAAAGATAAAGTAGTTACATGGAAAGGTTTTCAGAGATACAAAACCCCTAAGCAGTTAACTGTATATGTCAAAATGTGCTACACAAATCTTTACATAGCTGAAAGACTTCTAAGATCCAGCAATAGTCCACTTGCTTTAAACAGACAATAAAATTATTAGAGTCAAATTCCAATATTAAAAAAGAAAAGCAGCTAGACATGGTGGCTCACGCCTATAATCCCAGCACTTTGAGAGGTCGAGGAGGGTGGATCATGAGGTCAAGAGATGGAGACCATCCTAGCCAACATGGTGAAACCCTGTCTCTACTAAAAATACAAAAATTAGCTGGGCGTGGTGGCGTGCGCCTGTAGTCCCAGCTACTCGGGACGCTGAGGCAGAAGAATCGCTTGAACCCGGGAGGCGGAAGTTGCAGTGAACCAAGATCGCACCACTGAACTCCAGCCTGGCAACAGAGCGAGACTCCGTCCCCCTCCAAAAAAAAAAAAATTAAAAAGAAAGAAAAGCTGGTGGTTTTTTTTATGACATTGGCTTCTAACTTCTAAGTTACACATCAAGAAAGTTCACTAGAGTCACTGAGTCACTTACTTTTTTTCAAAATATTATCACCTTCCCTTTATTTGTAAATGTTCAAGTTAAAACACTTTTTAAATTCTTGTGAGCTTTTAAACCTAAACCCTAAGTACCCCGTTTTCTGTATATTCAGGCAGTTTTCCCATTCACAGGTCTGTGCTGTGGATGTAGATTCAGAATTTCCACAAGTACTTAACTAATATGAACCAAAGTAGCTTCCACAGGTAAGTACTTAACTAATATGAACCAAAATAGCTTCCACAGGTAAGTACTTAACTAATATAGACCAAAGTAGCTTCTCCTCCAAACAATCCTTTGTGAGGTTTTGTAAGTAGAACAGTGACTTACTCTTTTCTGAGAGTTATTTTTCGGGAGAAAAAGACCTTGCTTTATATCCAGGTAATCAACAAGTCAAAATTTTCCAGAATCACGGACAAAATTACTTCTTAAACACGTTTCAATTAATAGCATACTGTTTATGTAAACACACAGATGCATTAATAGGAGTCTTCAGAAATAAAACAAATTTTCTTTCCTTTTCTTTTTTCATTTAGAGTCTCACAGAGCAGTGGCGTGATCATAGTTAACTATAACCTCTAACTCAGAATTATCAATAGCACCTATATTGTAGGAACACTGTGAAGATTAAATTAATGTATCTAAAACAATCCTCCCACCTTGGCCTCTCAAAGAGCTGAGATTACAGGAGTGAGCCACTGTGCCCAGCCCACAAATTTTCTTTCTGAAGTAAAGCATGAGAAATTTGCTATACCATTATAAAAGAGAAAAGCAGAGTGGGATGGGTTACTCAATTCCCCGAATTAGTTTTCTTAAAGAAAGAGGGGGAGTAGTTATAGTAATTTATTGTATTATACTAATTAAGTGCCAGGCACTGTTTTAAGCATTATAGATATATTAACTAATTTAATCTTCACAATGTTCCTATGATACAGGCGCTACTGATAATGCTGTCCTACTCATAAGGAAACTTGCCCAAAGTCATACAGCTTTTAAGTGGTGGCTATTCAGGGAGTCTAATTCTAGGGCCCCTCTCCCTTTTAAAAGGTGATATACAGTACTGCCTCTTAGTAAAATTTGTTCTTCATTTTATGAGACAGTCCCATCTATTAGACAATCAAATATCAGTGGTCTAAAGAAGACATGATGGTTAGGTTCCTGTATATTTTCTATTATTTTCTAGTATTCATCCACATTGCCTGAAGGCATGAGAGGCCTCAGGAAGAAGTGGTTCATCCTTTGTATTAGGCTGGTGCAAAAGTGACTGCGGTTTTTGCCATTAATATTATGTTCCCTGAGCTATTCACTACCCCCATTTCTGTCCGTACTTTTAAGGCAAATGATTAACTACTACAGACACATACACAGAACAGACTAGTTCTAAGTCTTCCTCATTCTTCTCCAAACTTTTTAACTGGTGGAGAATCTGCCCCTGTGGGCCTAGATCTCCCTTGCTATATAAAACTAACTTTAAATACTGTCTTTGACAAGGTAACTTTCCTGCGCCCTAAAACGATGGTATCGCTTCATCAGTTGTCATCTGGTTGTGTCCTGTAACTGGGTGGGGGTTAGAAAGCAGTTTCCTAAGGAAAAAGATGAACTCAAGAATGGGAGAATTAGGAGGGAAGGTGTAACACGCAGAAAAGGGAGGAAGGGGGGTGGAGTGGGAGGCACTGCTGGTCTGACTCGGAATTTCGTGCAGACAGAACGAGAACAGAAATGGAAGAAGTGGGGGGTCGAGTCACTGAAACCTGTTAGGCAGCATTTTCTTGGTTTTTCCTTTGATGCGTCTTAGACATTGCTTTACAAGAAACTGAGACCTAACAGTACTAACGGCCCAGCTGGTCAGGACACCGCACGACCATTCATCTCCCGCTCCCGGCCAGAGCTGGTCCCTTGAAAGCATCGCTCCTCGCCAGCGCTCAGCCAGGCTTTTCTCCCAGCGGCCAGTCGGCGGGAGCGACCACCAGAGCCTGTCGACCCCAAGGCCACAGACCCGCGTTCCGGTACTCGCCGGCTGCCACCGCGGCTTCCCTGCCAGTGGACAACCCCTGAACACTCCCACACTTCGCAGCTGAACCTGAGCCGTGCCTTTCCCAAAGAGCCGAACCCGGCGGCCACACAGTAAAACCCAAGCTGGAGTGAGGGTCTTACCTTTAACAGATTAGACGTCGCCATGTTCTTTAACTTGGACTCTCGCGAGACGACGCGAGAATTCGTGGCGCTCCCGGCCAGGCCTTGACCGGAGGCCGGAGCTCCCACCAGGGCCCAGGGCCCGTCGGCCCGCACCAGGGTGTGGTGGGCGCTGGAGCAGCGCGCCGACAGCGCTGACCTCGTCCCAAGCACCAGGAGCTTCCTCACTCTTCTCCCCTACATGGTCACCGGAGCTTCCCCACGCGAAAGACCTCATGCACGCGCTCAGGAAGACCGGAACGGCGAATGCTGAGAAGGTAACGGGAGCCGACCTGACTTGGAAGAGGAAGCATCGACTCCACGAGCCTCCCCGACTCCTTCGGATTAGCCTTTGTGGTTGCACCCGCCGCGGCCACCTGCAACGAATTTAGCTCGGCTTAGGCCCCGCAGCTCAGGTTCCGCGGCCACGTCACGTGACGCGAGGGCGGGGACGCGCTCGGGAGCGAGCGTGGGAGCCTGGAAGCCTCGGTGGGTCCCGAGGCTGCAGCGAGGCCGGGACCGTGCCCTCTGCTGGCGGGACCTGGCGTTTTCCGGCACCCCGCCCCAAATCCCGGACTCGGTGTTAAGGGAGGTGCATTGTCCTGAAATGCTTACAACAGCTGTCTTCAATAACTCGTGCATAGAATGCGCCCAGTAAATATGTGTTGACTGCACAAGCGTGATGACTCTTAATATTTCTATTCAGGAATGCTTGGCACTTAGATAAAATATTGTTCAGTGCTTTGGGAGGCCGAAGGGGGAGGATCACTTGAGGCCAGTTCAACACCCTCGTCATTACAAAAAAGTTTGAAAAAAAAAAAAAAAGATTGTTTAGAGAATGAATATTAATCTTCGATTTTCTGAAGGCACATTATCCTAGAAGATCCTAAACCATAAGCCTCCGGGTTTTACCCCTTCAGACCACACACCACTGGCCAATGAGATAATATAATTTACATGTGGAACCTGCAGGATACCTGGTATTGTATTTTGCAGGTTTACAAACAGCCTTCATACGGCCATAATGCGTAGAAATAAGTAAGAGCTCTGGACTAAGAGAAGAGGGATGGGCCTACTTAAAGAATCCAATCAAGTAGTTAATACTTGTTTGAGCACTTGTATATACTAGGCACAGGAAATACAGGATTAAATAAAAGAGAAGACCCCTGCTCGTTTGGAGTTTATGGCCTAATAAGGTAGCCAAATGTTAAGGATGGCTACACAAGTCAAATATTACTTAGTGGGAGTTGTGATAAATATTGCAAAGAGGCCGGGCGCAGTGGCTCACGCCTATAATCCCTATAGGGCCCCGTGGCTCACGCCTATAATCGGCACTTTGGGAGGCCGAGACACCTGCGGTCAGGAGTCCGCGACCAGCCTGGCCAACATGGTGAACCCCTGTCTCTACTAAAAATACACAAATTAGCCGGGCATGGTGGCGGGCACCTGTAATCCCAGCTACTCGGGAGGCTGAAGCAGGAGAATCGCTTGAACCCTGAAGGTGGAGATTGCAGTGAGCCGAGATCGCGCTATTGCACTCCAGCCTGGACGACAGAGCGAGACTCTTGTCTCAAAAAAAAAACAAAAAAAACAAAAAAAAACTACAAACAAAAAAATACAGTGTGCACTTGAGAGCGTAGGAAGGGAAAGGAAACTAGTATCCTAATCTCCATCTACCCAAGCCACCCTTTGCTTATGCTTAACTGAACCTTAAGACAACTTTTGAGAGCTTGATTTCAGCGTCCTACTGTCAACCGAAGCATTCCAATTTTCCTAACTCACTTGTTCTGGAAACACCACTGCTACAACTCTGACTTCAATAAGTTCTCCATTCCATTGACCCCACCTGTTATCTGCCATCTCCTGTTTTCACTCTTTCTCATCCAATTTAGAATCGGCCCACTGTTATAAAAATGTTTAAATATTTAAAATGCTTAAATATTTATTTCTTAAAAATAGCGCAGGCACATAATACAAAATTCAGAAGGTGCTAAAAATAATACAATCAAAAGTAGTCTTCCTTCGACTTTCTGGGGTGATGTAATGTTCTATATTGTGGTAGGGACTTCAGTTATTCAGGTGTATGCACTTGTCAAAACTCAGCCAGTATACCCTTAAGATTTATGCATTTCAGCCAAGCACAGTGGTGCAATCCTGTAAGCCCAGCACTTTGGGAGGCGAAGGCAGGCAGATCACTTGAGCCCAGGGGTTCGAGACCAGCCTGTGCAAAGTAGCTATCGCTATAAAAAATAATAAAATTTTTAAAAAATGTGCATTTAATTCAAAGAGAAAATAGTTAACAAAATTTGAAGTTTAATGCTACCCATACTGAAGAATTTAGGAGTAAGTGAATCTATATTTATAATTTACTTGGAAATGTATCAAAAAATAAGATGAACTGATGGTTGGGTAGAAACACTGATAAAGCGGGCCTGGCGTGGTGGCTCACGCCTGTAATCCCTGCACTTTGGGAGGCCGAGGCAGGTGGATCACCTGAGATCAAGGGTTCAAGACCAGCCTGGCCAACATGGTGAAACCTTGTCTCTACTAAAAATACAAAAAATTAGCCGGGAGTGGTGGCGGGCACCTATAATCCCACCTACTCAGGGGGCTGAGGCAGGAGAATAGCTTGAACCCAGGAGGCAGAGGTTGCAGTGAGCCAAGATTGCGCCACTGCACTTCAGCCTGGACAACAAGAGTGAAACTCTGTCTCAAAAAAAAAAAAAAAGTATGTATATATATATATATATATATATATATATATGGCAAGTATAGTAAAATGTTAATGGTAGAGTCTAGGTGGTGGCTATGCTAGGGTTCCCTGTGTAAAACCAACTCATCTATATGTTTAAAATTTTTCATAATTAAATATTCGGGGAAAATTTTTAAAAAATAGGCCTGCCTTCCTCCACAGTCCCCCAGGCATCCATTCTTTCTTCTCATAGACAACAGTTATGTTTCTTGTGAATGCCTAGGACATTCTGTGCATGTATAAGCATTCATGTATGTATTATTTTTTCTCTCCCCACAAATGATGGTATACTACATATATTCTTTAACATATTTGTTTTCACTCAGCAGTATGGTATAAATTACTGAAAAAAAAATTTGTGCCTTTTTTTTTCACACTTTCTTTTCTTCTTCTTCTTTTTGAGACAGAGTCTTGCTCTATCGCCCAGGATAGAGTGAGGTGGCATGATCTCCACTCACTGCAACTCCCACCTCCCAGGTTCAAGCGATTCTCAACGCCTCAGCGGCCTGAATAGCTGGAATTACAGATGTGAGCCACCAAGCCCGGCTAATTTTTGTATAGAAATGGGGTTTTACCATATTGGCCAGGCTGGTCTCAAATTCCTGGCTTCAAGCAATCCTCCCACCTCAGCCTCCTAAAGCGCTGGGATTACAGCTGTGAGCCATCATACCTCACCTTTGACCTTAAAAGTCAAAGCTTTTAAGTTGTAAGAGGGGCTTCGTGAAATTATGTTGGCAAGTAGAAATGAGCATATGTTTCTTCTTATATTTATATAAGACATATATAAAAATCAACCATTCCTTCTTATATTTCATAGCCTCTTATGTGATTAATTACATGGGAAAATGCTCAGAATATAATAGGTAAAAATATAGGATGCAAAATTCCACATATGTGCCACAATTCCAACTTTGTAAAGAAAGAAAGCTACAGTTTTATTTCCTACTCTGAATAGTGGATAAACTGGAAAAAATATTCAAAATGTTACCAGTGTTTGTGAGTAGTAGAAAATGGGATAATTTTACTTCTATTTATTTAAAATCTTTTTAAAAATCACCTGCTGGCTGGGCACAGTGGCTCATATCTATAATCCCAGCACTTTGGGAGGCTGAGGTGGGCAGATCACCTGAGGTCGGGAGTTCGAGACCAGCCTGACCAAAATGGAGAAACCCTGTCTCCACTAAAAATACAGAATTATCCAGGCTTGGTGGCACATGCCTGTAATCCCAGCTACTTGGGAGGCTGAGGCAAGAGAATCACTTGAACCCGGGAGTGGGAGGTTGTGGTGAGCCGAGATCACGCCATTGTACTCCAGCCTGGGCAACAAAGAGCGAAACTCCGTCTCCAAAAAAAAAAAAAAATCACCTGCTAATTTAAGAAAATGTAGCCATCATGTTAAACCATAATACCTTACAAAATGAAAGTTCTCTATAAACTTTTCTCTCCCACCTCCTAAAATATCCACTGTTAGCCATTTGTTTTATTCTTCTCATTTGTTTTCTGTGTATGCAGTAAAATATATATAAAGGAGTTTGTCAAATGTGGCTGATCATTTACATCAAAATAACCTGGGGTGCTTATTTTAAAAGCAGATTTCTAGGCTCTACCCTCTGAAGATTCTGATTCTACAGGTCAGGAGTGAGGCCCCAAATCTACCTTTTCCCTAAGCATCCCAGGTGACTTTCCTTGTACACCAGTGGCCAAGAATTCTTGTGCATCAGTGGCCCAGAATTTCTCATAGAATACTTAAGAATGTGTGCTTTAGAACCAAACAGATCCTGCCATTTATGAGCTACGAGACGTTGGGTACATTACTTAACCCTGCTGAGTCATAGTTTCCTTGTCTGTATCTGTAATGTAATGTATTACAGTGGCTCACACCTGTAATCCCAGCACTTTGGGAGGCCAAGGCGGGCAGATCACCTGAGGTCAGGAGTTTGAGACTAGCCTGGCCAACATGACGGAACCCCGTCTCTACTAAAAATACAAAAATTAGCTGGGCATGGTGGTGGGTGCCTGTAATCTCAGCTACTGGGGAGGCTGAGGCAGGAGAATCGCTTGAACCCGGGAGTTGAGCAGTGGGCCGAGATTGCACCACTGCACTCCAGCCTGGGTGAGAGGGCGGGACTCTGTCTCAAAAAAAAAAAAAAGAAAGAAAAAGAAAAAGGAAAAAAATGTATTGCACGTGTAAGCACTCAGTAAATGTAGTAATAATAAGACCTAAAACATATAATGCTTACCATATGTCAGACACAGTTCTATGCACTTTACATAGATGAATACATTTGATGTAGGAATTTAATTCCTCCTTGTGGAGACCTTAAGTATCTTTTTTTGTTTGTTTCTTTTGAGACAGAGTTTCACTCTTGTTGCCCAGGCTGGAGTGCAATGGTGCAATCTTGGCTCACTGCAACCTCTGCCTCCCGGGTTACAGGCATGTGCCACCATGCCTGGCTAATGTATTTTTAGTAGAGATGGGGTTTCTCCATGTTGGTCAGGCTGGTCTCGAACTCCTGACCTCAGGTGATCCACCCGCCTTGGCCTCCCTTAGTGCTGGGATTACAGGCGTGAGCCACTGCGCCCGGCCTTAAGTATCTTTTAAACTTCACACCTGAGAAGAGGAAGAGTCAGGTAGCTGATGTGAATGATCCATCATTTAGAAGGGGAAAAATGATGATGGAAAGGATAGAAAGGAGAAAATGTGCTAGAACCATGTTCTTGATAAGGCAAGAGGATGGCACTTAGGGCACACATGGGGAGAGGTGCACCTTGGCTAGCACCATGGACAGTCACACCTACTAGGAGGATAGACACGAGACCGTCGATAGGCTCTTGGAAGTGAAGATTCTCTTCCGATTGCTTCTCTTCTCTAATTGAAGTTGGAAGCCAGGTCATGAGCTGATAGTGAGGATGCTGTGAGGTTTAAGAAGAAAGGAGAAAAGGAGAAGATGGGAAATTGTTATCTATGATGGTGGAAGAGGAAAGAGAAATATATAATGATTCCTGGGCATCCCTAAGTGCCAACTTGAGACTAGTTATCCCAGATTTTAATTGAGGTCTCTCAGCATAGCTAAGGAAATTAACATTCACCAGGGTTAAGTAATGTGCCTAAGGTCTCACAGCTCCTACGTGGCAGGACCTGTTTGATTCAAAAGACATATTCAGCCACTCGGGTGCAGGCGTAGAATTGGATGTAACCAAAGTTGGGGTTTTGCCGAGAGAGAATGATGGAGGGCATTGAGCATATATACAAGGGAGTGAGTATGATGATCGACCCTTGGATTTAAGCTGAATTAGGAGGCAAAGAACAGTGAAAAAACAGTAGGGTCAAAGTACCGTCCATTCACATTGGAGTCTAAGGATTGCTGGAGTCAAGATGGAAGAGGTACTAGGCTGAAAAGATAGCAGGGGATAGTTGGAGAATGAAATTGAGCTTAGGTTGTTATTGGGAGCATTATGGGTAGTGACAAAGGCTACACTCTGATCAAGATTGAGAGTAGTTGGCTGGGCGCGGTGGCTCACGCCTGTAATCCCAGCACTTTGGGAGGCCAAGGAGGGCAGATCACTTGAGGCCAGGAGTTGGAGACCAGGCTGGCCATCATGGTGAAACCCCGTCTCTACTAAAAATACAAAAATTAGCTGGGCATGGTGGCGCACACCTGTAATCCCAGCTACTCAGGAGGCTGAGGCATGAGAATCACTTGAAACCAGGAGGTGGAGGTTGCAGTGAGCTGAGATCACACCATTACCCACTAACTGGGAAATAGAGTGAGACTCTGTCTAAAAGAAAAGAGAGAGAGAGAGAGAGAGAGTAGTTGAGTTGGAGAACAGGAGAACAGAATCATTAGAAAAGTGGAGGTTAAGGAATGGAGAAGCCAGGCATACCAGACGCTTTCGGTGTTCAGTCACATCCTCTTGACCTATTTCTGATTTCATCAGCGGCTATGAACATTCTATGTGAGCTCAGATGTCCCTGATACCTTCCCACATGAAAAGAGCACCTCTCCTTTCTGCTTTCACCTCAAGGTCTTCTCTGAAGGTCCAGGAGCCTGCTAGGTCCACAGACAAGTGCAGCAAAGCACAAGGAAGACAATGCTTTTGGGGACAACTGCCAACCAGGAGAGTCAGCAGCCACTGGATATGTGTCCCAACCTCTGTTCCATTGGTGGACAATTTTATGGGGCACTCAGGATGCTTCCCAGAGATCTCAGTGGACCTGAGTCCCCTTTGTTCATGGTGGTGACCTTGATGGCACACTTTTCCTCCTTCCTTATCTTACTCTCCCTACTTTCTCATTCCTGCCTCTTGGGTTATCTCCCAAAGAAATCACTTCTATCCCAGGTCCTTGTTTCAGACTCGCTTTCAGGAGAAACCTTAATAAAACACCAGGGTACTAATAATCTTTTTTTTTTTTTTTTTTTTTTTTTGAGACAGAGTCTTGCTCTGTCGCCCAGAGTGGAATGCAGAGGCGCAATCTCGGCTCACTGCAGCCTCCGCCTCCCAGGTTCAAGCAATTATCTTGCCTCACCCTCCCAAGTAACTAATAATCTTTTATATAGAAGTTGAAATCACTAAGAATGACCACAGGAATAATGCTGGAGAGAATGATATTGGAGTCAAGATCTAAATTCATTAAGGAATGAGGGCATATGATCTGGGAAGTCATTACATGAATGAAAAGGAGCATTAATGCATGAGTAGCTGACTGACACAAGACTCAGAGCTGAGCGTTTTTAGGGAATGGGGAGGATGATCTGGAAGTGGCAGTGGGAGCAAAGAGGACCCATGCACGAACTGTAGGCCCGGTGGTACATCAGCCATCTTGTGAGAGAGATGCAGAAAAAACAGTGACTTCAGGAGGGAACCAAGTTTCACTTAGAATAAAAAAGTAAACGGACTTCTTTGCTGTAGTTGTAAGTGCAGAAGCTGGGGAGGGACACTTTTATCCCAAGTCCACAGGATTTTTGGGAATGCTCCTAATCCTTGCTAGAAGAGGCAGGGAACCCAGGGAGAGAATGGGTTTATCTGGGGTACTGAGAATTCTGGGGAACAAATTTTAATGACTAATTTGGAGCTATTCTTCTCTAACTCTTGTATAGTCACTTACCCTTTCAAGAGTCTTCGTTTGTTAACCAATCGTTAACCAGTGCCTAAAGCTTATGCCTCAATTATATTTGCTATAAATATTTTCTATAAATAATGATATATTATTTAATTCAAGGATGAATTAAATAATATGGGGCTTGGCTGGTCATGGTGGCTCATGCCTGTAATTCCAACACATTAGAAGGCCAAGAAGGGAGGATCACTTGAGTTCAGGAATTCAAGACCAGCCTGGGCAACATGGTGAAACCCCATCTCCACAGAAAACACAAAAATTAGCCAGGCGTGGTGGTGCATGCTGTAGTCTCAGCTACTGAGGAGGCTGAGGTGGGAGGATCACTTAAGCCCATTAGGTCGAGGATGCAGTAAGCCGAGATTGTGCCACTGCACTCCAGCCTGGGTGACATAGCGAGAACCTGTCTCAAAATAAAAATAAAAATAAAATAATATGGGGCTTATACTATTCTATTTATATAACAACCCCAAATACTGAAAAATAACAAAAGTGTCTAAAAATTTTAAATATTGCAAAACCACATCCTTATGCACCACCAGAGTTATCAATTCTTGAAAAAAACAGTGCTTAGGTATATGGTTTTCGGAAAAAATGGATTTTTTTTTTTTTTGAGTCAGAGTTTTGCTCTTGTTGCCCAGGCTGGAGTGCAATGGCGCGATCTCGGCTCACCGCAACCTCCCACTCCTGGGTTCAAGCGATTCTCCAGCCTCAGCCTCCCAAGTACCTGGGATTACAGGTGCGTGCCACCATGCCCAGCTAATTTTATATTTTTAGCATAGATGGGGTTTCGCCACGTTGGCCAGGCTGGTTCAAACCCCTGACCTCAGGTGGTCTGCCCACCTCAGCATCCCAAAGTGCTGGGATTATAGGCAGGAGTCACCACAGTCAGCCACAAATGGATATTTTAACCAACCCGATGGGCTGACCAACTTGCACCCTGTGGATTTGCTTAGGGCCGGTTTATCTTCCACTGTATTAGCTAGTGTTGTTGATGGATGTAACTGGGACTAGATGCAGGTCTTCCAAATTGTGATCCAAGGCTTTTCCTGCCTGAAGGATGGTTTCAGAGAATAAAATCAAAGAAAACAGCGACCAAAATGCTCAGGGCATGCTTCTCTTGTCCTGTGAGGTGGACCCTTCACTTCTGAACCTTCACTTCACCTTTCCTGTGGCTGCCTCCGACCCTGGTTCCTCTGTGCCCCTGTCTACAACTGTGGACTCGCTCCCACAATGTACCCTGACTCTTCACATGGGGCAGGTGGTTAACCTGAGATGGTTCTAGGTTTTCTGATGTTTTTACTGGATGTGTTTTCTTATCCTCTAGACCTGTTTGCTCCAGTGACTAAGTCAAGCTCACCCCTCTCCTTTCCTCTGTCAGTAAATAGATTTTCCAGCCGCTGGAAACTCTCCTTGGAAAGAATGCAAGTCTGAGGTTTTCAACTCCAGGCTCCTTAACCTCCCACTTTGGTGCCCCCTCAGTGGCCACGGTTGGGTTTGCAGCAGCTGGGATGGGTGGTGTTCAAAACTCTATTTCAACAGCTACCCCCAGTGGAATATCAGTTAACTACACTGGCAAGAGCTACCTGAGATCAGGTTGACTTGGCTTAAGGAGAATTTCAGACAGACCCTCAAAGAAACACACGTACACAACACACATATACCAACACTTCTGATACTTGTTTCATTATCCATAACTGTTCACTTTTTAAATACCAGAAAAGACAAACAATTTATCTTGTCTAAGTGGCACTAAGTAGAAGAAACAAAAATGAGCAGCCGTTGGAGAATTATGACACTTTTTATTAATGCTATCATTTGGGAGACTTCATCTAACTAGAATTTTATTTTTAAATTTTATAATAATACTTTTTATTTATGCTACTATTACTTAAAAGCCTTATCTAACTTTATTTTTATGTTATTTATTTATTTATTTATTTATTTTGAGATGGAGTCTCACTCTGTCACCCAGGCTGGATTGCAATGGCGCAATCTCGGCTCACTGCAACCTCTGCCTCCTGGGTTCAAGCGATTCTCCTGCCTCAGCCTCCTGAGTAACTGGGATTACAGGCACACCACCACGCCCAGCTAATGGGGTTTCACCATGTTGGTCAGGCTGGTCTCGAACTCCTGACCTCGTGATCTGCCTGCCTCAGACTCCTAAAGGGCTGGGATTACAGGCGTGAGCCACCGGGCCTGGCATAACTTATTTTTAAATATGCTCAGTTCAGACAATTAACAAGATAAAAATGAACCATTTGAAAATAAGATTTTAGTAATGTAATTTACAGATTTACTTTTTACATGAAATTCAATTTCTTAATTGATTCATATCTGAAGTAAATTGTCAGAGTATTTTTGCTGTGCCAAAGCTATCTAATAGTTATAGTATAAAGGATGCATTGTGCTATACTTTTGCTTAGTAAACTACTTATTACTTATAAAATCAAAATACTGCAAGACTTCACAAGTCTAGGCAATGAGGTCACATCAACTTTTTTTTTTTTTTTTTTTTTTGAGATAGAGTCTTGGTCTGTTGCCCAGGCTGGAATGCAGCAGTGCAATCTTGGCTAACCGCAACCTCTGCCTCCAGGGTTCAAGTAATTCTCCTGCCTCAGCCTCCCTAGTAGCTGGGATTACAGGCGTGCGCCACCACGCCAAACTAATTTTTGTATTTTTAGTAGAGACAGCGTTCCACCATGTTGGCCTGGCTGGTCTCGAACTCCCGACCTCAAGTGATCCACCTACCTCGGACTCCTAAACTGCTGGGATTATAGGCATGAGCCACTGCTCCTGGCCCACATCGACATTAATACCTAAATTTTGCTGCTCCTTTTACTAGCCTCCACTTCCCCTATCACTTTTAAATTTTGTTTTATTTTGTTAGTCTCCAAGGCATGCTTCAAAATGCTCAGGATCAATTCTGCTTATGTTGTTCTGCTCCATTGAGCTCCATAATTTAGTCAGCTATCTAAAATATATTGGTGATTTCAAAAAATATAATTAGAAATGCTAATTATGAGCCAATTGAGAATATGCATAAGGGAACAAACAGGGCTTAAAATATTTACATTGTGGTAGTAAAGCTGTATTGTAGATTGCATCTTGAAAGGTCAAGTGGTTTTTTTTTTGTTTGTTTTTTTTTTTTGAGAGAGGGTCTAGCTTTGTTGCCCAGGCCAGAGTGCAGTTGGGGAGATCACAGCTCACCGCAACCTCAGCTTCCTGGGCTCAATCGTTCCTCCCACCTCAGCCTTCCTGAGCATCCTGGCTAATTTTTTGCTTTTTTTGTAGAGATGGGGTTTCACTGTGTGGCCCAGGCTTGTCTCAAACTCCTGGACTCAAGTTATCCACCACCTTGGCTTCCCAAAGTGCTGAGATTACAGGAGTGAGCCACCACACCAGGCCCCAGCTGGTCATTTTTCCCTCTCTTTTGTTTGAATAGAACTTGTGCATTCTGTCATAGGTGGACTGGCTGGAGAACCACAGACCTCCCTTCAATTCTTGAAACTTAGAAGGGACGATAGCCTGAATCTTCCCACTAGGTATACACAATCAACTCAGACTAGCAGGAACAGCCTGTTACATTCACCTCTAATATGAAATTAATTCTGCCAAATTAATCTGCATATTCAATAAAATTTCAATATAATACTTCAATCATTTTTTTAACAGAAACTTGACAAGACAATTGAAAATGTATTAGGGAGATAAAATGTGGAAGGACATACTAAGATATGGGCTTAAAAAAATGTTGAAGAAGGCCAGGCTTGATGGCTCATGCCTGTAATCCCAGCACTTTGGGAGGCCGAGGCAGGAGGATCACTTGAGACCATCCTGGGCAATGTGGTGAAACCCCATCTATACAAAAAAATACAAAAAAATTAGCCAAGCATGTTGGCGGGTGCCTGTGGTCCCAGCTACTTGGGGGGCTGAGGCCAGAGGATAGCTGGAGCCCAGGAGGTGGAGGTTGCTGTGAGCCAAGATCACACCTCTGCACTCCAGCCTGAGTGACAGAGCAAGACCCTGTTTCCAAAATAAATAAATAAATAATAAATTTAGTGACTTAAAACAATACAAGCTTATTCTCTTATAGTTCTGGAGGTCAGAAGGCTAAAATCAAGGTGTCAGCAGGACTGCACTCCTTCTAAAGGTTTCAGGAAAAATGTGTTCCTTGCCTTGTCCAGCCTCTAGAAGCTGCC
Source organism: Homo sapiens (assembly GCF_000001405.40). NCBI lineage: Eukaryota > Metazoa > Chordata > Mammalia > Primates > Hominidae > Homo > Homo sapiens. Next base: position 107,997,284 of record NC_000011.10, on the reverse strand, counting down.
CAAATTCCTTGGCTGGTGGCTCCTTTCTCCATCTTCAAAGCCAGCAGTGTAGCATCTTCTGTCTTTGATCTGCTCCCCTCTACTTCCATTTACACGTGGTCTTTTTTTTTTTTAACTTTAACCTTCGTGCCTTCCTCTTATAAGGACACTTGTGATTATATTGTGGCCATCTGGAAAAGGTTAAACTCCCCATCCCAAGATCCTTAACTTGATCACAACATCTGCAAAGTCTCTTTTGCTGTGTAAGGTAACATGTTCACAAATTCTGGAAATTAGGATGTGGTCATCTTTAGGGGGCCATTGTTTGTCTTCTACACATACCAGCAACTCATAGTCACTCTTATTTCATGTATACTCCAACCCACTTGTAATCAATAGCGTATCATTTCATTCATACACATTTTAGTATGTATTTCTAAAGGATAAGAGCTCTTTAGAAAAATAATACCATTATCACACCAAAAAGCTAACAATAATGTTTTAATATCACTGTTTAGTATTCCAATTTCCCTGACTGTCACATCATTCCTTTATTTTTTGGAGACAGGGTCGTGCTCGGTTGCCCAGGCTGGAGTGCAGTGGTGTGATCATAGCTCACTGCAGCCCCACTTTCCTAGGCTCAAGTGATCCACTTGCCTCAGCCTCCCAAGTAGCTAGGACTACAGGCACATTCCACCACTCCCAGCTAATTTTTGTATTTTTTGTGGAGATGGGGTCTCACTATGTTGCCCAGGCTCAACTCCTGGACTCAAGCAATGTTCCCACCTTGGTCTCCCAAAGTGCTGGGATTACAGGTGTGAGCCACCATGCCCAGCCACATAAATCTTTTCTGTGGTTGAATCAGGAACATATGATCAACACAATATAGGTGGTTGATATATCCCTTAAGTCTTTCTAATTCATAATCTTCTAAGATGGACACTGAGATACCCCACTCTGATCATCCCTCTGTGAAAGACTTATTGCCCCAGATTCTGGCAGTGCTGTTGACAGGCAACATTCAGCTAGCAGTTTCCTCAGGGATTGCCTCAGTGGCAGAGAGCCACGTTACCCAAGGCCACACCCTTTCTGTGTGATAAGAAAGCCAAACAGCCTTATTGCTGATATGGAGGAAGTTTTAGAGGTCTGGATACAAGATCCAAGCAACCACAACGTTCCCTTAAGCCAAAGCCTAATCCAGAGCAAGGCCCTAACACTCTTCGATTTTATGAAGGCTGAGAGGAAGCTGCAAAAAAAAAGTTTGAAGCTAGCATAGTTGGGATCATGAGGTGTAAGGAAAGAAGCTGTCGCCGTAACTTAAAAGTGCAGGGTGAAGTAGCAAATGCTTATGTAGAAGCTGCAGCAAGTTATCTAGAAGATCTAGCTAAGATGACTGATGAAGGTGACTGTGATAAACAATTTTCAATGTAGACAAAATAGCCTTCTTTTGGAAGAAGTTGCCATTTAGAACTTTCATAGCTAGAGAAGTCAATGCCTGGCTTCAAAGCTTCAAAGGACAGGCTGACTTTCCTGTTAGAAGCTAATGCTGCTGGTGATTTTAAGTTAAAGTCAGTACTTATTTACCATTCAGAAAATCCAAGGGCCCTTAAGAATTATGTTAAATTGGCTGGGTGCAATGGCTTACGCCTACAATCCCAGTACTTTGGCGAGGTTGCAGTGAGCCGAGATTGCAGAGATCGCATCACTGCACTCCAGCCTGGGTGACAGAGCAAGACTCCATCTCAAAAAAAAAAAAAAAAAAGAAAAGGATTATGTTAAATCTACTCTGCCTGTGCTCCAGAAATGGAACAATAAAGCCTAGACAAAGCACATATGTTTGTGGCATTGTTTACTGTTTTAAGCCCATTGTTGAGACCCACTGCTCAGAAAAAAAGATTTCTTTCAAAATGCTACAGTTCATCAAAAATGCTTCAAGAGCTCTGACAGAGATGAACAGAGATGAATGTTGTTTTCATGCCTGCTAGCTCACATCCATTCTGCAGCCCATGGATCAAGGAGTCATTTTGACTTTCAGGTCTTATTACTTAAGGAATACATTTCCTAAAGCTGTAACTGCCATAGCTGGCAATTCCTCTGTCAGATCTTGGCAGAATAAATCAAAAACCTTCTGGAAAGGATTCACCAGTCTAGATGACATTAAGGACATTTGTGATTCATGGCAGGAGGTCAAAATAGCAACATTAACAGGAGTTTGAAGGAAGTTGATTCCAGCCCTCATGGATGACTTTGAGGTGTTCAAGCCTTCAGTGGAGGAAGTAACTGCAGATGGGATGGAAAAAACAAGAGAACTACAATTAGAAGTGGAGCCTGAAGATGGGACTGAATTGCTGCAATCTCATGATCAAACTTGAATGCATGAGGAGTTGCTTCTTATGGATGAGCAGAGAAAAGTGATTTCTTGAGATGGAATCTACTCCTGGTGAAGATGCTGAATCCTTCATTGTTGAAATGACAATGAAGGATTTAGAATATCATATAAACTTAGTTAATAAAGCAACAGCAGGGTTTGAGAGGATTGACTCTGATTTTGAAAGAAGTTCTACGGTGGATAAAATGCTATCAAACAACATGGCATGCCTCAGAGAAATCTTTCATGAAAGGAAGAGTCAACTGATGCAGCAAACTTCACCATAGTCTTATTTTAAGAAATTGCCACAGCCACCCCAACCTTCAACAATCACCACCATGATCAGTCAGCAGCCATCAACTTCCAGGCAAGACCCTCCACCAGCAAAAAGACTATGGTTTGCTGAAAGGTTAGGTTCATTAGCATTTTTTTCACAACATTTTAGATTAAGGTATGTACATTATTTTTTCAAACATAGTGCTATTGCACACTTAATAGACTACAGTAGAGTAAAAACATAACTTTTATATATACAGTGGGAAACAAACAAAAAATTCTGTTACAGAAGGTGCAGGATTGGAAAACAAAAAAACAAAAAAAGCCTGGATTCAGTAGCTCATGCCATAATCCTAGCACTTTGGGAGGCCAAGGTGGGCAGATCACTTGAGCCAGGAGTTCGAGACTAGCCTGGGTAATTTGATGAAACTTTACCTCTACAAAAAATACAAAAATTAGCCAGGCTTGGTGGCACATGCCTGTAGTCCCAGCTACTTGGTAGGCTGAGGTGGGAGGATCGCTTGAGCCTGAGAGGTTGAGGCTGCAGTGAGCCAAGACTAGCACCACTGCACTCCAGCCTGGGTAACAGCTCAAGACCCTGCCTCAAACACAAAAACAAAAAACAAAAAAAGGAAAAAAGGCCAGGTGCGGTGGCTCACGCCTGTAATCCCAGCACTTTGGGAGGCAAAGGCAGGTGGATCACTTGAGGTCAGGAGTTCCAGACCAGCCTGGTCAACATGGTGAAACTTCATCTCTACTAAAAGTACAAAAATTAGCTAGTAGTCCCAACTACTCTGGAGGCTGAGACAGGAGAATTGCTTGAACACGGGAAGCAGAGGTTGCAGTGAGCCGAGACTGTGCCATTGCATTCCAGCCTGAGCAACAGAGCGAGACTTCGTCTCAAAAAAACAAACAAAAAAAATTTTGTGACCCACTTTATTGCAACAATCTGCAACTGAACCTGCAATATCTCTGAGGTGGGCCTGTATAACCCAGTTAAAAATGTGCTGGGCTTGATAAGGGAGGAAAGAGACTGTATTCCAAAAAGAGCTATAGGACTGCCAATATGTGCTGGAGTATTGTGCATGCTATCGGTCTCTGAAGGTGTTTGATCAGCAGGCCAGAATATAAGGTTGAGTGAGGAAAATTTTATTGATTTTGGAGCTCTTTCATAGGATATTGGATTTAATGTTTTGGCAAGAACCCGAGGAGGTAGTGCCAACTTTCTCTGTTGATGCCTTCTAGAAACATAGAAAAGATGATGTCCACACTAACCGGAGTTAGATGCCAGATGCCAGAATTGTTGTGACAGGTGGGTTTTTCTTTTCTTTTTTTTTTAGATGGAGTTTTGCTCTTGTCTCCCAGGCTGGAGTGCAATGGCACGATGTCGGCTCACTGCAACCTCTGCTTGCTGGGTTCAAGTGATTCTCCTGCCTCAGCCTCCTGAGTAGCTGGGATTACAGTGGTGTGTCACCACACCTGGCTAATTTTATTTGTATTTTTAGTAGGGACATGGTTTCACCATGTTGGTCAGGCTGGTCTCAAACTCCTGACCTCAAGTGATCCCCCGACCTTAGCCTCCAAAGTGCTGGGATGACAGGCGTGAGCTACTGTTTCTGGCCTTTTTTTTTTTTTTTAAACACTTGCTATGGACTAAGGCAACGGCCCCCAGCCTTTTTGGCACCAGGGACCAGTTTTGTGGAAGGCAATTTTTCCGTGGATGGTGGGGAGGGGAGATGGTTTTGGGATGAAACTGTTCCACCTCAGATCATCAAGCCTTAGTTAGATTCTTAGAGGAAGCGCACAACCTAGATCCCCGGCATGCACAGCTCACAATAGGGTTCATGCTTTTATGAGAATCTAATGCCACTGCTGATCTGACAGAAGGCAGAGCTCAGGCAGTAATGCTCACTCGCCCACTCACCTCCTGCTGTGCAGCCCGGTTCCTAACAGGCCATGGACCAGTACCAGTCCACGGCCCAGGGGTTGGGCACCCCTGGACTAAGGGACATGGCAGGTAGTAGAAGAAAGGGTTAAATGGCTCTGAGAACTGGGCATGCTGAAATGGATATTTTAGAAAAGTAGAAAAATCCTCCAGATGATTCTGTACCACAGAAGGGCCCAGAGATACATCATTTACCGAGGCAATAAGGAATGTCCTGGTAAGAGGGGCGTCTGTGTCACTCACTAAGAAGGTCAACTGTGGCTCTTCTCCGGAGGATAGGGCTGATGGTAGGAGAGGTCCTTACAGAACTAGGCTCCCTGATAGGATTGGCAATGATACGACTCTAAAACAGAGTCTAGATGGCGACACTTCATTCTTAGAAACCATAACGACACAATGATCATAAAGTATGTCAAGGTCAAAGGGGCAGTCAGAGGGGGTCTTATTTGCAGAGATTTATGGAGATAGTTGCAGAACATGGTGTCTGATGGCTAATTTTATGTGTCAACTTGGCTGGGCCAAGGAGTACCCACAAATATTATTCCCAGTGTTTCTGTGAGGGTGTTTTTAGATGAGATTAACATTTAAATCAATGGAATTTGAGTAAAGCAGCTTACTCACAACAATGTGGGTGGTCCTCATCCAACCAATTCAAAACCTGAATAGGAGAGAGAAACGAGCCTCTCCTGAGACAGAGGGAATGCTCCAGCAGACAGCTTTTGGACTTAATTTGCAACATTAGCTCTTCCTGGCTCTACGGCAGATAGGCTTTAGTCTTGAACTGCAGCATAAGCTCATCTGGGTCTCCAGCTTGCCAGCCCACCCTGCAGATTTTGGACTTGCTAGTCTCTGTAATTGTGTGAGCCAATTCCTTACAATAAATCTCTTTCTTTGTACGTAAACATCCTATTGGTTCTGTTTTTCTAGAGAACCCTAACTAATACATGTCCCTGTTATAAAAATAGATGAGCCACCAAGGCTGGGTGTGGTGGCTCATGCCTGTAATCCCAGCACTTTGGGAGGCTGAGGTGGGTGGATCACCTGATGTCAGGAGTTCGAGACCAGCCTGGCTAAAATGGCGAAACCCTGCCTCTACTAAAAAGACAACAATTAGCCAGGCGTGGTGGCCTGCACCTGTAATCCCAGGTACTCGGGAGGCTGAGGCAGGAGAATCGCTTGAAACTGGGAGGTGGAGTTTGCAGTGAACTGAGATCACGCCAGTGCACTCCAGCCTGGGCGACAGAGTGAGGCTCTGTCTCAAAAATAAATAAATAAATATACTTTTTAAAATGAAATAGATGGGCCACCAAACTGGTATACTCAATCTATATGATCAAAATAAATCAAGGATGTATGATCAGGAGGTTGAGAACAGTCACCCCAATAAAAAGTCATAATCCCTTGCCCGGTTTTCAGAACTGAGCCAGTTTTCAGATCCAGAGTCTACTGACTTTAGAAGAGGTTGGGTCTCCAGGGTCAGACGCAGTGGCTCACACCTGTAATCCCAGCACTTTGGGAGGCCGAGGCGGGCGGATCACGAAGTCAGGAGATCAAGACCATGCTGGCTAACATGGTGAAACCCTGTCTCTACTAAAAATACAAAAAATTAGCCGGGCGTGGTGGCAGGCACCTGTAGTCCCAGCTACTCGGGAGGCTGAGGCAGGAGAATGGTGTGAACCCAGGAGGTGGAGCTTGCAGTGAGCCAAGATGGCACCGCTGCACTCCAGCCTGGGCGACAGAGTGAGACTCCGTTTCAAAAAAAAAAAAAGAAGAAGAGGTTGGGTCTCCAGAAGGAAAGACCCTGCAACACCTCAGCAAGTGTACGTATTAGAGTAATGTTTGCCTCCATCCTTTTCCAAAGAGAACTGTAGCCATTTACTTGGGTAACTATGCACAAGGACCATTGGACACAAGGTCCAAGTTGACTCTGATGACACTCAGAGACCTGAAGTGTCATCATGGGTCCGCTGTTAGAATAGGGGCATACAGGGATCAGGTAATAAATGATCCCCTGCTTAGGGACAGCTTACAGCTCACGTGGGTTCACTGTATCTAGAGACTCATCCAGTGGTCATTTCCTCATTCCTCAAATGTATAATCGAAATAGACATACAGTTATGTGCCACATAACAATGCTTATATAACAGTGGTCCCATAAAATTATGATGGAGGTAAAAAATTCCTATTGCCTGTGATGGCACAGTTGTCATAATGTCATAGCATAACATTATTCAAGTGTTTGTGGTGTTGCTGGTATAAACAAAACTACTGCACTGCCAGTTATATAAAAGTATAGCACATATAATTATGTATAGTAAGTAACACTTGATAATGATAATACTGGCTTCTGTATTTACTATACTATACTTTAAGTGGTTATTTTAAAGTATACTCAGGTCCGGCATGGTGGCTCATGTCTGTAATCCTAGAACTTTGGGAGGCCAAGGCGAGTGAATCACTTGAGGTCAGGAGTTCAAGACCAGCCTGGCCAACATGGTGAAACCCATCTCTACTAAAAATGCAAAAATTAGTCAGGCATGGTAGCATCTGCCTGTAATCCCAGCTACTCAGGAGGCTGAGACAGGAGAATCACGTGAACCTGGGAGGCAGACGTTGCAGTGAGACGAGATTGCACCGCTGCACTCTACCCTGGGTGACAGAGCAAAACTCTACCTCAACAACAACAAAAAATAATAAAATAAAGTGAACTTCTTCTATTTATATAAAAAGAAGTTAACTGTAGAGTAGCTTCAGGTAGGTTCTGTCCATCATGATTTATTCTAGAAGAAGGCATTGTCATCCTAAGAGGTGATAGCTCTATATGTGTTATTGTCCCTGAAGACCTTCCTGTGGGACCGGATGTGGAGGTGGAAGACAGTGATATTGATGATCCTGATCCTGTGTAGGCCTAGGCTCGTGTGTGTTTGTATCTTTGTTTTTTGATTTTTGTTTTTGTTTTTTTGTTGAGACGGAGTTTTGCACTGTTGCCCGGGCTGGAGTGCAGTGGCACAATCTTGGCTCACTGCAACCTCCGCCTCCCGGGTTTATGCCATTCTCCTGCCTCAGCCTCCTGAGTAGCTGGGACTGCAGGCACACACCACAACGCCTGGCTAATTTTTTGTATTTTTAGTAGAGATGGCGTTTCACCGTGTTGGCCAGACTGGTCTTGAACGCCTGACCTCGTGATCTGCCCGCCTCAGCCTCCCAAAGTGCTGGGATTACAGGCGTGAGCCACCGTGCCCAGCCGTGTCTTCATTTTTCACAAAACGTTTAAAAAACGTTTAAAAAATAAAAATAAAGGCCAGTGCTACTCAGGAGGCTCAGGCAGGAGAATAGCTTAAAGCCAGGAGGTGGAGGTTGCAGTGAGCCGAGATCACACCACTGCACACCAGTCTGGGTGACAGAGAAGACTCCATCTCAAAATAAATAAATAAATTTATTAATTAATTAAAAAAATAAAATAAAATAAAAAAATTTAAAAATAGAAAAAAGCTTATAGAATAAGGATATAAAGAAAGAAAATATTTTTGTACAGCTGTACGTGTATTTTATGTTTTAAGTTGTGTTATCACAAGAGTCAAAAAGTTCTTAAAAAATGAAAAAGTTTATAAAGTAAAAAAATTATAGTAAGCTAATGCTAATTTATTATTGAAGAAAAAGTTTTAAAAATAAGTGTAGTATAGCATAAGCATATAGGGTTTATAAAGTCTACAGTAGGTACAGTAATGTCCTGGGCCAACACATTCACTCACCACTCACTCACTGACTCACCCAGAGCAAGTTCCAGTCCACAGACTCCATTCATGGTAAGTGCCCTATACCGGTATATCATTATTTCTCTTTTATATCATGTTTTTATAGTACCTTTTTTGTTTAGATACACAAATACTTACCATTGTGTTCCAATTGCCTACAGTATTCAGTAGTGATATGCTGTACAGGTTTGTAGCCTAGGAGCAATAGGCTCTACCACACAGCCTGGGTGTGTAGTAGGCTATGCCATCTAGGTTTGTTAAGTACACTCTATGACGGTCACACAATGACAAAATTGCCTAATAACACATTTCCTGGAACACATCCCATTGTTAAGCAACATGACTGTGCCTGGTAATTGGCACATACTAGATCATTAGCCTGTTTCTCCTCCCACCCTCCACACTCTGAAAGTCCCCAGTGTGTGTTGTTCCCCTTTTCATTGTGTAGTAAAAACTAGCGTAGTGGGGAAGGCGAAGTAGTAGCTTCCGAAAGTGCACATGTTCCCTGGCCAAGATAATAAATATATACTGGAGGAGATGGTGAAAATTAGGACCATTGTTAGACATTTTAGGATTCAGGGCTGGTAATCCTCATATATCTTCATTTAATTTACCAGTCCTCCCCCTGAAAACACTAAACAGATATTGTAGAATGGCAGTAGACTCTCAAACTCAACCAATTATGGCACCAGTGGCATCAATCGTAGCACTGTCCCAGATGAGGTATCTTTGCTTGAGTAGATTAACATGGTCCTAGGTACATGGCTTATGGCTTTTGATTTGGTGAATACAATCTTTCCTATCCCCATAAGAAAATAGGATCAGAAACAGTTTGCATTCACATGTAATAGACCACAGCAGAAATGTACAGTTTTGCCCTAGGGCTATGTTAACTCTCCTGTCCTCTGTCATCCTATAGTCCAAAGAGATCTGGACTATGTCAACATCCTGTTCAACATCATTTTGATAAATGACATCATGCTATCAGGTGGAATGAGCAAGACGTGGCTATAATGCTGGAAGTCTTTATGATGCTGGAAGCTACATTCACTTCCGAGATGTGAAATAAACCCTATAAAGACTCAGGAACTTGACACAAGAGTGAAAAGTGATCAGGTGCATGCTGGGATATTTCACCTGAAGTAAAGAATAAATTGCTGCTGGGCGAAGTGGCCCACACCTGTAATCCCCAGCATTTTGGGAGGCCAAGGCAGGTGGATCACTTGAGGTCAGGAGTTTGAGACCAGCCTGGCCAACATGGTGAAACCCCGTCTCTACTAAAAGTACAAAAATTAGCCGGGTGTGGTGGTGGGCACCTGTAATCCCAGCTACTCAGGAGGCCGAGACAGGAGAATCGCTTGATCCCGGGAGGTGGCGGTTGCAGTGAGCCAAGATCACGCCACTGCACTCCAGCCTGGGTGACAGAGCAAAACTCTGTCTCAAAAAAAAAAAAAAAAAAAAAAGGAATAAATTGCTGCATCTTACATCTCCTGTTATGAAGAAGGGAGAACAAATCTTGGGTCTCTTCAGATTCTGAAGGCAAGTTAGTCCAATCAGGCAATGCTGTTTTACCCATGTACCAGGTTTCTAGAAAAGGAAAAGGCTCTGAAGCAGGTCTGTATTGTCATGCAAGTGGCCTTGCTGCTTGAACCAAACAACCCGCAGATCCTATAGCATTAAACGTGTCGGCGGTAGGGAAAGACACCCAATGGAGTTTATGGTAAGACTCAATGGGAGAATCACAAGCAGCCCTAGGTTTCTGGATCATAGTTGTTCCATCCATAGTAGAGAATTATATGCCTTAAGAAAAGCTACTAGCATGATACTGGGCACTGAGAGAGGTGAAAAGCCTGACCATTAAGCACCAAATGACCATAGGGCTACACTTGCCCTTCGTCAGTTGGTTTCCATCAGAGCCACCAAGCACTGCAACTCTATTTTAAGAGATGGAAGTGGTGCATCCAGGATCAAGCACAAGTCATACTGCAGGCACAAGCAAGCTGTGCAGGCAAGAAGCTTGGAATCCTGTGTCATCCAACACTTTTTTTTTTTTTTTTAACTTTTAAGTTCAGGGTTACATGTGCAGGTTTGTTACTTAGGTAAACTTGTGTCATGAGGGTTTGTCATACAGATTATTTCATCACCCAGGTATTAAGCCAGTACCCATTAGTTATTTTTCCTGATCTTCTCCCTCCTTCCACCCTCCACCTTCTGAAAGGCCCCAGTGTGTGTTATTCCCCTCTATGTGTCTATGTGTTCTCATCATTTAGCTCTCACTTATAAGTAAGAACATCTGGGATTTGGTTTTCTGTTCCTGAATTAGTTTGCTAAGGATTATGGCCTCCAGCCATCCATGTCCCCGCAAAGGACATAATCTTGTTCTTGTTTATGGCTGCATAGTATTTCATGGTGTATATGGACTATATTTTTTCAATCCAATTAGGTTGATTGCATGTTTTTGCTACTGTGAATAGTGCTGCAATGAACATATGCGTGCATGCCAACATTATTTTTTTTTAAGAGACTGGGTCTCGCATGGGCTAGAGTATGGTGATGCAATCATAGCTCACCACAGTCTTGAATTTCTTGACTCAAGCAATCCCACCTCAGCATCCCAAGTAGCTAAGACTACAGGCATGCACCACCATGCACTTTGTATCCTTCAATCCAATCAAGTTGACACTCAGTATTAACCATCACAAGTCCACCCCTTGTCAACTTGGACCCATACACATCTCCTGAGATCATACATAATCTTCAAATAAAGACAATAAGTTCATAATTATGCCCAACATAATACCACTGTCCTTCGTACAACTGGAAATGCAATAATCCCCAACTCAAATACTATTACATAAAGTTAACAATACTTAAACTCTCATGTGAAGTCAATAAATCTTGTCACATGATAAAGGACAAGGAAATAAAATAAAGATATTTTCTTAGTACAAGTGTATACATGCACCAACATGTTTTTAGCAAAAGAAGGAGGAAATGGCCAGGCATGATGGCTCAAGCCTATAATCCCAGCACTTTGGGAGGCTGAGGTGGGCAGATCACCTGAGGTCAGGAGTTCGAGACCAGCCTGACCAACATGGTGAAACCCCATCTCTACTAAAAGTACAAAATTAGCCGGACATGATGGCACATGCCTGTAATCCAACTACGTGGGAGGCTGAGGCAAGAGAATCGCTTGAACCCAGGAGGCGGAGGTTGCAGTGAGCTGAGATCACGCCATTGCACTCCAGCCTGGGCGACAGAGCAAAAAAAAAAAAAAAGAAGGAAATACTCATGACAATTACAGCCCCTGTTTCTGCAGTTGGTCACGTGGTCATAGCTGGTATTGATAACTACCTTCTTCTACTACTCATTCTGTATTCCCTTTGCCTTCAGCAAGCACCTCAGCAGGTAGTGTTTTTTTTCCCTGGTGGAGTGACCCAAACCTTCATTCCTGAGGGGTCTGGGCCATTTGTACTCCTGCCTGGATTGGGCTGTTGTAGTTTCTTATTGACCTTAATCACAGGGCATGGTAATACTAAGAGATGCCCTAATGGATTTCCCATATTCCATGCACACTCTTCCTCACCACCATTGTGAGTAGTAGACTGATTTCATGTTGAGGAAAAATGTTAGCCGGGTCAATCACCCCAGCCAACACTGTAACTCCCTTCTTAGCCTGTTGACTTAAAGGTAGGAGAAGCCCAAAGTGTCCAGGTGGTAATCTTAACTTCCAGTTTAATGGAATCCTTGTTGGGTCTCCTGGTGGCAGCATTCCTCCCTCTGGAACTAGGACCTATAGGCCAGCAGAACGTAATGTCACAAGAACAGGAAGCAAACATTTTGCTAGTGGATCGCTAGGGGTGATGGTGAATGGTGCCATTTCCACTTTCACCCCTTGATTCCTGGACCTGTGAATCCTGGCTATGGGAGAAACAATACCATATATTGGACACTGAATCAGAGCATACATGGCCTTCTGGGGAACTTTGCCCCAGTCCTGCAAAGTATTGTCACCTAGTTGGCGTTGTAATTGTGACTTCAAAAGGCCATTCCACCATTCTGTCAATCCACCTGCTTCAGGATGATAGGCAACATGGTGAAACCAGTGAATTCCATGAGCGTGAGCCCACTGCCGCACTTCTTTAGCCACAAAGTGAGTGCCTTGGTCAGAGGCAATGATGTGTGGAATACCATGATGGTGGATAAGGCATTCCATGAGTCCATGTATGGTAGTCTTGGCAGAAACATTGCGTGCAAGATAGGCAAACCCATATCTGGGCTAAGTGTCTATTCCAGTGAGGACAAACCTCTGCCCTTTCCGTGATGCAAGAGGTCCAATATAATCAACCTGCCACCAGGTAGCTGGCTGATCACCCTGAGGAATGGTGCCATATCGAGGGCTCAGTGTTGGTTTCTGCTGCTGGCAAATTGGGCACTCAGCAGTGGCCATAGCCAGGTCAGCCTTGGTGAGTGGAAGTCCATGTTGCTGAGTCCATGCATAACCTCCATGCCTGCCACCATGGCCACTTTGTTCATGGGCCCATTGGGCAATGACAGGGGTGGCTGGGGAAAGAGACTGAGTGGTGTCCATAGAATGGGTCATCCTATCCACTTGATTATTAAAATACCTCCTCTGCTGAGGTCACCTGTTGGTGAGCACTCACATGGGATACAAATATCTTCATGGTTTTTGACCACTCAGAGAGGTCCATTCACATACCCACTTCCCCAAGTTTCTTTGTCACCAATTTTCCAATCATGCTTCTTCCAAGTCCCTGACCATCCAGCCAAACCATTGGCCACAGCCCATGAATTAGTATGTAATCACACATCTGGCCATTTCTCCTTCCATGCAAAGTGCACAACCAGGTGCACTGCTCAAAGTTCTGCCCACTGGGAAGATTTCCCTTCACTGTTCTCCTTCAGGGATGTCCTAAAAAGGGCCTGTAGTGCTGCAGCTGTCCACTTTCGGGTAGTGCCTGCATATCATGAAAAACCATCTGTAAACCAGGCCCTAGTCTTCTCTTCCTCTGTCAACTGATCATAGGGAACTCCCCATAAGGCCATTGGTGCAGGCTGGAGAAGAGAAGGCAGGGTGGCAGGAGCATTTGAGCCACTTCCACATGTAACTTACTTGTGCCTTCAGGACCTGCTCGAAACTGATCATGTATGTACCACTTCCATTTGATGATGGAATGCTGCTGTGCATAACCCACTTTATGGCTAGATGGGCCAGAAAGCACCCAGTTTATGATAGGCAGTTCAGGTCGCATGGTGACTTGATGACCCATAGTCAAATGTTCAGTTTCCACCAAAGCTCAGCAGCAGGCCAAAAGGAGAGTAGTTATCTGCAGAAGATAGCAGAGCCTTGCTCTAAAATCCTAGAGGCCTCCACTGTGATTCACCTATGGTGGCCTGCCAAAGGCTCCAAACAGCATTCCTCTCTGCCACTGACATCTCAAGCACCATCGGATCTACTGGGTCATATGGCCCAAGTGGCAGAGCAGCTTGCACAGCATCCTGGACCTGTTGCAAACCATTCTCCTGACCCCACTCAAAACCGGCAGCCTTTTGGGTCACCCGATAAATGGGCCAGAGCAACACACCCAAACGAGGAATGTGTTGCCTCCAAAATCCAAATAGGCTCACTAGACATTGTGCCTCTTTCTTGGTTGTAGGAGGGGCCAAATGCAGCAACTTATCCTTCACCTTAGAAGGAATATTTCAACAGGCCCCACACCACTGGACCCCTAGAAATTTTAATGAGGTAGAAGTTTCCTGAATTTTAGTCAGATTTATTTCCCATCCTCTGGCATGCAAATGTCTCACCAATAAGTCCAGTGAAATTAAGGAAACTCAGAAAGCCAATACCCATTTAGTAAGATGGACACCTGAAGCAGAAGCGGCTTTCCAGGCCCTAAAGAAGGCACTAACCCAAGCCCCAGTGTTAAGCTTGCCAACGGGGCAAGACTTTTCTTTATATGTCACAGAAAAAAATAGGAATAACTCTAGGAGTCCTTACACAGGTCCAAGGGACAAGCTTGCAACCCATGGCATACCTGATTAAGGAAATTGATGTAGTGGCAAAGGGTTTGCCTCACTGTTTACAGGTAGTGGCGGCAGTAGCAGTCTTAGTATCTGAAGCAGTTAAAATGATACAGGGAAGAGATCTTACTGTGTGGACATCTCATGATGTCAACGGCATACTCACTGCTAAAGGAGACTTGTGGCTGTCAGACAACTGTTTACTTAAATATCAGGCTCTATTACTTGAAGGGCCAGTGATGTGGCTGCACACTTGTGCAACTCTTAACCCAGCCACATTTCTTCCAGACAATGAAAAAAAGATAGAACATAACTGTCAACAGGTGATTGCTCAAACCTATGCCACTCGAGGGGACCTTCTAGAGGTTCCCTTGACTGATCCTGACCTCAACTTGTATACTGATGAAAGTTCCTTTGTTGAAAAAGGAATTTGAAAGGCGGGGTATGCACTGGTCAGTAATAATAAAATACTTGAAAGTAATCCCCTCACTCCAGGAACTATCGCTCAGCTGGCAAAACTAATATAAACTATCACTCAGCTGGCAAAACTAATATAAACTATCACTCAGCTGGCAAAACTAAAATAGCCCTCACTTGGGCACTAAAATTAGAAAAAGAAAAAAGGGTAAATAGAGATACAGACTGTAAGTATGCTTACCTAGTCCTCCATGCCCATGCAGCAATATGGAGAGAAAGGGAATTCCTAACTTCCGAGAGAACACCAATCAAACATCAGGAAGCCGTCAGGAGATTATTATTGGCTGTGCAGAAATCTAAAGAGGTGGCAGTCTTACACTGCCGGGGTCATCAGAAAGGAAAGGAAAAGAAAATAAAAGGGAATAGCCAAGAGAATATTGAAGCCAAAAGAGCCACAAGGCAGGACCCTCCATTAAAAATGCTTATAGAAAGACCCCTACTATGGGGTAATCCCCTCCAGGAAGCCAAGCCCCAGTACTCAACAGGAGAAATAGAATAGGGAACCCACCCTCAGGATGGCTAGCCAACAAAGGAAAAATACTTTTGCCTGCAGCTAACCGATGAAAATTACTTAAAACCCTTCACCAAACCTTAAACTTAGGCATTGATAGCATCCATCAGATGGCCAAATTATTATTTACTGGACCAGGCATTTAAAAAATTATCAAGCAGATAGTCAGGGCCTGTAAAGTGTGCCAAAGAAATAATCCCCTACACTGCAGGCCATACATTTCAATCCCTGTATCTTTAACCTCCTTGTTAAGTTTGTCTCTTCCAGAATTGAAGCTGTAAATCTACAAATTGTTCTTCAAATGGAGCCCCAGATGCAGTCCATGACTAAGATCTACTGCAGACCCCTGGACCGGCCTGCTAGCCCACACTCCGACATTGATGACGTCGAAGGCACCCCTCCCGAGGAAATCTCAACCGCACAACCCCTACTATGCCTCAATTTGGCAGGAAGCTGTTACAGCGGTTGTCGGCCAACCTCCCCAACAGCACTTGGGTTTTCCTGTTGAGAGCGGGGACTGAGAGACAGAACTAGCTGGATTTCCTAGGCTGACTAAGAATCCCTAAGCCTGGCTGGGAAGGTGACCACATCCACCTTTAAACACAGGGCTTGCAACTTATTTCACACCTGACCAATCAGGTAGTAAAGAGAGCTCACTAAAATGCTAATTAGGCAAAAACAGTAGGTAAAGAAATAGCCAATCATCTATCGCCTGAGAGCACAGCACGAGGGACAATGATCGAGATATAAACCCAGGCATTTGAGCCAGCAACGGCTACCCTCTTTGGGTCCCCTCCCTTTGTATGGGAGCTCTGTTTTCACTCTATTAAATCTTGCAACTGCAAAAAATAAATAAATAAATAAATAAATAAATAAGTCCAGTGGGCTTGCTACTTCTTGTTCACTGGATCCAATCAGCATAATGTCATCAATGTAATGGACCAGTGTAATATCTTGCTGAAGTGAAAAGTGATCAAGGTCTCTCTGAATAAGATTATGACACAAAGCTGGAGAGTTGATACACCCCGAGGTAGGACGGTAAGGGTATATTGACGGCCTTGCCAGCTGAAGGCAAATTGCTTCTGGTGGGCCTCATGGACAGGAATGAAGAAAAAGGGATTTGCCAAGTCAATGGCTGCATCCCAGGTATCAGGAATTAATTTTCTTAAGCAATGAAACCACATCTGGTGCAGCAGCTGCAATTAGAGTCACCACTTGGTTAAGCTTATGAAAATCCACTGTCATTCTCCAAAATCCATCTGTCTTCTGTAGAGGCCAAATGGGAGAGTTGAATGGGGATGTGGTGGGAATCACCACTCCTGCATCTTTCAAGTTCTTGATGGTGGCGCTAATCTCCACAATCCCTCCAGGGATGCGATATTGTTTTTGATTTACTGTTTTTCTAGGTAGAGGCAGTTCTAATGGCTTCCATTCGGCCTTTCCCACTGTAATAGCCCTCACCCTACCAGTCAGGGAGCCAATGTGGGGTTCTGCCAGCTGCTAAGTATGTCTATGCCAATTATGCATTCTGGCACTGGGGAAATGACAACAGGATGAGTCTGGAGACTCACTGGGCCCACTGTAAGTTGGACCTGAGCTAAAACTCTATTAATTAGCTGACATCCATAAGCCTCTACTTTAACTGGAGGACCACAATGACATTTGGGTCCCCTGGAATCAATGTCAGCTCAGAGCCAGTGTCCAGTAGTCCCTGAAATGTCTGATCATTTCACTTTCCCCAGTGCACAGTTACCCTGGTAAAAGGCTGGAGGTCTCCTTGGGGAAGGATGGGAGAACAATTCACTGCATAAATTGTTGGTAATGTAGTGAGGTCCTTCCTCAAGGGGACCTGGCCTCCCCTTCATTCAAGGGGTTCTGGGTCTGTAAACTGGCTCAAGTCTGGGAATTGATTGAGGGGCCGTGATTCTCTGTTTTTATAATTCAAACTAGTCTTTCGTCCATTCGACCTAGAAGTTTTCTGCTTGTATAAATTAAGTAGGAAGGTAGTAGGCTTCCTATCAACTTCACTTCTAGAAACAACATGATTAATTAGCCAGTGCCAGAGCTCTACACCAGTCAGACTATTCTGATTGCCACTTTCCCTCTGCTGTCCATTATGGTAGCCATGCCCACTTTGCCTTTGATGGTTGAGTGGTGCCACTCGGTCCCTGCCCCCTTGGGATCCAATTATTCCCATTGTATTTAAATTTTGTAGTTGAGTGACTGCAGTTCTCACCATTAGATCTGACATATAGAGAAGAGCAATTACAGGGCTCTTCAAAGATGCAGGTGCTGCCCTCACAAATATATTTTGCGAGGGCCTGGTCAAGGGTATATCTTCTGGACCCTCCCAGCTGAGATGAGTAGGTTTCAAGTGACTAATCCATTCCACCATCACAATCTCCCTAAGCCTTTGGATCCCTTCCTCTACATTAAACGAAGGGAGATCAGGCATTTCCAGATTGCTCACAGTGGGCCATCTTTTAATCCATATTTCAGCTAGCCAAGCAAATAAATTATTAGAACTTTTTTCAACTCCCCAAGCTGCAACATTAAAAGCAGAGTCCCTACTTAGTGGGCCCAAAACAATAAATTCAGCCTGATCCAACTCTATGTTCCTTCCACCATAATCCCATATCCTTAATATCCATTCCCATGCCTGTTCTCCACATTTCTGTTTATATAAGTTAGAAAACTCAAAAATTCTTTTCGAACGTAGCACACCTCCTCATGGGTCACACTCTCAACCTCACCTCTAGGGGCCCACCGGGACTTTAGTCTAGTTATAGGTCTAGAAACAAGCAGGGGTGTTGGGGGTGACTCCTAAGGAGAATCAACATTATTTTGCGTGGCAACTGCCTCAGGGGAGGGCATCACAGTTGCCTCAGGCAGCACAGGGTTTATCTCCTCAGACAAGGGTGGAAAGGCTGATGGCAGCATGGGTTGGGGAGGGGATGTTGCCACTGCTGGGGATGGGGAAGCTGTTCCTTCTGGCAAAAAAGGTTCATCAGAGTTTACAAACTCAGTGTCCCCAGCTTCACCATGGTCCTCTCACACATCCCCATTCCAAGTTTCAAGGTTCCATTATCTTCCAGTCAATGCCCTCACTTTAACAGTAGATACCTGGTGAGGCTGTGCATGCATCTTTCATTGCAGGTCAGCCACTTGCATGATAAGAGCTTGTGTCTGTTTTTCCACAATTTCAGCACTTTCTCTACAGGAGGTAAGACTCTCACTCACGGCAATCTTAGTAGATTTGAGGCTTAGTATCTGCTTCAGAAGCTGGGAGACAGGATCCCTGAGTTCATCATTTTCTTTCATCACTTTGTCCACTGAACTTAGGAGCAACCAATCAGCTTCATTATGTTCTTGGTTCTCCACATATGGTCAAATGTATTAACTCCTTGCCTCTCACGAGCAGTGAACCAGGAGTGTAAAATGCATTTATTTGGCATAGCTCCCTAAACAGTTCACACCAAGGGCTATCAGTGTTTTTCATACTATTAGAAGTAGAGTCCTTAGCATATTCGGGTCTAATCATATTAAGCAGCCAACTCCAGAAACCCCTCCAAAACAACGAAAGAACTTCATCCTTAATATTCTGTTCCTCTAAAACCACTTCTGGTACCAAAATCTGTATTAGTCAGGGTTCTCTAGAGGGACAGAACTAATAGAATATACCGATGTAGCCTAATATATATATAGAGAGAGGAGAGTTTATTAAGTATTAACTTACATGATTATAAGGTCCCACAATAGGCTGTCTGCAAGCTGAGGAGCAGGGAGAGCCAACCCAAGTCCTAAAACTGAAGAACTTGGAGTCAAATGTTCGAGGGCAGGAAGCATCCAGCACTGGAGAAAGATGTAGGCTGGGAGGCCAGGGCAATCTCTTCTTTTCACATTTATCTGCCTGCTTTATATTTGCTCGCAGCTGATTAGATTGTGCTCACCACATTAAGGGTGGATCTGCCTTCCCCAGCCCACTGACTCAAATGTTAACCTCTTTTGGCAACACCCTCATGGACACACCCAGGGTCAATACTTTGTATCCTTCAATCCAATCAAGTTGACACTCAGTATTAAACATCACAGTTGCCCAGTCTGGTCTCAAACTCCTGAGCTCAAGCGATCCCCCTACCTTGGCCTCCCAAAGTGCTAGGATTACAGGCATGAGTCACTGAGCCTGGCCAAATTGAGTCCAGTTCTATACCAAAGTCCCTTTCCCCCTATTGTAATAGTTACTGAGTAAAATCTGTTTTTACCACTTTAACTAATATCCAGATCTGTTTTTTTTTTTTTTGATACCTTGGTCACTCAGTTTGTGTGGAAAGAGAAATGGCTTGAAGTAGAATAGACAGACTCCTGGGCAGTGGGAAAGGCATGGCTCTCTGATCAGGGCGTGAGGGGATGATGACTGAGGGCAAAGAAGTCAAGGATAGGGGCCGAGTGAATATATAGAAGCAGGTACTGATTATGAAGGTCTTCATATCACATGTTAGCACTAATGAGAGCATGTGCCTCAGAAGAGGCACTAAACAACCAAGAAAACAAAATTACTCTCCCAGTTGGAATCAGCCAGCCTCTGTCATTGCCCATTCAGCTCTGGCATAAAGGGCATGTGAGCAAAGTAGTCGTGATGGCAGGGAGGAAGGCTGTACATAGACCCAACAGTATGGGCCCCCACTTATCCAGGTTGAATGTCTGCCATTGTATGTCCAATCTGCTTGCAGCAGAGACCAGCACGGAGTCATTGATAAAGTACCATCCCTCAAAGTGACTAACTGGCAACTTGGTGGCAAGTAGACTACATTGAAAGGTCAATTGTTAATTCTGGCAGGAATAGACACATATGCTAGGTATGATTCTGCCTTTCTTGCTTGCGTTGACTCAGCAAAGCACGAGTATATCATCACACCAGATCAGGGACCCACTTTATATCAAAGAATGTGCAGGGGTGGGCCATGACCATGAGATCCCTGATTATATCGTATACTGCACCACCCATAAACTGCTGACCTGATGGAGCATTAGAATGGCCTGTTAAAGGCAGAGCTGATGTGCCTGCTCGGTGAAGATACTTTACAAGGATGGGCACTATCCTCCATGATGCAAAGTTTACCTTGAATAGAAGACCTATTTATAGCAAGTGTCCCCAACAGGAAGAATACATGGATCCAGGAACTAAGGGGTGAAAGCAGAAGTGGCCTCACCATCACTCCCAGTGAGCTACTTGAGACTTCAGAATTGTGTTTCTCTATCTCTGCAATCCTGGACTCTGCAGGTTAAGAGGTCCCGATCTCCAAAGGGGAACAGTTTTGCCAGAGGCCACAGTAAGAGTCCTGTTAATTATAAGCTATGTCTGCACTTGGCACTTTGTATTGTATGGCAAGGAACCAGCAGACAAGAAATGGAGTCTTCATTCTGGCAAGGGTAATAGAATTTTATCAGAGAGGGTAAGGATGCTGTTATGCAGTGAGGCAGGGAAAAATATGTGCATCACTTGGGTGCCTTGTGGGACTCCCTTGTCCAGTTTGATTGTAAATGGAGAAGTGCAGTAACCTCAGGCTGAGAAGGGCATATTCTATTAGTTTCCCATTACTGATGTAAAAATTTGCCACAAACTCAGTGGCTTAAAACAATACAAATTTGGGCTGGGCGCGGTGGCTCACGCCTGTAATCCTAGCACTTTGGGAGGCCGAGGCGGGCGGATCACGAGGTCAGGAGATCGAGACCATCCCGGCTAACACGGTGAAACCACGTCTCTACTAAAAATACAAAAAATTAGCCAGGCGTGTTGGCGGACGCCCGTAGTCCCAGCTACTTGGGAGGCTGAGGCAGGAGAATGGCGTGAACCCGGGAGGCAGAGCTTGCAGTGAGCCAAGATCACGCCACTGCACTCCAGCCTGGGCAACATAGTGAGACTCCGTCTCAAAAAAAAAGAAAACAACAACAACAACAACAAAAAAAAACAACACAAATTCGTTATCTTGCAGGTCTCGAGGCCAGAAGTCCAAAAATGGGTCTAATGGGCTTAAATCAAGATGTCAGGAGGTGGAAGGATTGCTTGAAGTTACAGAGGGCTATGATTGTGCCACTGCACTCCAGCCTGGGTGAGAGAGCTAGATCCAGTCTCTCTCTCTCTCCCTCTCTCTTTTTTTTTTTCTTTTCTTTTTTAAGACAGGGTCTCACTCTGTCATCCAGGCTGGAGGGCAGTGGTGTGATGATAGCTCACTGCAACCACCTTGACCTCCCAGGCTCAAGCAATCCTCTCACCTCAGCCTCCTGAATAGCTGAGACCACAGATGCATGCTACCATGCCCAGCTAATTTTTTATATTTTTTGTAGAGATGTGGTTTCACCATGTTGCCCAAGCTGGTCTTGAACTCCTGGGCTCAAGTAACCTGTCTGACTGGGCCTTACAAAATGCTGGGATTACAGGCATAAGCAACTGCACCTGGCCTAAGACCCTGTTTCATTACCAAAAAAAAAAAAAAAAAAAAAAAAGTCAGCAGGTTGCATTATTCTGGAAGCTGTAAAGGAGAATTGGTTCCTTGCCTTTTCCAGCTCCTAGAGGGCACCTGCATCCCTTGGCTCATGGCCCTGTTCCAACAATGGCATCACTCCTCTTCTTCCATCATCATAGCTTCTCTGACTCTGACTCTCCTGCTTCCTCCCTCTTTCCCTTGTTATTCCCTTGCCTACCTGGATATTCCAGAATAATCTTCCTGTCTTGAAATCCTTAACTCAATCACATATTTGCCTGGGGACTCTGCAAAGTCTCTCTCTCTTTTTTTTTGAGATGGAGTCTCACTCTCTCACCCAGGCTGGAGTGCAGTGGTATGATCTAGGCTCACTGCAACCTCTGCCTCCCAGGCTCAAGTTCTCCTACCTCAGCCTCCCAAGTAGCTGGGACTACAGGCATGAGTCACCACACATGGCTAATTTTTTGTATTTTTAGTAGAGACGGGGTTTCACCATGTTGCCCAGGCTGGTCTTGAACTCCTGAGCTCAAGCGACCCACCCTACTGGGCCTTCCAAAGTGCTAGGATTATAGGCCTGAGCCACCACACCTGGCTACAGAGTCTTTGTGCCGTGTAAGCTAACACAGTCACTGGTCCTGGGGTTTAAGGTGCTTTCGATATCAGGGATGAGGGTCTGTGTCACATGATCAGGCAAATCGTTGTAACCAGCAGAGATGCTAGATGAGGGTGAGGGGAATCCAGAATGGATTGTAGAGGAGAAGATGATGAGTGTCAGTTGTGGCCTTGAGACTAGTTGCCGAAGAAGCTTCTTGTATTTTGTTCCACTAACCTTCCTCTTCTTCTTAAGTTTCCCTGTAAGGAGAGGTCCACTGGAGTCCTGGAGGGTTGCTCCCAAACTTAAATGAAGAAGTAGATTGCAGCAGCTTTGAGAGTTGTCATCTGATGGCTTCTGGCACCAAATTTAACTTCCTTTGCCTTGCTTTGTGCTTGAACTCAACAGCATGGGCCCCAACTTGCCAACTGTGACCTAGCTATTGCCCCCACTGAATGTCCAATAAAAGAGACCAACATGGGGCCCCTGACTTGTTATTATTCCCCAGGGAGACCAGGCAGAAAAGAGTTAACATAGCAGGCCTGACTGCTATACTTTGAAAGGTCTGCTTACAAGCTTGGCCCTTGGCTGGCATCTAGGAACTTGGGTTTCAGGAGGGTTCCCACCATTCCCAGAATGGATAAAAATGGTATATCATGCCTAAACTGTCCATATAAACCATATAGTTTATGCTGAATTCCTACTTTCCTTCAGGAAGTCTGGAATTTTGACATGTTCCAGGAAGAAGCTGCCTGTGTGACCAGCCCTCAGTAAAAACCCTGGGCACTGAGTCTCTTAACAAACCTCTCTGGTAGACAACATTTCACACATATTGTCACAACAGCTGATGGTGAGATTGAGTACATCCTGTGTGACTCTACCCAGAGAGGATCATTGGAAGCATGTGCCTTCTCCCAAGACTTCATCCCATGCACCTTTTCCCTTGGGTGATTTCCTTTGTATCCTTGGTGGTAACAAGTCACAACTGTGAGTGCAACTATATGCTGCATCCTGTGAATCCTCCTGGTGAATCACTGAACCTTGGCATGGTCTTAGGAATCCTCCACACAGGAATCAACCAGCTGTCCATTGCAGATTAATTACATTGGACCTTTTCCATCATGGAAGGGGCAGAGATCTGTTCTTAGTGAAATAGATACATATTCTGGATGTGGTTTTACCTTTGCTCTTCGCAATTGTTTTGGCAGCAGTACCATCCTTGAACTTGCAGAATGCCTTATCCAGGTAATGCCATCATCCCTAACATTGTGTCTGATCAAGGAACTCATTTCGTGGTAAAGGAACTGCAGCAGTGGGGTCATGCCTATGGAATTATTTGGTCTTACCACATATCTCATCGCCCAGAAGCAGTTGACCTAATTGAAAGGTAAAATGGCTTACTGAAGACTCAGTTATACCGCCATTTAGTAGATACAAATCTGAAAGGATAGGGTTCTGTCTCTTAGGATGCAGTATTGTATAGTCTTTGAATCAGAGACCATTATATGCTAAAGTTTCCCCATGGGTCTAGGGATCATGGAATAAAAGTGTAAGTGGCTCCTTTCACTACACAATTATTATTATTTTAGTGTCATTTCGAACTCATAGATTTATAAGTACTTAATGTTCTTTTACTCCACTATTATTCATTTTGATATTCGTATTGTCCCAGCTTTGGCCTCTTCAGGTTTGCTTCTAAGTGCTTTGGCAAGTTCTTAATATTCTTTTGTAGCTTCCTTATTTTCTGGTGTGACAAGATGCCCAGACTCATTTTATACATTTCCTGCCTCAGACTAGGAATCAGCCATTTCACCAAAAAACCTTGGTTCTTTTTAGTGGGAAATAGTATTTAGGGACCATAGTCTGGTTGCTGGTGGGGATGGGGGAGCTTATAGCAACTGGGATAGTCATCATCAAACCATATTTTAAAGTTTTAGTAAATGAAAGTGTGGTATTAGCTCAACATTAAACCAATAATAAGTGGATCTGAATAGTCTGGAAACAGATTCTGTATAGATACAGATAGAGCTAAAATATAGATATATAAATATAGAGAAAGTATATATAAAGATGGCAATTCAAATGTTTGGAGAGAGGAATAAATGACATTGGAATTATGAATTACTTACTCAGAAAAAAATCCCGGCTGGGCACGGTGGCTCATGCTTGTAATCCCAGCACTTTGGGAGGCTGAGGCAGGTGGATCACCTGAGGTCAGGCGTTCGAGACCACCCTGGCCAACTTGGTGAAACCCTGTCTCCACTAAAAGTACAAAAATTAGCTGGGTGTGGTGGTGTGCACCTGTAGTCCTAGCTACTCAGGAGGCTGAGGCAGGAGAATTCCTTGAACCTAGTGGGGCAGAGGTTGCAGTGAGTTGAGATTATGCCACTTCACTCCAGCCTGGGCGACAGAGTGAGACTCCGAATCAAAAAAAAGAAAAGAAAAAATCCCTCTATATTGTACCATATATAAATAAGTTCTGGGCCAAGCACAGTAGCTCATTCCTGTAATCCCAGCACTTTGGGAGGCCAAGGCGGGTGGGTCGCTTGAGCCCAGGAGTTCCAGACCAGCCTGGCCAACATGGCAAAACCCTGTCTCTTCAAAAAATTAAGGAAAATTATCTGGGTGTGGTGGCATGCGCCTGTAGTCCCAGCTACTCAGTAGGCTAAGGTGGGAGAATTGCTTGAGCCCAGGTTGGCTGTGGCGAGCCAAGATCGTGCTACTATACTCCAGCCTGGATGACAGAGCAAGACCCTGTCTCAAAAAATATATTTAAAAATTTAAAAATTAAAAAAAATTCTGCTATCTAAAAGTATAAATATAAAAAACAAGATATGGGACAGTATTTTATAATTTGGGGCTGGGGAAGAAGGTCCTAATGAAGACACAGTCCTTGAAGACACAAGGGAAAAAAATAGACTTGAGATGCCTGAAAATGAAAACTTCACAACAAAAGATAGCATAAACAAGTCTTAACAGGCTGGAAGAGAATACTTTCAACATACAAAACAAAGTATTTCTCTCCGTAGTATAGTGGATATTCCTAAAAAATCAATAAGAAAAATTCTAACAATCCAATAGAAAATTGGAAAAGGATACAATTAGACAATTCATCAAAGGAATACAAATGATCAATACATTTTATGAAAGCTAATGTACTCAGAAGAACAGAAAAATGTAAATTAAATGGGATTTTTTTGCCCATCATTTGTCAATATACCAGGTTTTGCCATTATTAAGTATTAATGAGGATCTGAGGGAAACAAATGTTCTTATTTTTTTTTTTTTAAGACAGTTTCTCATTGTGACCCAGGCTGGAGTGCAGTGGCGCAATATCGGCTCACT
The DNA here is from genome assembly GCF_000001405.40 of Homo sapiens. Classification (NCBI taxonomy): domain Eukaryota; kingdom Metazoa; phylum Chordata; class Mammalia; order Primates; family Hominidae; genus Homo; species Homo sapiens. Next base: position 107,971,509 of record NC_000011.10, on the reverse strand, counting down.
GCAGCCTCAACCTCCCAGACTCAAGTGATCCTCCCACCTCAGCCTTCCAAGCATCTGGGACCACAGGTGTGTGCCAGCGTGCCCTGCTAATTTTTTTTTTTTTTTTTTTTTAGAGATGGGGTCTCCCTGTACTGCCGGAACTCCTGGGCTCAAGCAATCCCCGCCCCCCCTCCCCTTGGTGTCCCAAAGTGCTGGGATTACAGACATGAGAAACCATGCCTGGCTCTGAAAACAATCTTAATGTCTATTATTGGAAGTAAATAAATGATTTTTTGGGCCAGGCATGGTGGCTGATGTCTGTATTCACAGCACTGTGGGAGGCTGAAGTGGGAGAATTGCTTGAGCCCATGAGTTCCAGACCAGCCTGGGCAACATAGATAGGGAGACCCCATCTCTACAAAAAATAATTAGCTGGACCTAGTCTAATGACGATTTCTCTCTTTCTATGTTTCTGTATTTTCCAAATGTTGTACAATGAACTAGTATTTATTACATAATGGGAAAATTTTTAATTAAAATGATGCTACTACTTTGACTTATTTATTTATTTATTTTGAAATGGAGTCTTGCTCTGTCGCCCAGGCTGGAGTGCAATGGCGTGATCTCGGCTCACTACAACTTCCGCCTCCCGGGTTCAAGTGATTCTCCTGCCTCAGCCTCCCAAGTAGCTGGGATTACAGGCATACGCCACCACACCCAGCTAATTTTGTGTTTTTAGTAGAGAAGAGATTTTGCCATGTTGGCAAGGCTGGTCTCGAACTTCTGACTTCAGACGATCCACCCGCTTTGGCCTCCCAAAGTGTTGGGATTACAGGTATGAGCCACCCCGCCCAGTCAGGTGCTCCTACTTTGAAAACATTATGCTAATTGAAAGCAGCTGGTCACAAAAGGCCACACACTATATGACTCCATCTGATGTAGGACCAGCAAGCCCCCAAATTGGGTCTTAGTCCACGCAGTTTCTTGGCTTCACTCAGTAAAGAATTCAAGGGCGAGGTGTTAGTAACTTGTATTGAAGCAGTGGTGGGCTGCAACAGCAAAGCTACTGCTCTTTGCAGAGCAGGGCTACCTCATAGGCAAACGTGCCCAGAGAAGCAGCTCATAGGCAGGTCTGCAGTCATATTTACACTCACTTTTAATTACATGCAAATTAAGGGGCAGATCATACAGAAATTTCTAGGAAAAGCGAGGTAACTTCCCGGTTATTGCCATGGAAAGAGGCAGTAAATTCCAGGTGTTGCTATGGCAATGGTAAATTGACATGGCACACTGGTGGGTGTGTCTTATGGAAAGCTGCTTCTACCCAGTCCCTGTTTGAGCTAGTACTCAATTTGGTCCGGTGTTCAAGCCCCGCTTCCAAGTTGAGTCCCACCTCCTACCTGCCATCTATGTGAAATATCCAGTATAGGCAAGTATATAGATTAATGGTTGTTTAGGACTCTGGTGCTGGGTAGGGTACAGTGGGGGGATGAAGACTGTTGGGATGATAGCTAAAGGTACAGGGATTTCTCTTTGAGGTCATGAAAATGTTTTAAAATAGATTATGTTGATGGTTGCACAACTGAATTTACTAAAAACCACTGTGATGTGGTTTGGGTATTTTGTCCCCTCCAAATCTCACGTAGAAATGTAATCTAAATGTTGGAGGTTGGGCCTGGTGGGTTCCAGCCTCCGAAGGAGCTGGGACCAGAGGTGTGTGCCACTATGCCCAGCTACTTTTAAAAAAAAATTTTGTAGAGATGGGATCTCACTATGCTGCCCTCGCTTGTCTTGAACTCCTGGCCTCAAGTGATCCTTTTGCCTCAACCTCCCAAAGTGTTGGGATTACAGGCATGAGCCACTGTGCCCAGCCTGGTATTTCTTTAAAGCAATGCACAAGTGGACAAACACACACTGAATTGTACATTTTAAATGATTTAATTGTATGGCATGTAAGTTATATGTCAAAGCTGTTACCAAAAAAAAAAAAACTTTTAGAAAATGATGCTAGTGATAATCATTTTATGCAAACTAAAAGCCTAGTTCTCTGACCCACAGTCCTTACCACACTGGGTACATGCACTAACTCTTCCTGCTGGTGAATTTGCAGTACTGCTGTTGGGACACTCCTTCAAGCCCTTGTCCATCTGGTCAGATGCTGTTGTTGATGACCAGCAATCCCCAGGAGCTCTATGTCCTTTAGGGCACTACTGAAGTATTCTTCTCTAAGAATCAGGCCATTTCAAGGAGTCATGACCACTTAAAATGAACTAGCCAGAGAGCCATTATCAAGTTTCTAGCCAACAATAAGGATTAAGCTTAGCTTCTTGACAATTTAGTGATTATAATAAGAATGATACTAAAAATAAAACAGGGCCGGGAGGAGTGGCTTACGCCTGTAATCCCAGCACTTTGGGAGGCCGAGGCAGGTGGATCACCTTAGGTCAGGAGTTCAAGATCAGCCTGGCCAACATGGTGAAACCCTGTCTCTACTAAAAATACAAAAAATTAGCTGGATGTAGTGGTGGGCACCTGTAATCCCACCTACTCAGGAGGCTGAGGCAGGAGAATCACTTGAACCCGGGAGGCAGAGGTTGCAGTGAGCCGAGATCGCGTCACTGCACTCCAGCCTGGGCAACAAGTGCAAAACTCTGTCTCAAAAATAATAATTATAATAATATAATTATGTGCCAAGCACTGTTGTAAACATTTTACATAGTTAACTGCTTATGCAGAAGGTATAAATATTTTCTGTGTGATTTAACAGCTCAATTCAAAATTTCATAAGCTCCCACTACGTGCAAGGTTGAAGCATGACAAAGATGAGCCAAGTAGAGGAAAGTTACAAATTTTGAAACATCTGTTAAAGCATAGTACAAGGCATAGTACATAGTACATGACCCTTTTCTGCAATTCTGAAATCCAAAAAGCTTTGAAAAATCAAAGATTCTTTTTACAACTCATTTGGCAACAAAAACCTGACCCGAACTAATGACAGGTTATTTATAGATCTTATCTCTTATGGTGTGAATATTCATATATTTGCTGTACAAATATTAATGTCTGATTATGGGGTTCTACCCCACATTCCACCATGGTATGATGTAATATGTAAAGTATTGTGGATCTCAAATTGATTCTTTTTTGCCCTTCATTTGTGAATACATACACACAAAATTGCAGTTAAATAGTTGTTTCTATTTTAAAAGCACCACCAAAGATGGCTTGTTAAAGATGGATACCGTGAAGCAACCTGCTGGGGTCCCCTTCCACGCTGTGGAATCTTTGTTCTTTTGCTCTTCACAATAAACCTTGCTACCGCTCCAAAAAAAAAAAAAAAAAAAAAAAAAAAAAGATGGATACCATAATTCTATGACAATCATAGTTCTCATTCTCATTCTTTTATTCATTATTTAAAATCAAATAACATTAATAACATACTTCAAAAAGTTTACACTTATCCTACTTCCATTGTCTGTTATCCTGAAAAAAAATGCCAAGAGATGATGATAATAAAACATGTCTATTCTTCCATGGAATGTATAAATTGAAACCAAGTATGTGGAACCCACATTTAATAGGAGTAATTCAACACAATAACCATCAATTAGTAGTCACTGAATGTCACATAGATAAGACAATGTTTTAGGCACTATTTTTTAAAAGACAAAAAATTTACCCAGAAATAATAATGAGGTACACTAATTTTTTATACCTTAAAATTTTGTTTTCATTTATTTTCTACCATGATTATGTGCAGTAAGTGAACTAGATTGTGTAATGATTGATATAGATTGTCACAGCTCATCACTCATGTGTCTACTTGCATCAGTCATTAGCAGTATAGAAACACCAGGTCATGCAGCAGTTCATTAAGGTTCAGATCAGTTTGTTATTTTAAGATCAAGTGAAGATCAGTAGCTCAGAAAGATTTGGTGAAAACATTCAGTTAAGAAAGATTCTGAAGCAGAGATGTCTATTTATCAGCTGTGAAATTTCCAAGAGTTAGCTTCTGGTTGGGATTGTATCCTACCATTTAAAATACATAGAATCTAAGATTAAAGCCTTTATAGGCTGGGCGTGGTGACTCATGCCTGTCATCCCAGCACTCTGGGAGGCTGGGGTGGGAGGATCGCTTGAGGCCAGGAGTTTGAGGCTCCCACGACCTATCACTGTGCCACTGCACTACAGCCTAGGCGACAGAACAAGACCCTGTCTCTAAAAAACAAATAAAAAGTAAAACCTTTGTAGTCTTTCGGTTTTTTCTTTTTTCAGCTCCCCATGCTGAAAGAGGATCTTTCTGTTTTTTCTTAAAGATTACATGTTTCCTTTGCATGTCCAAGTGAAATCTTTCTAGGTAGTTACTGAGAAACAGATAAGTTAGTTTATCAATGGGTCTTTAGTCTTGCGAGTTCTTTTCACTGTGTGAGACCTAAAGAAATTATTCTTTTTTTTTGAGACGGAGTCTTGCTCTGTCGCCCAGGCTGGAGTGCAGTGGCGTGATCTCGGCTCACTGCAGGCTCCACCTCCCAGGTTCACCCCATTCTCCTGCCTCAGCCTCCCGAGTAGCTGGGACTACAGGCGCCCACCAACACGCCCGGCTAATTTTTTGTATTTTTTCTGTATTTTTGGTAGAGACGGGGTCTCACCGTGTTAGCCAGGATGGTCTCGATCTCCTGACCTCGTGATCCGCCCGCCTCGGCCTCCCAAAGTGCTGGGATTACAGGCGTGAGCCACCGCATCCGGCCAGTAAATTATTCAAATACAGTGCACTCTTTAAAGCTGCTTTGAAAGCTTTGTTCTTAACTGAACCAAGGGCAGTATAAAATCTGACAAAAATACTCTTAAAATGATTTTATTAATCCATAGATTCATTTTTTAATGACGTAAAGTTGGATAGAAAGACTTTGTTCCGGTAAAGTTATCTTAACAATAATATAAAAGACTGTTTTGGTTGCCACACACAAAAAGTATGGAATGCTTGAGACTTTTGGAAATCTAGAATAAACTCTCCAGTTTCCAGGCTCAGGAAATCTTGTTTGCCACTATTATGCATATAAAAGCCACATTAAAAAACATTCTGATTAAACATTTTGGCTTATACTTACTATCACATCACTACATGAACTGGGAGTGTGAATGCAGCTCAAGATGAGCAGTTTCCATCAGGGACAAGTTTACGATAAGAATTGGACTGTTATTATTTCTTTAAAAAAAAAATCACATTTACAGCCAGGCACCGGTGGCTCATGCCTGTAATCCCAGCACTGTGGGAGGCTGAGGCGGGTGGATCACCTGAGGTCCGGAGTTTGAGACCAGCCTGACCAACATGGAGAAACCCCATCTCTACTTAAAAAAACAAAACAAAACAAAATTAGTCGGGCATGGTGGCGCATGCCTGTAATCCCAGCTACTCGGTAGGCTGAGGCAGGAGAATTGCTTGAACCCAGTAGGCGAAGCTTGCGGTGAGCCAAGATCGCGCTATTGCACTCCAGCCTGGGCAACAAGAGCGAAACTCCGTCTCAAAACAAAATAATAATAATAATAATAATAATAATAATAATAATAATCAGCTGGATGTGGTGGTGCACGCCTGTAATCCTAGCTGCTCAGGAAGCTGAGGCAGGAGAATTGTTTGAACCCAGGAGGTGGAGGTTGCAGTGACCTGAGTTTGCACCACTGCATTCCAGCCTGGGAGACAGAACCAGACTCCGTCCCAAAAAAAACAAACAAACAAAAAACAAAACAAAACAAAAAAACCACATTTACTTAAACTATTTAGTAATTAGCTACATCATTTACTAGTTTTACATTTTAAAATTTAAATTAAATTTTAAATAAAGTAACTTTAATATAAAATCAAGGATATTTGATTTCTAAGAAACTTGGTAAAAGCATTTTGCCTGGAGCAAATATTTTTACTATTTTGGCATCGTTATCCATATTCTCTATAACGATGTGTAAGAAAATAGGTCAGCTATTATATACATATATAAATGCATAAAGATAACTGGCTAAGGTTAGACAGATGTTTGGCAATCTTGTACAAGCACTCAGATTTTTGCAGTAATCGTTGTTCACTTTACTATTATTTTACCATAAATAGCTCCTCTATAATATAAAAATTATTTAACCCTATTTTAGTATTTTGTGGATTCAGTTAGAACACATTTCCCCTTTTCTTGACATCCTCTCCCTCCCTTCCCCTCCCTCCACCCAACATACACACACCAAGCACAGTGTGGTGAACAAGGTGCTAGGAGACGAGTTCTAGGCTTCCTTCTGTTCATGCCTTGAATTTTGGGCCCTGCCTTCCTATTTGTTTCTTCTAGTTCTTTAGCTCTGGTTTAAATTTTGGAACACATGATATCCTTCAGCCCAAATATTAGTCTCTCCTGACATTAGTATTATAAAGGGTGTCCACTGAAATTTAAATCATATTTTATGTTTTAGCTATTTAACTTTAGAAGTAGGCACAGGTGACTGTACTTTCAACTGCTAAATTTTCAGTGTTGGGGTTTATGCCATTTTGGACTGATGGGAAATTGTCATATAATATTGAAAACTGTAACAGTAAAATGGACTACTTCACATTTTGGGGGACAAGTATTTTCTCATTTGGTTAATTACGGTTTGAACTCATGTGAAATTAACCTAATGATATCAAGAAAATGCTGACAATATAAATAGTCATACCTTATATAGTTATAATTTATAATCTCTCCATAAGCACAATTAAAAATACATGAACCCAGAAAATGTACAAGTATTTGAAAATACAATTAAATATTTACTTCAAAGATGCACAAAAAGCACAAACGTGACTTTTGATTGGGTTAAGTCTGCAGGAACGTCCCTCTCTATTATTTCCACTTTGCAGGAACAATAGCTCAGGGTAAAAAAAGCAGAGGAAGCGGGCGCAGGGGCTCATGCCTGTAATTCCAGGACTTTGGGACTCCGAGGCAGAAGGATTGCTTGTGCCCTGGCATATGAGACTTGTGCCCTGGCGTATGAGACCTATACCCTGGGCAACATAGGGAGACCCCTTCTCTATAGAAAATAAAAAATTAGCCAGGCGTGGTGGCGTGCACCTGTGGTCCCAGCTAGCAGAAGGCTAAAGTGGGAGGCTCGCTTGAGACTGGGAGGTCCAGGATGCAGTGAGCTGTGATCATGCCACTGCGCTCCACCCTGGTCAACAGAACAAGACCTCGGCCCCCTCGCCCCCCACCCCCGCCAAAAAAAATAAGCAGAGGATATGCATCAATCAAGAATTCCTACGGGTCCATGAAGACACACATCTTTTTCTACTCCCTCTGCATAGGAACGAAAGGAAAAATCATGAGAAAACAAAATTCTCACCCATTGTAAATATAATAGTATGCCCATGAGCAGCATATCAATCTCAAAATGCTTACTCTATTTACAAAGTGTTTGTTGCATCATTCACTAGATTCTCAAAATAATTTTCCATGAAACACACTAATAAATGGGGTTATTAGCCTAATTTTACAGATAAGAAAAATGGTGCTTAGAGAGGTCAAGTGACTTACTCATGGTTAGATATTGGTAACCAAGTTTTCTGATTTCTTATTAAATATTCTTTCTACTATGCCACTTTGGTTTTCAAACAAATGAAGCAACTAAAGGTTAAGAGTAAAAACCTTATGATTCCAAAAAACTTCACTTGGTACTCTTTTGTGATTAAGAGTAGTTTACAGAACAGAATAGAAATGTACATTATAAAATATTTGACACTATGATCAAAATATCCCTTCCAGGAGAGTTTAATCAATAAGTTAAAAATTAGGAAACTCAAAAGTCATTTTACTGTCTTAATTGATTATTCTATCTTAACTTGTACTGATGAGATTGTAAAATGCAATTTGAAGGCTAAATATATCAAGCATCTAACCAATTTTTCTTCCCCAGAAAAATCTTTTCTGCATTCTTTTCATATTGGAAATTAGGAAATTTGGAAATTTACTTGGACAAAAATGCTATTATTAAAAACATTCCATGTTTACCTATATTAATAATTTTGACAATAGTTCAAAGTAAATTGCATTTACTTTCTTTGAAAATGTCAATACATAAATAAATTTTGTTCTTCTTGTCTAAATACGAACAGTACACCGTAACAGCAAAACATGTGCTGCTGATAGTCCAGGCACGGCAGCTCATGCCTATAATTCCAGCACTTTGGAGGCCGAGGGGGGCGAATTGCTTGAGGCGAGGAGTTGGAGACCAGCCTGGGGAACATTATGAAACCCTGTGTCTACTTATAATACAAAAATTAGCCGGGCATGGTGGCGCACATCTGCAGTTCCAGCTACTCAGGAGGCTGAGGTAAGGTACTGACAATCACCTGAACCCAGGAAGCAGAGGTTGCAGGGAGCCAAGATTGCCCCACTGCACTCCAGCCTGGGTGACAAAACAAGACCCTGTCTCAAAAAAAAAAAGCAACATTTCAAACATTTGGTGAGCGGTCCTCCGTTTTTAATTTTACAAATATTTGCTTAAAGTAGTTTGCTTGGATCCTTAGATATCTTTGTAAAACATAATGCATTTTTAGAAGCAATAAATTAGGGAACAAAAATGGACATAAAACTTATTTTCTTGTGTTGAGGCAAAATTAAGGGAGGACAAACATTTCCAGAGAATGGGGAAAAAACCTGGTACTTTATATAAGGAACTGCTATTTACGTCCTAGTCGATACTTCTGAGATTGTTTACTCTGCAGGTGAACAGTGCATATTTAAATGCATTTTGCTATTCAATATTAATTAACTCAAGAGAATGTAATTCCTGATAAAATCTTTTCAATTGACTATATATGCACAAAAATCCATTTGAACTGTCAAGAAAAATGAGTAATAGTGACATATCTGGACACTAAGGTCAGCGTATGCTAACAAAGTAAGAATGGAGGTAATTTCAAGAAAAAGATTGTCTGCTTTGCTTGGTAATTTAGCAAAATACCCAATCTAGTAGTGTAACAAGTAAGCATCATGCTCTGAATCAAATACCTTATAAAATAGTATTGGTGTGGGTTTGTAACCTTTTTAAATTCTTTCATTGCATCATTCTGCTGTTAATGTTGGTATTTATCCTGAACTGACACCCAATCTGTTCCTGTTAGTTCTTCAGCATGTTTGAAGTCAGCAGAAGCATTCTTTCCTGGGCTTTACTGCTTCCTCAGAAGAATGCACAGTATTTGGAACAAAACCACTTTTAACCCCTTCCCAGCCATCCTGAATACAAATTTCTCCCTTTTTAATAAGTTCATATATGTCTCTCGTCAAGATTGTGAAGGATTCTTCAACATTTGTAGCATCCTTTGCTGAGGTTTCTATATACTTCATTCCACAGTCTGCTGACAGTTTTTCAGCTTCTTCCCTTGTAACTTGACGTTGTGAAGCTAAATCACATTTATGTCCCACTAGCAGAAATACAATCCGAAATGGCTGTACATACATTTTTGCTTCTTCTAGCCAATCTTTCACATGTTCAAAAGATCGTCGGTTAGTAATGTCAAATACTAAAAATCCACCAACTGAGTTGCGGTAATAAGATCGGGTTATTGATCTGAAAAATGAAGAGAAAAAAGGTTGTATAAGGACAACTTGTTCTTTTTCTTCTCCTTCCAACAATCTAGCACCATAATAACATTTGAAGATATCTTAATATGATTTAACTAGAATTTATAAATAAAATATGAGGTATCTCAAGTGAACAAAAATATTCTATGGGACTAATACGCAAGTTTCATACACTGACAGAACACGAAAGTAGTAGTTATTTTTAGTTAGACAAATAAGCACTTACATGCTATGTCATCTCATACTGTCTGATTATTTGTTTTTGCTTTCAAAAATCTGATAGATTATTACATCATTGTGGTTAAAAATAAGCATATTGAAAGACTGAGTAAAGGGCACAGGTTGTACAACAAACTAGATCTTAAGAATCTCACTTGTCATAAAATTTAATGAACTCTTCTCTCTATCAGTTTAGGAAAAAGAAACAAGGGCTGTAGTATGGATCGAATGTCTGTGTCCCTCCCAAATTCTTATGTTGAAATGCTAACCCTAATGTGGTGGTATTAGGATTAGGAGGAGGGGCCTTTGGGATGTAATTTAGGTCATGAGGGTGGAACCCTCGTGAATGGGACCAGTGCCCTTAAAAAAAGATACCCCAGAGAGCACTCTAGTCCTCTTTCTACCATGTGAGGATACAAGGTGGCTGTCTGCAACCCAGAAGAGGGCCCTCACTGGAACCTGACCATGCTGGCACCAGGATCTCCCTGATCATCCACTTCCAGCTTCCAAAATTGTGAGAACTAAATTTCTGTTGTTTAAATCCCCATTCTGTGGTAATTTGTTATAACAGCCCAAACTCACGAAGACAGCAGACTTGTCACAGTATTAGTTACAGGTACAGTCTTGTGTTGCACCTATTCAAGAAACAGGAGACTGTATGGACCTGGGATATGAATCTGAGGTGTGCTAACGATTCTCTGTATGTCTCTCCAGATCTAGTCTCCATCCTTCTCTAGGCCTGAGGAAGCTGTCCTTCACAAAAAGCTTTCCCAAACTCCCTTGCCCTCCAGCTTGCAGGGGGGTTCAGCCAATGGGAGGCGCTGGCTGGAGACAGAAGGAAAGAGAAGTCAGAGTATTTATCCCTCTGTTTGCTTCTGCTGGGCTGTGGCTTAGCAGTGGTGGTATTCCTCTGCTTCTAGTCAGGGTTTCTGTAGGGTGGACCCTCTCCCATGGCTACAGCTGTCACCACGTTCTGGTAATACCATTCTCTGTCCTCTCCTCTTCCAACCAGGTGGTCAATGGCTTCCCACTGTTGCTAGCTCTGAATGCTTCACCATCCTTTATTAGTATCCTTGATGCTGATTGTATCTCTGGAAATAGTCACTTCATTAAACTCTTTTCGGCTAACCTACAATTGTGCCATCTGTTTCCTGGCTGAATCATGAGGCAAGGTGTCAAGGCTATACTGTTTTACGTTTCTTGCCCCTCCACATGTTGTTTTATCTATTTGGAATATCTTCTACCCCTTTTCTGTCTAAGAAACTCCTATGTCTGCTTCAATAGTGAGCTCAATAATCATACCATCTGAGCAGCCTTCCCTGCCACTCACCTCTTTCTTAGGTACTCTTCTTATAGTTCCTCTGAACCACTGGCATTCTGCCATTATGATTATCTTAATTTTCTTGATATGCTGACTGGATTTGCTGTTATGTCAATCATACTGCATGGCAAATGACAGATGTCATACAATGTTTGTTATATTGGATTTTTTTTTTTTTTTTTGAGATGGAGTCTTGCTCTGTCGCCCAGGCTGGAGTGCAGTGGCGTGATCTTGGCTCACTGCAACCTCCGCCTCCTGGGTTCAAGCAATTCTCCTGCCTTGGCCTCCCAAGTAGCTGGGACTATAGGCGCATGCCACCACCCCCAGCTAATTTTTGTATTTTTAGTGGAGACAGGGTTTCACCATGTTGGCCAAGATGCTCTCGATCTCTTGACCTTGTGATCCACCTGCCTCGGCCTCCCAAAGTGCTAGGATTACAGGCGTGAGCCACCGCGGCCAATATTGGATTAATTAACCTTATTGGAGAGGAAAAGTGCTAAATGCTGTATAAACCAGAGATCCCATGAGTCTCAGTTTCCAGTTTGTCAATGGTCTTTTAGCAAACTCATCTGACTACTTGCCTGAGGCACCAAGATCTTTGTGAATGGCCAGTGGGTTATTTGTTACCGTCATACTTTCCTACTTGTCCTCATTGCTGAAATCACAGCTCAGTTCAGTGCCCTGATGCCATAAATAGCTTTGTTGTGGGAGTGCAAACCATTTTACCTCCTCTTTCTTTCTATTTCTCCTGCTTCCCTGTTTCTCCTCAGAATTCCTAGTAGAGAGATTCCCAAGTGGCTATTTTTGAAAAACTTTTGTCAAGGACTATAGTATTATAGAGAAATTGAGTTTTTCACCAACCCGATGCTTAGATTCTAAAAATAAAAAAAGAAAAGAAATTGACAATAAGAAAAATCTCCCACCATCTTTGGCAGGCTATGAATAATGCAGTTGCTATATTTTAACTTTGAGGGATAACTAATTTGTTATTGTTTTGTCACTCATCTTTATATGTGTGAATTTAGGCAGATGTGCAGTGTCTTAAGAGAAATCTAATTAAGGCTATGTTCTTAGACTGAAAGCTTGAATTTACTCAGCATCAAGCCTGCATCACTTTTATCCCTCCTATCCATTTAATTTACCATTACTAGAATATTTTAAAAATGCCTTTTGTGGCTGAAAACTCAATGCTGAAATGCTTATGTATTACACAGAGGCATGTTTTTCACTGTAGGAAATACTATGTTTTCTTTTCTTTTCTTTTTTTTTTTGAGACGGAGTTTTTGTTCTGTTGCCCAGGCTGGAATGCAATGGCACAATCTTGGCTCACTGCAACCTCTGCCTCCTAGGTTCAAGCAATTCTCCTGCCTCAACCTCCTGACTAGCTGGGATTACAGGCGCCCACCACCATGCCCAGCTAATTTTTTAATTTTTAGTAGAGATGAGTTTTTACCATGTTGGCCAGGCTGGTCTCGAGCTCCTGACCTCAGGTGATCCACCCACCTTGGCCTCCCAGAGCACTAGGATAACAGGCATGAGCCACCGCGCCCGGCCAGGAAATACTATCTTTTCAAAAAACTTATTTTTTATTTTCTTTTTAAAATAAGCAACCCTATTAACTGATTGTATTTAATTTTGAAAACACATTTAGATTACAGTTGGCAAATCATCCTACAGAATAAAATTATAGCAAAGTATATGTAATACACATTATAAAAAAACCCTTATTAATAATTAGTTGGGAATAAAAGGACTCAATATAACATCTGTCACTTCTATGTAATAACCTGATTTCTAGCTTCTGTGTGTGGGTCTGTGGGGCTTCAGATTCAGATATAGTTGTCCTGCAGGTAGTGTTTTTCCTAAAACAATTGGGCACTGTTGCTATCAATCATCTGGGGGAAGAAGCAGAGCTTCAGATGGAAAACTTGAACTGAAAGGCAGGTCTTACAGAGGTGTTGAGGGAGCAGCTATCTTTCTCTTGACCTTCCTCCCATAAGTTGAGACACTTAGGTCTCTAGAAGTTCTTGAAGGAATTATGAGAAGGTAGGGAACAGACTCTAAAAGCACTAGGTAGGGAGGCCTCCCTGTAAGGAACTGAAGAGTTGATGAGGAGTAACAATTATTTTTAAGCAACAATCTCTTGTAGTATGGCACTTTATGTCTATTTCCCTCTAGGCTTTGAAAGTCTCCCTGAATGGGTGGGGTGCAGTGGCTCTCACCTGTAATCCCAGCAATTTGGGAGGCCAAGGTGGGCAGATCACCTGAGGTCAGGAATTCGAGACCAACCTGGCCAACATGGTGAAACCCCGTCTCTACCAAAAATACATAAAATAGCCAGGCATGGTGGTGCATGCCTGTAGTCCAAGCTACTTGGGAGGCTGAGGCAGGAGAATTGCTTGAACCCAGGAGGCAGAAGTTGCAGTGAGCTGAGATCACACCATTGCACTCCAGCCTGGGCGACAGAGACTCTGTCTCAAAAAAAAGAAAGAAAAAAAAAAGTCTCCCTGAATTAATGGATGATTTAAGGGAAGGAAAAAAATTGTGGGGTCAGGGAATGGAGGGAAGAAAAGAACAGAAGCAAGGAAGGAAGAGAGAAATAAATGGCATGGATTCTAATCTGGTCTGGTGTGTTATGAGGGAATGAAGAGGTGAGACTATTCTCTGGCAAGAATGATAAAGCAGATACAAAACCCCTAAATACAGTGTGAGGGTGATGTGATGATAGGGAAGGTGAATTCTGGAGGAGAGGGTTCGGGGTTATAAGCTCCTAGCAGTCGCTTGTCCCTCTCAAGTGGAAGATCTGGTTTTAATTATAAAAGAAAGCTGCTGGTTCTTTCATACTTTGAAAGCTACACTATCAGCAAATCTTATCCCATTGCCAGAGGAGCAGTCTCCTTTCCTTGCCTTAATTGAAAACTGCTGGTCCCTGAGAACACTGCTTCCCCTGCAGCACACTCACGTTGCCCATTCTCTAGGATCAGGAGGAGATGGCTTCTGTTTCCCCAGTGCAACTTCCTGATAATTATTCTTTCCCAACCCCTGTTGTAAAAAAAATCTCCTGCTCCTTTGAGGCTTATGCCATCTGGCTCTGCCAACTGCTGTCATCTTCCAACTGCTTGGTCATTCTCCATGTACTAAAGATTTTAGCACTTTGTTTTTCTTTCTGTTTCAATTCCTGTCATTCTGCTTACTGATTTCAACATCCATTTGGATGAGCTGCCTGGTGTCACTTCTCAAATTCCTTGACTCCCTCATCTCTAATAAACCTTTCTCTCTATTCTTCCTTTCTTATCCATTTCCTTTTCATCAGAAATATTAATTACCTCCAAAACTGGAAATTTACACAGTCCACTAAAAATATCAAAACCTCACAGTCTGCCAGCCTGTCTATTCTTTTTTACTGTGGTGATTCTTTAATTTCATCAAGATTTGTAATCCACTGACCAACTCTATCACTTTCTATCCATTAATACTCTCCTACCTTTGCCTTCTTCCATATCTTGAGTTCAATGAGACATCATTATAATTGTTCTCTTGGAAATATCTCAATTTCCAAGCCTCTTTCCCTCTGTCATATTCATCTGGGAAACTTCTATCTCTGGATCAGTCCAGCATGCAGCTGTATGTTTCCGGGGAAAATCACTCAACCAGGCAGGCTGGTGTCACTATGAATTAATTATAACCAATCCCAAGTGGGCACTCAACACTGCTGAGGAATACTGCTAATAACAGGAGAAACTCTTCCTTTTTTCCTCACATTTATGCTTCTACTATAGGAAGAAATGGAAGTTCCATTCAACCTTCCTCTCCCCATAAAAGAGAACTGGAGGCACATTTTAACCCTCTTACTAATCACTCCATAGAAGGACAAATGGCTGCTCTGTTTGGCTAGAGTATGTTTCTTAGGCTGTGGGCAGGATCATTGTGTGTTCAAGGTCAGTACTCTTGTATAGCGTCCTTTTCCCTCCTTTCCTCTTTCTGGATCCATGCTACTGGCTTGCTGATTATCAGAGTCATGCAGGTGCCATGTCAATACTGCTCACTGTTGAATATCAATGGTTTTCAAGTACCTAGCACATAGTGGGCATTCAGTGCACCTTAGTGAATGAATGAATGGTTGATTTGGTCTAAGCCACTTACATAGCTGTTGTGAAAATAGGAGAAATATCAGAGAGAGTGAGGAAGTTTGAGGGAAAGAGATACTAGCAGTGCAAAAAAAGAAAGGTGCCCAACATTATATCTATTACTAGTGTGGTCTTATGTTCTCACACTGAGGTCATTGAGTTGCTATGAGCATTATCAGTGTTGGAGGGGGTGGATAAATTATATATTCAGAAATACATACATCCTAAAGATATATCCAATGAAAATACAGTAGCCAGCAATCTCTGTGAAGTTTCTTGGGGGAAGGGAGTCCTTTAATCAGGGGTATGTTGATGAAACCTCTCCAAAGAAGAAAAGTTACCATATTTTATACCCCCTACTAAAAAAAAAAATGCATAATACTTGGTGAAACTTTTTCATTTTTTAAAATTTTTATAATTGTTTCTGAGATGGAGTTTCACTCTTGTTGCCTAGGCTGGAGTGCAATGGTGTGATCTCGGCTCACCACAACCTCCACCTCCCAGGTTCAAGCACTTCTCCTGCCTCAGCCTCCTGAGTAGCAGGGATTACAGGCATGCACCACCACACGTGGCTAATTTTGTATTTTTAGTAGAGATGGGATTTCTCCATGTTGGTCAGGCTGGTCTCGACCTCCCAACCTCAGGTGATCCGCCTGCCTCGGCCTCCCAAAGTGCTAGGATTACAGGCGTGAACCGTTTTTAATTTTGGAGGAAACATTATCAGTATAATGTGCTTCTCTGATCCATTAAGTGGAAAACCCAAAAGCTTGCTAGCTTTGATAGAGCTGAAAGCAAGAGAAGTCCCTTCGGCTGGTCCAAGCTACAGTGCAAGCCCACTTGGCCCATGGTCCATCAGATCTAATGGTGCCTGCCTGAAGTACCTCTAGCAGCCTGGAATGCTCATCAGGCCCAGGAAACCTCCACTGGACAATTACAGAAGTGGCATTTTGGAATAAAAGCATGCTTTTGGCCGCGTGCAGTGGCTCATGCCTGTAATCCCAGCACTTTGGGAGGCTGAGGTGGGTGGATCACAAGGTTGGGAGATTGAGACCATCCTGGCTAACATGGTGAAACCCCGTCTCTACTAAAAATACAAAAAAATTAGCCGGGCATGGTGGCGGGTGCCTGTAGTCCCAGCTCCTCGGGAGGCTGAGGCAGGAGAATGGCGTGAACCCGGGAGGTGGAGCTTGCAGTGAGCCGAGATCGGGCCACTGCACTCCAGCCTGGGCGACAGAACGAGACTCTGTCTCAAAAAAAAAAAAAAAAAAAAAAAAAAAGCATGCTTTCTTTGTCAAATACTATTATACTTTTGTAAAATAATTCTTGGCTTATAACTTGGCTTTGATAGAGACTAAATGCCTGATGGTAGAACACCAAGTGACTGTGCAATCTGAATGTCTATCATAAGCTGGGTGTTCTGATTCACCAGGCTGGAGCTTCATCACCAAGGAGAGGTCACATATATAGGAAGGAATATGCGGTGGGACCTGAATGGACCTGGAATAACAAAGTTCACAGACCCAGCACATCTATTCTTACAGCACCCTCTCAACTCATGGCCTTATCTGGATTTCCCTATAATTACAGAGGAAAAAAATTCAAGTCTGTCTTACAAATGGCTCTAAACAATATGCTGGCATCAGTAAGCCACGCTCAATGGAGAACTTGAAGGTCAGTGGAAAAGTTCCATTTGTGGAATCTCTAGTGCTACATCTCACTGTTTACTTTTTCCAGAGGAAGAGTTGGAGAGACGTAGGTAAAGATCCACACCAAGTCATGAGCAGACGCGAAGGGTTTGGCATGCTGGGTAAAAAACAAGATCGGGGCTGGTAATTAGGAGGTCTGAGGAAGAGGTCTGTTGATGAGTCTAGAGTATGTGCATTCTTGTATCTTATGTGAATGGCCACCGAAAGACCCCGCCATGAAAAAATTTTAATAATCAATGGAACAAAATGTCCTGTCCTGTAATTATCAAACAGTATTTTTATCCCACTTTGAACTCATGGTAGGGAGATGGAAGCTGTACCTGGGCTCAATAGACTTAATCTTACCTAGGTTGGCCTGAACTGTTATTGCTTACTACCAGTTTTCCAGTAGCTACCGACATCCTGAATATTGTACCTTACTCTGGGGGACCATCATTGAGGGGACACAGATATGTCCTCATTGTAATATATTTAATCTGGATTTAGGCCATGCTAGTACCACCATCCATGAACATGCAGACTGCCTTATACATAGTCATGGTATCCTACACATTGCCACAGATCAAGTAATTCACTTAACAGTGGTGGAGATAGGGAAATGGAATGATGCCATGGGATTCATTGATCATATCACACCACTATCATCTAGAGGCGTCTGGCCCTATAAAACTGTGAAATGGGTTATTAAGAGGTAGGTGTGCCCATTTCCAGGAGATGACACCTTGTAAGATTTTAGCATAATCCTTCAGGATGTCTACATTCTAAATTAGTGAGCAAGATAGTAGGTGGTATTTTTTCCCCATAAACAGAAGCTGTGGTGTGGGAAGCAAAGGGTGAAAATAGGGTGATGGTGCCTCTCACAATTCCACTTAATGAGTCACTAAAATTTTTTGTTGCATCTAATCCCTGTGACTCTGAACTTTGCTGATATAAACGTTTTAGTATTCAAGGGAGAAATGCTTTCACTAGAAAACCCCGTGATGCTTCTACTGAATTAGCAGCTGAAGCTGCCGACTAGCCATTTGGAGCTTCTTATGGCAGGGGGTGAGCAGGCAGAAAGGGGGCAACAGTATCATGGGGACCACACTGGCTTCCTGCAGTTCCTACTGCCCAGACTCCCAGGATCTTTTGATTCATTCCAAGCCTGGCCTCCACTTTCCCATCAAGTCTCTGCACCTCAACCATTCTTCTACTAACTCTCTTTTTTGAATAAGGTTCTCAAGCTGGTTTTGTTGCAGGCAACCAAGGACCTGACCAATAGAGTCAACATAGACTTTGTAAGAAAAAAATGGTACAAAACAAGCTCACAAATCTCTTATATCTTTCAACATAGCTTTACAAGACTAAAGTTCAGTTTTTAAAAAAAACTGCAGTGAAGCACACATAGCATGAGATCTACCCTCTTAACAATTTTTAAGTGTACAGTGAAGTGTACAGCACTGTTAATTTTAAGTGCCAAGGTGTACAGTAGATCTTTAGAAATTTCTCATCTTACATGACTAAAATCCTATCCCTATGAACAGCAATTCCCAATTTCCCCAGCCCACAGCCTCCAAGAACCATCATTCCACTTTCTGCTTCTGTGAGTTTTTAGATACCTCATGTATAGGTGGAATCATACGGTATTTGTCCTTCTCTGATTGGCTTGTTTTATTTTTTATTTTTATTTATTTTTTTGAGACGGAGTCTCGTTCTGTCACCAGGCTGGAGTGCAATGGCGTGATCTCGGCTCACTGCAACATCCACCTCCCAGTTTCAAGTGATTCTCTTGCCTCAGCCTCCTGAGTAGCTGGGACTACAGGCATGTGCCACCACGCCCAGCTAATTTTTTTTGTATTTTTAGTAGAGACGGGGTTTCACCACATTGGCCAGAATGGTCTCGATCTCTTGACCTCATGATCTGCCTGCCTCGGCCTCCCAAAGTGCTGGGATTACAGGTGTGAGTCACAGCACCTGGCCTTCTTTATTTTTATTTTTGAGACAGAGTTGCGCTCTTGTTGCTCAGGCTGGAACACAATGGCACGGTCTCGGCTTACTGCAACCTCCACCTCCTGGGTTCAAGTGATCCTCCTGCCTCAGCCTCCCAAGCAGCTGGGATTACAGGTATGCGCCACCACACCCAGCTAATTTCTGTATTTTTTGTAGAGACGGAGTTTCACATGTTGGCCAGGCTGGTCTCAAACTCTTGACCTCAGGTGATCCGCCCACCTCGGCTTCCCAAAGTGCTGGGATTATAGGCATGAGCCACCAGGCCTGGCCTGACTGGCTTATTTTACTTAGCACAGTGTCCTCAAGGTCCATCCATGTTGTAGCCTATGACAGAATTTCCTTCTACTCAATGGAATAATGTTCCATTGTATGTATATGCCATACTTTATTCATCCACAAGGTTCATTCTTATACATATTTGCTTTAGCATAATGAGACAAAATGGTTGCCTTGTTTATGTAAACATTATTAACTGTTTGATTTTCCTCTCTAATTATTTTTCCTAAAATAATATATAGACAAGGGATTATTTGACAGCACTGGAGTTTGCATACATTTACAAAGATTACTTAATATATGATTAATGCAATCAAGTGTGAATGATCTATTGGGGAATTTGGAATTTTACACAAATGACATGATTACTGAGGTTCTAAAAAATGTAAATGATATCTCAGATTAAACAGTTGTCTAGTTTCCTAAAAGGCACTGAAGATAAGATGCTGTTGTTAAATGAAGGACAAAACTCCATAGGCCCTGGAATGCTCAAGATTATTTATAGTAGATGCCGGACACAGTGGCTCAGACCTATAATCCCAGTACTTTGGGAGTCCGAGGTGGCAGGATCGCTTGAACTCAGGAGTCCAAGGCTGCAGTGAACTATGACTGCGCCACTGAATTTCAGCGTTGGTGACAGATTGAGACCGTGTCTCCAAAAAAAAAAAAAAAAAAAAATCTGAAAATGGCAAGATTATATAGATCTTATGTGTTATTATCATGAATTTTGTTGGATACGCACAGGCCTCTTAAAAAAGCAACAAAATAGTAAGCACTTGCTGACTTCCTTAGGTAAAATGAACCAGATGTTCCCACCCTGGAAATGCCCTTCTTGTGGCTTTGCCAACTGTAAAATAGGCATTTAGAGGACAAAAGTACTTTGATGCCAAAGTCTCTTGGCATCAAGTAGCCTATGAATGCATTAGCCTTGTGGGTGCCTGTTTTTCAGCATGACATTACATTCCTACTGCCCTTCTGGGAACAGTCATTGTGTTGATGCTTTATTTTATTTGCTTCACTTGCCTTGTGGCCCTCAGCACTGTTTTCAAGAGGCTAAAACACAAGCCTCCCTACTCCTTTGATTATTATTGACTCTAACAGTCCCTGCCCTCACTTAAGATCCTGAAACTTGGCACTTGTAACTTAGAATATTCTTTCTTCATACAAACAATCTTAAGATTCTTTTTCTTTGTGTAACTCCAGGATCTTTCCATCAAAAATCAAGTCTGTGGTTGTAGAGGCCATATATATACTGACAAGATGTAATGGGTCATATTTCCCATTTGAATATGTGAATCAATTCCCCTGTGGCTTTTATTTTTCTTTCATAACAAATAATCATTTTATGATAGTGATGCTTTCTTACCATCCCTAGGACTCTCTTCTGCTCAGCATTTACACTCTATTTTCCTCTGTAGCAATTAATACATTCTGACATCCTATATAATTTTTACAGTTTATTTTGTTATAACCCGATTAGAAGATAAGCTCTATGAGAGCAAGGATTTTGTCTTTTTTTTTTTTTTTTTAGACAGGGTCTCGCTCTGTCGCCCAGGCTGGAGTGCAGTGGTATGATCTTGGCTCACTGCAACCTTTACCTCCCAGGCTCAACTAATCCTCCCACCTCAGCATCCCAGTATCTGGGATTACAGGCGCCTGCCACCTTGCCTAGCTAAGTTTTGTATTTTTTGTAGAGACGAAGTTTCGCCATGTTGCCCAGGCTGGTCTTGAACTCCTGAGCTCAAGTGATCTGCCCACCCTGGCCTCCGAAAGTGCTGGGATTACAGGCATGAGCCACCGCGCCCAGACTTTTTTTCTTTTAAACTTTGTATCCCTAGTGTTTAAAACTGCACTGGGCATGCATGAGTCCTACCACTATTTGTAAATGAACAAATAAACAACTGAATATGTTCATACCTCATTAGCTTGTGCCCAGGCAGCATTCAAATGCTGAGGAAATGGGAGAATAAAAGAGAAATATAAAAAAAGCTTATTTCTTTTCAATATTTACAGTAGGGATTTGTAAAGTCAAAAGGGGAGAAATGGGCTGAAAATTGCACACTCTATACACATATAGGTGAAATCACCCACATTTTCTTTCTTTTTTTTTTTTTGAGACGGAGTCTCACTCTGCCACCCAGGGTGGAGTGCAGTGGCACGATCTCGGCTCACTGCAAGTTCCGCCTCCTGGGTTCATGCCATTCTCCTGCCTCAGCCTCCCGAGTAGCTGGGACTACAGGGGCCGGCCACCACGCCCGGCTAATTTTTTTTGTTTTTGTATTTTTAGTAAAGGCAGGGTTTCACTGTGTTAGCCAGGATGGTCTCGATCTCCTCACCTTGTAATACGCCCGCCTCGGCCTCCCAAAGTGCTGGGATTACAGGTGTGAGCCACCGCGCCCGGCCAAAATCATCCACCTTTTCTAAAGAACTACTGCATTTAAATGGGTAGTAATTTAAATCGTACTTTGCAGTGGATTCTGGAAGGCAGAACAAGTTATGTGTGAAAATGGAAATAATTTATTTGGAAATTAATGAGAAATGTTTCTAGCTTCACTAATTGTTTTCAAGGTGATAATGAAAGGATGCTTATTTTCTATTTGATATGGTACCAGAAAGTGTATAAAAGACTTCGGCACTTATTCCAGTGCTTTCTGGTATCCTTTTGCAGAACAATAATGAGACAATGACCAGCTTCTCAATATTATTTTATATTCCATATAACACAGTGGATTATGTGATCTAACATAATGAAAGGACATGTTTTCTTGGGTTATAATTCTCCCACCATTTCTGTGACTGCTGCTTGTTTCCATATGGCTTTTTCTATATGGCTTTGTTTCGTATGATTTCATGTATCTTTCCACATCCTGGAATTTGTAACTGATGTGAATCTTTTTCTCATTTCATTTTATTTCTGAAATTATTCAGCTTTTATTTTCAAGTCATTTAAACATCATTCTTTTTGTTCTTTTCTCTATTTTTTTTTAGATGGAGTCTCGTTCTGTCACCAGGCTGGAGTACAGTGGCGCAATCTCAGCTCACACAACCTCCACCTCCCAGGTTCAAGCAATTCTCCTGCCTCAGCCTCCCGAGTAGCTGGGATTACAGGCACGTGCCCCACACCCAGCTAATTTTTGTAGAGATGGGGTTTCTCCATGTTGCCCAGGCTAGTCTCAAACTCCTGGGCTCAAGCAATTGGCCTGCCTCGGCCTCCCAAAGTGCTAGGATTACAGGTGTGAGCCATTGGCCTGGCTCCAAATTCTTTAATGTTCTTCCTATTGAGAGTTGGGTTGTTTGTTACTGTAGCATAACCTGGCCCATCTTGATTAATATGCAAGATAATTAACCGGAAGGAAAAGTTGTGCAGGAAAGGAAAAGAAAGTCATAGCGTACTCCAGGGCTCAACAACGAAAAGTATCTACATGGTCAGAGTAACCTAAGTGCTAAGAAATGACCTTACTAAAATTAAGGTGAACAATATTGACAAGTTGGGGGAACAGGAAAAGTGAGGATGTGTGGTAAGTATACAGATAACTTATAAAAACACAAACTTTAGCTGGGCGCGGTGGCTCACG
The DNA here is from genome assembly GCF_000001405.40 of Homo sapiens. NCBI lineage: Eukaryota > Metazoa > Chordata > Mammalia > Primates > Hominidae > Homo > Homo sapiens. The sequence goes on along the minus strand of NC_000011.10, from coordinate 107,948,718 downwards.
CTTGTAATCCCAGCACTTTGGGAGGCTGAGGAAGGCGGATCACGAGGTCAAGAGATCGAGACCATCCTGGCTAACATGTAGTCCCAGCTACTTGGGAGGCTGAGGTGGGAGAATCACCTGAGCCCGGAAAGGTTGAGGCTGCAGTGAGCTGAGATCACGCCACTGCACTCCAGCCTGGGGGATGGGCGACAGACTGAGAATCCCTCTCGGCTGGGGGTGGTCGGGGGAGGGGTGCGGGGTGAAGGCTGTGCTTTAAAATCACCACATGCAACTTCTGCTCAAATCCCCTGGCCAGAACTATTCACATGACGCTGCCTAAGTGCAATAGGGAAGGGAAATATAATCCTCCCATGTGTCAAGAAAAAAAAGAAGCATTAGATACGAACACTAAATGTCCCTACCACATCGTCTTTTTCTCGTTTTCTCCTTTTTGCTAAATTTTCCATGTACTTCTCAATAATTCAATCTCAAACTCTCTGCCAGTTGCCTTATTGTAAGACGTTTATTTCCATTAGCTTTTCTGTCAATTTCATCTTCCTGAGGTCTCTCCTACAACCTTCTGCCCTGCTCCAATCTGGCATGGCTGTCCTTGGTATCTGCAGCACACACGTGATCCTAAGATCTCCCTTCACCATCTTCCTGGGAGGTTCCCTTGCCTTTTTCAGAGATAGAGCTGTTCCTTGTACCCCATGTCCTCTTCACCCCTGGTTTACTTGTGTGTGTGTGTGTGTGTGTGTACGTGTGTGTATAGCACATCTTCATCTTCAAGTAGCTTCCTTAAAAAAAGCTACATGAGGTAATATTTTGAAATCTTGCATATTGATTTATTCTGCTCTCACAGTTGAGTGATAATATGGCAAGACAGAGAATTTGCTCAGATTTTTATTCTTTTTTTTTTTTTTTTTTTTTTTGCCTGTTGATGCTGTTCCTTTCTCAGAAATTTGAAGTCATTTCTCCACTGCCTTTCAGTTTCCACTGTTGTTTCTGGAAAGTCTCAAGCCAATCTGATTCCTGATCGATCTTTTTTATAATGTGTCCTGTTTTTTCTCTCTGGAAGTTTGTAGGAACTTCTCTGTGGTTCCAGTGCTCCGAAATTTCATAATGACTGCCTTAGTGTTTCTATTTTCATCTATTGTGGTGGGCCATTCTAATCTGAAAACTCTAGTCCCTAAATTTTAGAAAACTTTCTTGAATTGCTTTACTAATTATTTCTCTCCTCTGTTTTTTCTCTTCTATCTTTCTGGAATGCCTAATATTTGCATATTGAACTTGTTGGACTAGAGTCCTTTATTGTTTAAAGAAAAATCATCTTGGCCAGGCGCGGTGGCTCATACCTGTAATCCCAGCATGTTGGGAGGCTGAGGTCGGTGAATCACGAGGTCAAGAGATCAAGACCATCCTGGCTAACATGGTGAAACCCTGTCTCTACTAAAAATACAGAAAAACAAAATTAGCCGGGCGTGGTGGCGGACGCCTGTAGTCCCAGCTACTCGGGAGGCTGAGGCAGGAGAATGGTGTGAACCTGGGAGGCGGAGCTTGCAGTGAGCCGAGATCACGCCACTGCACTCCAGCCTGCGTGACAGAGTGAGACTCTGTCTCAAAAAAAAAAATCATCTTTTTCTATTTTCTAAGTCACTGTCTTTTTGTCCTACCTTTTGAGATTTTTTTTTTCAACTTTATATTGAGTGTTTTAGTTTTGCTATTGTGTTTTCCAAAGTCTCCCAGGCCGGAGTGCACACAGCAACCTCCGCCTCCTGGGTTCAAGCGAGCACGTCTGGCTAATTTTTTATTTTTAGTAGAGATGTGTTTCACCATGTTGGCCAGGCTGGTCTCAAACTCCAGACCTCAAGTGATCTGCCTGCCTCAGCCTCCCAAAGTGCTAGGATTAAAGGTGTGAGCCACCTTGCCCAGACAGAATAATCTTTTTTTTAAAAAAAATAGTATCGGCTGGGCGCGGTGGCTCACGCCTGTAATCTCAGCACCTTGGGAGGCCGAGGTGGGCGGATCATGAGGTCAGGAGATCGAGACCATCCTGGCTAACACAGTGAAACCCCATCTCTACTAAAAAAACACAAAAAATTAGCTGGGCGTGGTGGCGGGCGCCTGTAGTCCCAGCTACTTGGGAGATTGAGGCAGGAGAATGGCGTGAACCCGGGAGGCGGAGCTTGCAGCAAGCTGAGATAGCGCCACTGCACTCCAGCCTGGGCAACAGAGCGAGACTCTGTCTCAAAAAAAAAAAAAAAAAAAAAAAAAAAAAATATATATATATATATATATATATACACACACACACACACACACACACACACACACACACACACATATATACACCCACATATATATGTGTGTATATATATGTGTGTGTGTATATATATGTGTGTGTGTGTGTGTGTATATATATATATATATAGTATCCTGTTCCTTTATGGTTGCAATGTTTTCCTTATCTCTCAGAGAAAATTAAGGACAGGTTTTTTTTTTTGTTTTTTAACATTCTCTTTTTCCCTTATTAAGTTTCTGTTTCTCCAGTTGCTGTTTCCTGTTTGTTTGTTTGTTTGTTTTGGTCCCTAGGTTTCACATGACAAATTTCCTAATATTTCTTGAAATCTTTCATGAAGACTAAATGCCTCACTGTAAGATGATCATGCTGGACCATTTAATTCAGCAAACTCAAATGTTGGTATATTTAATTCTTTCCTCTTGGCTTGGTCAGAATCCCCAGAAACAATTTTACCAGTGTATTGCTTGAAGGGTGAAGGCTTGACTGCCAGCACTCTGAGGAGCTGAGTGGAGAAAGGGGGCTAGACAGTTTTAGCATCCAACATAACAACATTCACTTAAAGCCCTTACTTTCAATAAGGAACCCCAACCTCAAAATGCCTGGTGCTTCCAGCCAAAGACCCTATTTTTGATTCTTTTCAAAGAATAAGTTTCCAGTTTTTTGCCAATGTGGTTGGCGGGGGAGAGAAAATTGTTTGATATATGGAATGGGGGAAGGAATGGCAGAATCCCATCCTTCTTAAACAGACTGACACTCAATGATCCTTATTTTAGTACTCCCACTTCCAGAAGTATCTGGTGTCACCATTTCCCAAGTCCTTGGAGGGGGGGATTCAACAGTATACATTGGGTTGGGTTTTAGATATTTTTTTTACCATTAGCTCAGAAATCAGTTTTCTTGAATCTGTGAATTCATTTACCATTCCCCATTTGCTTTCCTGCTTCCAAAATTTTGTTGCTCTTGGCTCCTACCTGTTTTCCTTGTTCAGGGATTTATGGTTGGAAAAAATACTATTGTCATTTTAGTAAGGTTTCAGGGGGAAAAAAAAGCTAAAATAGACACAGATGTTCAATCTGCTATCTTCACAAGAAACCACTTTTTTTTTTTTTTTTTTTTTTTGTAGAGACGGGGTTTTGCTGTGTTGCCAGGCTGGCCTTGAACTCATGAGCTCAGGCGATCTGCTGACCTCAGCCTCCCAGAGTGCTGGGATTACAGGCATAAGCCACCATGGCTGGCGGCTTCTTTTTTTTTTTTGAGATGGAGTCTTACTCTGTCACCTAGGCTAGAATGTAGTGGCACAATCTTGGCTCACTGCAACCTCCGCCCCCTGGGGTTCAAGCGATTCTCCTGCCTCAGCCTCCCAAACAGCTGGGATTATAGGCATCTGCCACCATGCCTGGCTAATTTTTGTATCTTTAGTAGAGATGGCGTTTCACCATCTTGGCCAGACTGGTCTTGAACTCCTTACCTTGTGATCCACCCACCTCAGCCTCCCAAAGTGCTGGGATTACAGGTGTGAGCCATCATGCCTGGCCTGGCTGGCTTCTTTTTCTATTGTTAATGTTTCCTACTGTCCTCTTACTACTGACATATTCAGCATGTCCCAGAATCAAGCATCACCTCCTTTGGGATACATCCCCTGAAACTGGTCATCACCCTAGGCACAGATGACAATTCCTCCTCCTGTTCTGTCACTGAAACTTATTTAAGTACTTACCATCTTTTTCTGCAATTGTTTGATTATTTTCTTTCTGGCCTGGCGCGGTGGCTCACGGCTATAATCCCAGCACGTTGGGAGGCTGAGGCGGGCAGATCACAAGGTCAGGAGTTCGAGACCAGCCTGGCTAACATGGTGATACCCTGTCTCTACTAAAAATACAAAAATTAGCCGGGCATGGTGGCACGCACCTGTAATCCCAGCTACTTGGGAGGCTGAGACAGGAGAATCTGGGAGGTGGAGGTTGCCTTGAGCCGAGATTATTTTCTTTCTTTGCTATAAGTCTGTGAGAAAGACCACTGACTAGCCTCCAGTATCTATTAACAGACCTCCAGGAGTTTTAGCTGACACATAGCAACCCATCGAGAGACTATATTCCCCAGCTTCTCCTGCAGCTAGTTGTGGCCATGACACTAAATTTGGATCAATGGGATATAAGAAGGATCGTGTGCAGTCTGACATTCATCTACATGAAGAAGTCAATTGCCCATGCTTCCTCTTTTTCCTTCCTGCTTGCTAAGAAATGAAAATGACTAGAGAACCCTAGAAACTGATGTTGAGGCAGAGCCCCCTGATTATCCAGGACTGCTCATTCTGGACTACTATTATTATTTTTTTTTTTTTTTGAGATGGAGTCTCACTGTGTCGCCCTGGATGGAGTGCAGTAGCACGATCTTGGCTGACTGCAACCTCTGCCTCCTGAGTTCAAGCAATTCTCCTGCCTCAGCATCCCAAGTAGCTGGGACTACAGGCAACTGCCACCATGTCCAGCTAATTTTTGTATTTTTAGTAGTGATGGGGTTTCACCATGTTGGCCAGGCTGGTCTTGAACTCCTGACCTCAAGTAATCCACCCGCCTCAGCCTCCCAAAGGGCTGGGATTACAGGCATGAGCCACTGCACCCAGCCTCTGGACTACTATTATAAGAGAGAAATAAAGCTCTACATTATTTAAGTTGCCATATCTTGGCAGTCTGTTATAGCAGTGTAGCCTGGATTCTACCCAGTACAGAGACTGTATGGACCTTGAATGTGAGACTATAACTTATTTATTTTATCTTTAGTGCCTGGCATATATTTAAGGTAAATAAATGCATGGATTTCCACAAGTAAATCCTTGTCCTGATTAATTTCTTTTTTTTTTTTTTTTTGAGACGGAGTCTCACTCTGTCACCCAGGCTGGAGTGCAGTGGTGCAATTTCGGCTCACTGCAACCGTCGCCTCCCAGGTTCACGCCATTCTGCTGCCTCAGCCTCCCGAGTAGCTGGGACTACAGGCACTCGCCACCACACCTGGCTAATTTTTGGTATTTTTAGTAGAGTCAGGGTTTCACCGTGTTAGCCAGGATGGTCTCAATCTCCTGACCTCGTGATCCGCCCACCTGGGCCTCCCAAAGTGCTGGGATTACAGGTGTGAGCCACTGCGCCCAGCCTGTCCTGATTAATTTCATCTTCTCCAGAAAAAAAAAATGGGACAGCATTTAAGGATTGGAAAGCTATTTCATAGTACTTATGAAGCTTTAGAACATCACATTCAGTATGTGCCCAGCTTTGCCCAATACCCAACACTTCTTCTTATCTAACAAGGCTAACCATTTCACAGAAGTTTCTCCACTTCAGTGTTAAAGTTCATTACTGTTACTAAGTGTAGCAGTGTAGTCACTGAGTATTGCACAGAGGGGAGGGTTATTTGTTACTGATGCCATAGGTGTTTGCTGACAGTTATCTGTATTGCTACTATTGTGTAAAGCTATTTCTCCTTTTGTTTTCAGAATATAACAATAAAATAGTGGTTTGGGTGAACATAATAATGAACTTGGGTCTACAGGGATGGGAAGTTGAGTTGTATGCAAACCAAAATACTTTTCAGGACAGAAATTATACAAAATTCTAGCTTGCCCTCTGGAGACATACACACACACACACACACCCCATACAACATGCCATTAAAACTTGTTTCAACCATGACAAGAGGATGGGCATAGCAGGAAGAGCACTGAAAACGTTCAGAGAACTAGGTTCTTGTGCAAACCACTAATAAACTATAAGGCCTTGGGCAAGTAACAGCCTCTATGGACATTAATTATATAAGAAATGAGGCTGAGTGTTGGTAGCTCATGCTTGTAATCGCAGCACTTTGGAAGGCTGAGGCAGGAGGATCACTTGAAACCAAGAGTTCCAGCCTAGGCAACAGAGCAAGACCCCATCTCTAAACAAACAAACAAAAATTAGCCCAGGAGTTCCAGGCTGCAGTGAGCTATGATCACACCACTGCACTTCAGCATGAGTGACAGAGCAAGACCCCATCTCAAAAAACAAATAAATCAAGAGACTGTTGTTTTAGATTGTCTCTCTGCTCCTTCCCAGTCCAATGGCTGTAGTTACTTACCTATCAAAATGGCCAAAATGTTGACCACAGCGTGGTTGACCTCTGTAGTTTTCTCATGTGTCCTTTCTTCTTCACTTGGACTTTGTTTTCAATTTACCTCTTACTCTTTTTCTTCTCTTCCAAAAGTTCTCTGCTATACAAAAATTATACTTTCTATTCCATTTTTGATTATCTTTTTAGGATCTACCCATCTGTTCTATCAAATGTCAGTCTTTTTTTTTTTTTTTTTTTTTTTGAGATGGAATCTCTCTCTGTTGCCCAGGCTGCAGAGCAGTGGTACGATCTTGGCTCACTGCAACCTCCCTCTCCCAGGTTTAAGCGATTCTCCTGCCTCAGCCTCCTCAGTAGCTGGGATTACAGGTGTCTGCCATCAAACCCAGCTACTTTTTGTATTTTCAGTAGAGACAGGGTTTCACCATGTTGGCCAGGCTGGTCTCCAACTCCTGACCACAAGTGATCCACCCGCCTCAGCCTCAGCCTCCCAAAGTGCTGGGATTACAGGCGTGAGCCACTGCGACTGGCCCGAATCTGTCTTAAATTTCCCCTCCTATTAGCTTCATTAAATTTTGCTTTCGTAATCCCATAGACTTTCTATAGCCTTTTTATATCTAAGAAATCTAAAATTATGATCATTTGTCCATTTGCTCCTTTATCTTTCATCCAGATTTACTAGTGATTCTCATCGGAAGGCTTTGTGCTTAAAACAAGTGCTAATACTTTATATGATCTGTGTAAAAATATGACAAGTGACTAGAGGTCAGGCAAGAAGATAAATCTTTTAATTTTGAATGAGGGGACAAAAATTAGGGACTCTCAAGAGCTATTAGATCTTTACCTAAAATATAGTAATCAAGTATTTAAAAAGGGAGAGTTGAGGAAATCATCCAGAAGCATCAGCAAGACATAGAGAATCATATGAGAGAATAAACTGCAAGAGGTCCTCAAATATATTCCTAAAATTTAAGGAATTGCCTACACTTTTTCTTTCAGGTATCAGTTCCTAAAGTATGTTTTGCAGAACACTAGTACTGCAAAACACTGTGTAATAGGACTCTGGGTTGGGAAACACCATATCTGCCTTGGGGGTTCACAATGTGTATTAGTATATTAAAAGTCGTCTGAGAAGTCCTGCAATGACCCAGCATTTTCAAAACTATTTGATCAAGAAACCCTTTTCTCAAATTACGTCTATTAATATCATGTTGAAAATGCTACTGTAAAGAAAAATGATACGCAATGCCTATAATTTGAGAACGTATAATCTTTCTTCATAATGTCTTCTCTTATAGCTAGGAACTTCCTAGTATCTACCTAACTTATAATAGGACAGGTAGATTGTGTGAAGTGGATTTTTTTTTTTCTGAGATGGACTCTTGCTCTGTCGCTTGGCTGGAAGGCAGTGGCGTGATCTCGGCTCTCTGCAACCTCTGTCTCCCGGGTTCAAGTGATTCTCCTTCCTCAGCCTCCTGAGTAGCTGGGACTACAGGCACATGCCACACCACACCCAGCTAATTTTTTGTATTTTAGTAGAGATGGGGCTTCACCACGTTGGCCAGGATGGTCTCAGTCTCCTGACCTCATGATCCAACCACCTCGGCCTCCCAAAGTGCTGGGATTACAGGCATGAGCCACCACACCCGGCCGAGGTGGTCATTTTTAAAGCAAACTTCCCTGAATCATATATTATCAGAATTGATTAACAGTTACTGACATTTAGAGGCAGATTTATTAAAATCATGAAGTATAAGCTTGTAGGAATTTTGCTCTTGAGATAATTAAAACAGGCTCGCACCTGTAATCCCAGTACTTTGGGAGGCTGAGGCAGACAGATGATTTGAGGTCAGGAGTTTAAGACCAGCCGGGCCAACATAGTGAAACCCCTTCTCTATTAAAAATACAAAAATTAGCCAGGCGTGGTGGCGTGCGCCTGTAGTCCCAGCTACTCGGGAGGCTGAGGTGGTAGGATTGCTTGAACCGGGAGACAGAGGTTGCAGAAAGCCGAGATCGTGCCACTGTACTAGAACCTAGGTGACAGAATGTGACTCATCTAAAAAAAAAATAATAATAATAATAAAAATAAAAATATTGCTTAAATTATATCCGATGATATTCCCTGGTGTGTGTCTGTGTGTGTACCTCAGTATCACTTAAGGGGCTTACCTTTCTTTGCCACTGCTTGACAGAGCAGGCCAGAAGAAAGGAAATTCCCTCCAAATCAGTCAGGACACAAATAACTGGTTCTTTATATATTAAAATAAATATTTTTGGACAATTCCAAGAAATTCCTCTTCAAACTTTTAAGTCACATTGCTATGGAAGGTAAATTATCAAAAAATCATTGCATGCTAGCCAAATTGACTGACAATGCCTGGAAATTTCATCTCTCGGACTGAGTAAAGCACTTTTCTTCACACAACTTCACTGCGGTGATCCATGGACTCACAACCATATCTTTAACTTTTTCTAGCCCTTGTTTTGAAAGCTCAACATGAAGCCAGTGAGTCAGAATAGGTGGTCACTGCTGTGGCATGACGAGAGAAAATTCCAACACCCATCAGCCACATATCAATACTTCTGCAACAGGGAAATGTTATTTCAAGATGAAATAACATTTCAAGGTGAGGTGCTATCTCTTTTGGTGTTCCTTCTCTTTAAAATATAAATACTCCAGGCAGGTCTCTCATTACGTTCTTTTCCTTTTTTTTTTTCTTTTTTTTTTTCTTTGAGATGGAGTCTGGCTCTATTGCCCAGGCTGGAGTGCAGTGGCATGATCTCGGCTCTCTGCAAGCTTTGCCTCCCGGGTTCACGCCATTCTCCTGCCTCAGCCTCCAGCTGGGACTACAGGCGCCTGCCACCATGCCCGGCTAATTTTTTTTTTTTTTTGTATTTTTAGTAGAGACGGGGTTTCACTGTGTTAGCCAGGATGGTCTCGATCTCCTGACCTTGTGATCTGCCCGCCTCGGCCTCCCAAAGTGCTGGGATTACAGGCGTGAGCCACCACGCCCGGCCACGTTATTTTCAACTATTAATAATTTTGTGTGTCTTGGTTGTTCAACTACTTCTCTCTCTCTTTTTTTTTTTTTTTTTTTTGAGACAGAGTCTCGCTTTGCCGCCCAGGCTGGAGTGCAGTGGCACCATCTCAGCTCACTGCAACCTCCACCTCCTGGGTTCAAGTGATTCCTCTGTGTTAGCCTTCCAATTAGCTGGGATTACAGGTGGATGCCACCACGCCTAGCTAATTTTTTTCTATTTTTAGTAGGGACGGGGTTTCACCAGCTTGGCCACACTGGTCTTGAACTCCTGACCACAGGCAATCTGCCTACCTCGGCCTCCCAAAGTGCTGGGATTACAGGCGTGAATAGTTTACTTCAGGATGTATTAATTACCTACACAGACTAATGCAACACTGAGGTTGTGGCTATATACTGCTAAACCAATTAATTTATTGGAGAAGAAAAGAAAGAAAAATAATCACAGGTTTTCAAATGTCTGGCTAGCTTCTAGACTATACTGATCATACAACCACACAAAATGTTCTGAATGCTCTGAGTAGACACTGAAAATAATCTTTTTCTTTTTCTTTCTTTTTTTTTTTTTTGAGATAGGGCCTCTCTCTGTTGCCCAGGCTGGAGTGCAGTGGCACAGTCATGGCTCACTGCAGCCTCGACCTTTGGGACTCAAGTGATAGTCTTACCTCAGTCTCCCAAGTAGCTGGGACTACAGGGGCACTCCACCATGCCCACCTAATTTTTTTTTTTTTTTTTTTTTTATAGACGAGGTCTCACTATGTTGCCCAGACTGGTCTCGAACTCCTGGGCTCAAGAGATCCACTCGCTTTGGCCTCTCAAAGTGTTGGGATTACAGGCATGAGCCACTGTGCCTAAAAATGTCTGGCTACACAGATCATCTTTTGGCACTCTGGTGCACTTGTTAGAAACGATGCTGTCTCATTCTTTTTTTTTTTTTTTTTTTTTGAGACGGAGTCTTGCTCTATTGCCCAGACTGGAGTGCAGTGGCGTGATCTCGGCTCACTGCAACCTCCTCTTCCTGGGTTCAAGCAATTCTCCTGCCTCCGCCTCTCGAGTAGCTGGGATTACAGGTGTGCACCATAACCGGCTAATTTTTGTATTTTTAGTAGAGACTGGGTTTCACCATGTTGGCCAGGCTGGCCTCGAACTCCTGACCTCAGGTGATCCGCCCGGCTCGGCCTCCCAAAGTGCTGGGATTACAGGCGTGAGCCACCATGCCTGGCCATCTCATTCTTATATACCATTTTACTCTCAAACACCATAAAATAGACACTTTGGGGGTGACTGCTCATTTCCCTTCTCTGTGAATTTCTCTTTCCAAAAAAGTGGACCTTTACAGATACATTTACATTATCTGACCCATAATACCTACTTAGTATATTTATGTTATAATACATTTGTATTATATGTCTGTGTAACTCAATAACCTGACTGCAGGGGAGCTGATTCACTGGATAGTTAAGTAGTCAATGAGATATTTTTTCTTTCAAGAGTTTGAATAAGAGGCTCAGAGACTGAGAGCTAGGAGCCAACAGAGTTGGAGAAGGGAAATAGACTAGAGGGGAAGTCCACAAACTCTTGTTTTAAAATTTTTCATACTTCCTAGCTGGGCATGGTGGCAGGTGCCTGTAATCCCAGCTACTTGGGAGGCTGAGGCAGGAGAATCACTTGAACCCAGGAGGCGGAGCTTGCAGTGAGCCGAGATTGCGCCACTGCACTCCAGCCTGGGCGACAGAGCAAGACTCCATCTCAAAAAAAAAAAAAATAGTAATAATTCCATACTTCCAAACACCTGGATGTTCAGTGAGCTTTTGCTTTCATGAAATCTGTATCATTTATAATTTATTCCCTATTAAACTAATTTGGGCCTGGTGCAGTGGCTCATGGCTGTAATCCCAACACTTTGGGAGGCCAAGGAGGGAGGATCACTTGAAGCAAGAAGTTCAAAACCAGCCTGGGCAATACAGCGAGACCCTGTCTCTACAAATTTTTTTTTTTTTTAATTAGCTGGGTGCCATAGCATGTGCTTGTAGTCCTAGCTACTCAGGAGGCTAAGGTAAGAGGATCACTGGAGCCCAAGAGTTTGGGCTGCAGTGAGCTATGATTGTGCCACTGCACTTCAACCTGGGCTACACAGCAAAACTCTGTCTCTAAAAAACAAATAAATAAATGAATTTGGCTAGATTTCTACTACTTACAATACACTTTTAACTAAGACATTATATTACCTGATAATAGAACTATAGCTGACCTTTCTATTAACAATAACTTGGAACTACAGTAGACTGCAGTGATTATGGTCATCTCTGCTCTGTTACCTATGCAATTATGGACCCACCAATCATTTTCTTCATTTGTTTTTTTTTTTTTGGAGGGGGAGTCTCGCTCTGTCACCCAGGCTGGAGAGCAGGGGCGCAATCTCGGCTCACTGCAACCTTGCAACCTCCACCTTCTGGGTTCAAGGGATTTTCCTGCCTCAGCCTCCCAAGTAGCTGGGATTATAGGTGTGCACCACCATGCACAGCTAATTTGTTTTTGTATTTTTAGTAGAGATGGGGTTTCACCATGTTTGCCAGACTGGTACCAATCATTTTCTACTGAAGGAACAAAAAATCGTTTTCTTTTGAAGGCCATGAACCACAGTGAGGGAGCTGAGAATCAAATGAGGGACTTTTTAAAAAGAAACAAAACCAAAAATAACTAATTTAGTTTAGAGATTTTAAAAAGTCTCTTAAGAAGAAATTTAAAATGTTAATATTGCTTGCTTTTAAAATTAAGAACAGAGTACATAAATTAAATCACTTTGAAACATTAACTTTATATGGATGTTTGGAAGAGGCAGAAGAGAAAACAGACACATGCGGTAGCCAGTGGGAGAAGAGAAGATAAGCCAGTGGGATAAGGGAAGATAAGCTAAAAGGAAATGGAAGAGTAAGAGACACATTAAAATAAAAATGGGGTGGGGGGAAGAGGATGAAAGTAAACATCAGTATGGATAGACAGAGGAAAGGGGTAAAGAAAAAATAAAAATAAGCTGGAGGGGGACTAATGTCAGAGGCATTCGAACCAGAGTGACTCCATTTTGAGCAAGGGCTAGGAAAATGACGCCAGGTGCAGTGGCTCACGCCTGTAATGCCACCACTTTGGGAGGCCGAGGTGGGCGGATCACTTGAGGTCAGGAATTCGAGACCAGCCTGGCCAACATGCTGAAACCCTGTCTCTACTAAAAATACAAAAACTAGCTGAGTATGGTGGCACACACCTGTAATCCCAGCTACTTGGGAGGCTGGAGAATTGCTTGAATCCAAGAGGGAGAGGTTGCAGTAAGCCAGGATGACACCACTGCCCTCCAGCCTGGGTGACAGAGCAAAACTGTCTCAAAAAAAAAAAAAAAAAAAAAAAAAGTGGCCAGGACTTGCTGGGCTGCGTTCCCCAGAAAGTTGGGCATTCCTAGCCTCTAGATGTTTATGGCTAAGGGAACAAATTAATAATGTTTACTAAACAGACCCAGACTTGGGAGTGTCCAGATATTCCAATATCTGGAGAACAAAGGCATTCCTAATTTTGCTTTAAAGATAATAATATCGATTCTTGCAAAATGTGGTAATTAAGAAAATTAATCCTTTATTAGCTGGGCGCGGTGGCTCACACCTGTAATCCCAGCACTTTGGGAGGCCGAGGCAGGTGAATCACCTGAGGTCAGGAGTTCGAGACAAGCCTGGCTAACAAAGTGAAACCTTGTCCCTACTGAAAATACAAAAAATTAGCCGGGCATGGTGGCAGGCGCCTGTAGTCCCAGCTACTCGGGAGGCTGAGGCAGGAGAATGGTGTGAACCCGGGAGGTGGAGCTTGCAGTGAGCCGAGATCGCACCACTGCACTCCAGCCTAGGCGACAGAGCCAGACTCTGTCTCCAAAAAAAAAAAAAGAAGAAGAAAGAAAATTAATCCTTTATCACAAACCCTTGTGGCAGAGAGCACATCTCCTCATATATATACAAGCATTGTACCTAGGGCGGATGCGTTCCTCCTGCTACTTTCAGGTACGTCCTACTCTGTCTGTGTAGTAGCTGTTCTTTCACCACTTTACTTTCTTAATAAACTTGCTTTCATTTTACACTGCAGACTTGCCCTGAATTCTTTCTTGTGCAAGATCCAAGAACCCTCTCTTGGGGTCTGGATCGGGACCCCTTTCCTGTAACAGTAAGACACCTGGCAAGGAGAAAGATGCATAGCAGAAGAGGAGCTAGGGGAAAAAACATGGAGAGGCAGGCAAAGGCCGGGAAGATTTAGTGGTAATAGTTAGGGGCTGCTCCCAGATTCTGTGGGGAAGGGAGAGGAGGGAGGCTGTCTCTATTTTTTTTTTTTTTTTTTTTTTGAGACGAAGTCTCGCTCTTGTCCCCCAGGCTGGAGTGAAATGGTGTAATCTCGGCTCACCGCAACCTCCGCTTCCTGGGTTCAAGCGATTCTCCCACCTCAGCCTCCTGAGTAGCTGGGATTACAGGCGCCTGCCACCACGCCTGGCTAATTTTTGTATTTTTAGTAGAGATGGGGGTTTCACCATGTTTGGCCAGGCTGGTCTCGAACTCCTGACTTCAGGTGATCCACTCGCCTTGGCCTCCCAAAGTGCTGGGATTACAGGTGTGAGCCACCACGCCCGGCCTGAGGCTTTCTCTTATAGCACTTACTGCTTACAGCCCTTAACCAAGTTAATTAATTGGTTAAGTTTGTCTGCAGGTCTTCCATTGCTACAAACCTCAAGTATTTAGTGGTTCTGCTCAAAGAATATGCTAAGGCAACTTATCAAGGGAGCTATTCCCAAATTATACTCCTTAGAGCACCAGTTATCATAGATTTTCTTTTTCCTCTTTTTAGAGACAGGGTCTAGCTCTGTCACCCAGGCTGGAGTGCAGTGGCATGATCATAGCTCACAGAAGCCTCGACCTCCTGGGCTCAAACCACCCTCCTACTTCAGCCTCCTGAGCAGCTGGGGATGCAGGTCCATGCCACCATGCCCAGCTAATTAAAAAAATTTTTTTTTGGTTAGAGACAGGGTCTTGATTTGTTGTCTAGGCTGGTCTTGAACTCCTAGCTTCAAGTAATTCTCCTGCCTCAGCTTCCCAAAGTGTTAGGATTACAGACGTGACTCACCGCATCCAGCCTAGATTTTCATATTTTAAAAATAGCCCCTAAAATAAATTGGGAAATACTAGGTTAATCAAAGTTAAACAGGTTTCTTTGCTGCAATACTTCTTCGAGCCTTTGATATGAATTTTTAAGAGAGTGCCATATGGAATACAGGGATTTCCAAACTTACTTGATCACAGAATGCTTCTTTTAAAAAGAATCACAGGCTGGGTGCGGTGGCTTACGCTTGTAATCCCAGCACTTTGGGAGGCTGAGGCGGGTGGATCACTTGAGGTCAGGAGTTCGAGACCAGCCTGGCCAATATGGTGAAACCTCGTCTCTACTAAAAGTACAAAAATTAGTTGAGCTTGGGGCGCCTGTAATCCCAGCTACTCAGGAGGCTGAGGCAGGAGAATCGCTTGGACCTGGAAGGCAGAGGTTGCAGTGAGCCGAGATTGCGCCACTGCACAAGAGCAAGACTCCATCTCAAAAAAAAAAAAAGAATCACAGGTGAGGCACAGTAGCTCATGCCTGTAATCCCAGCACTTTGGGAGGCCGAGGCGGGCAGATCACTTGAGATCAGGTGTTCGAGACCAGCTTGATGAAACCTCCATCTCTACTAAAAATACAAAAATTGGCCAGGTGCTGTGGCGCATGCCTGTGGTCCTAGCTACTCGGGAGGCTGAGGGAGGAGAATCGCTTGAACCTGGGAGGTGGGGGTTGCAGTGAGCCGATCGTTTCACTGCACTCCAGCCCCAGGTGACAGAGTGAGACTCTGACTCAAAAAAAAAAAAAAAAAAAAAGAAAGAATAAAAAAGAAGGAAAGAAATACACACACACACACACACACACACACACACACACACATATATATATATAAAGAATCACAGGAAAGAGTGTTCTGCAGAGCACTCCTTGACAGCACTGCACGAGGAGGACATTAATACCCCAAAGGCCAGGTAACGTCAGATAAAAGGCCAAACCTGGCTCAAAGCCTAGAGGTTTCCCATTCTACAGCTAACATTGCTATGTATTTATCTCATATTATATTCATATAACTTTAAACGCTTTTTATGGGAAAAGTTCAAAATTTCTATTCTTACACTTAATGCTCTCCATACACCTAGCTCTTCCAATATAGTTATCCTTATTAACACTGTATTAAACAATATTCTCGTTTCCTTTACTGCTAAACTAATCCCAGCACTTTAGGAGGCTGAGGTAGGCAGATTACACGAGCCCAGGAGCTCGAGACCAGCCCAGCCACCATGTTGAAACCCCATTTCTACTAAAAATACAAAAATTAGCTGGGCATGGCGGCACACACCTGTAGTCCCAGCTACTTGGGAGGCTGAGGCATAATAATTGCTTGAACCTGGGAGGCATAGGTTGCAGTGAGCTAAGATCTGGCCACCACACCCAGCCTGGATGAGAGAGCGAGATTGTCTCAAAAAACAAAACAAAACCAAAATTTATAAAAAAGTGATTACTAGCTTCCCCTAACACCTACAGTGCCAAAGGCATCTTTCCTACATCCTAGGCACATAATGGCCCAGTCTAAGTGTCTCCTTGTAACTAAGATCTCCCCAATGAATTGAGAGCCGAAAGAATCTATACCATGTTGGCCTCACTTGCTTAAAAGAAACTTTGCTTGGTATAGAGCTGCTCTTTCTCCTTCCCCTGAACTGACACACAGTGTGCTTATAACCCAGCTTTGCTCATGTAGATGATGGTAACATCCTAGGCATGGCAGAAAATTAAGGAAGAAGGAAACTGAATGATGGTCTGGTGCAGAACCACTCCACCAACTTGGACCACTCTATACACAAGAGAGAAATAAACTTTCATCTTTAATGAAGGCACTGTAATTCTAAATTTCTTTAATATACAAATCTACAGTTATGTTCACATATACATTATTTTTCTAAATCTTTTTCACTTGGATTTTGTCCCTTTTTATTTCAGGCAAGTAGTTAGCCTCTATTAGCATGTTAGTCTGAACATTGAAAACTAAGGCTGGCCTGGCGCAGTGGTTCAGGCTTGAAATCCCAGCATTTTGGGAGGCCGAGGTGGGTGGACTGCTTCAGCCCAGGAGTTTCAGACCAACCTGGGCAACATGGCCAAACCCTGTCTTTACAAAAAAAGATACAAAAATTAGCTAGGCGTGGTGGTGTGTGTCTGTAGTCTCAGCCACTTGGGAGGCTGAGGCAGGAGAATTGCTTGAGCCTGGGAGGTGGAGGCTGCAGTGAGCCAACATTGTGCCACTGCATTCCAGCCTGAGTGACAGACCCTGTCTCAAAAAAAAAAAAAAAAAAAAGAAGGAAAGAAAGAAAACGAAAGCTAATCACGATCATAATTACCAACTCACTAACCTATTGTTCTGTAATACATTTATTATGCTTTCAAGCTACCTCATGAGCTAAGTAGGTTCCTTTTTGTCAGTTTATATCCAATCACCAATAAACCTTCAAACATGACATTTCCCACAAATTCTTCATGATATGATTATGACTAATGACAGGAATACATCTTCATGACCTACAGTACCTTTCTATAAAATAAAATATGCAATGATATCTATTATTCAAAATTAGAATCTGTAATTTCTTGATGAAAGATACAGAATGATTTAATAGTAATTGTTTTAAATGCAATCTTAAGGTAAAACATTCTGGTAAATGAGAGAAAAGCAAGTATTTGGAGGTAGCTACTGAAATACGTATGTATTTACAAACAGAACTTTGGTAAAGAGCCAAACAAAATAAATTATGACTCACTGTCAGTAAACATTCCCTAAATGTCCTTGCATTATAATGCGAGAGTTACTGTTTGGTTTTAATAATGTACATAAAATGAATTATTATTTACATTCTTCTTCAAGGCATTAAAAAACAATCATCTAGGCCAGGCGCGGTGGCTCACGCGCCTGTAATCTCAGCACTTTGGGAGGCTGAGGCAGGTGGATCACCCGAGGTCGGGAATTCAAGACCAGCCTGACCAACATGGGGAAATCCCCGTCTCTACTAAAAATACAAAATTAGCCAGGTGTAGTGGTGCATGCCTGTAATCCCAGCTACTCGGGAGGCTGAGGCTGCAGAATTGCTGGAACCTGGGAGGCGGAGTTTGCAGTGAGCAGAGATCGCGCCATTGCACTCCAGCCTGGGCCACAAGAGCGAAACTCCGTCTCAAAAAAAAAAAAAAAAGTTAAAAAACAATCATCTCTATCATCTATTTAGCAGAAAGGTCTTTAAAGTCTAACAAATTAATTATCATTTAATTTCTTGTCAATAAGTTGAGCTACTTATTTATTTATTTATTTATTTTTGAGACTGAGTCTGGCTCTGTCACCCAGGCTGGAGTGCAGTGGCGTGATCTTGGCTCACTGCAAACTCTGCCTCCCAGGTTCAAGCGATTCTCCTGCCTCAGCCTCCTGAGTAGCTGGGACTACGGGCACACACCACCATGCCCAGCTAATTTTTGTATTTTTGGTAGAGACAGGGTTTCACCTTATTGGCCAGGCTGGTCTTGAACTCTTGACCTTGTGATCCACCCGCCTCAGTATCCCAAAGTGCTGGAATTACAGGCGTGAGCCACCCTGCCCAGCCAAGTTGAGCTACTTTTAAGGAACTAATTAAACACAATAAGATTTTATTACCCATGTGTCTTGTAGTTGCAACTCAAAGTAGCTGTTAGAAGTTTAAGACATAAAGGTTTTTATTGTATTCACTTCAGAGGGGGGGTCAAGAGCTAACAGCAAATGCTTTTTTTCTGAGCCTGATATATCGCAAAGTTTACCTCTGATTGAGATCACATGTGAAGGAATTGGCAATCAACTTAGAATGGTAAAACTGGAAGGAATGTTAGAGATCACGACGACTTTCATTTTACAGATGAGGAATCAAACATTTGAAAAATTATTTTAATAAAAGGAGGCTTCTTGAAAAGGAAAAACATTTTTCATGGAATTCTACGTGTTGTACAAATCCAATCAATAATCTTTTAACACCTCTCTGAAGCGCTGGCCTTACCATCTTTCCACTTCACACACACGAAAACTAAGGTATAAGCAAGCTAAGCAGTTCACTCATTATCTCTATGAATCAGCATCATTGCTAGGAACGGAAGCCAAAACTTTGAATGTTGGACCATTCTCACAGATGTAGGCTGATCTCATTCGCAGTGATGCTGGCTGGGGGCGAGGGGAAGCCATGTTTGGGAAGTCCCCTCATGGAACACTGCATTTCACAAGCAGAGTACTTGCTGACTAACGCAAAATGCTTCCTTAAATGAGTTCCAATGGATAATGCAGTCTTTAAGAAACAGAACAGTACAATACATCAGTTTCACCATCTTCCTCTAAAACGAAGTGCCTTTGAATCCTAGACATTTAAAATTTGCTTTAAACCTGCTTCCATCTCAAATATTCAGGAAATGCATATAATTTCATTTACTTTTTATTTACACAAGTCGCCTTTGTGAAACCCTTCATGTCCCCAGCGGATATTTAGGAGGAGACTATTCATTTGGATCCCTCCTTCTGTCTTTAGAAATATTATCACCCTGGAACGTTAAGTACTGATCATAAGCAAAATTAAAGTTCCTGGCGAATCTCAATATATGTCTTTTTCCCACCAAACATGACAAACTTCTAAAGACAACTCAACCCTTCACATACACACACACACACACACACACCCTCAGCTGTGCCAGTGTCCCTGATGTTGCATCTAGTTAACCTACAAGACCCATTCCCACGGGTCATGACCCAGTATTTCTGATGACCACATTCAGTGCTGTGAGGTGCCCAAACCATTACCGCATCCACCTCTCTGTGAACCATGCCCAGTGAGCTCATGCAGGAACCTGGGTTGGAGCGCTCCTTGCTGTGAAGCTAAAGGATCCATCACGAATCTGGGAACCCTCCCTCGCGGTTCTCCCCGGCCACACAGCGTGGGAGCCGCTGGGTTAGGGTAGGAAAAGGGGCGCCTGCTTGGAGGAGGGTGGTCGGGTCATGCTGTGCGCAGCCAGGGAAGCCGAGTTTGGGAAGAAGGCAGCCGGGGAGCCGGAGGGGATAAAAATACCCACAGGGGCTGAAAGAGTTGGGGAAGAGGGGGCGGCGAGGACGACCCCGGTTCAGGCGGGAAAGGAAAGATGGAAAGGGGGCGCAGGAAATGGGCGCCAAAGAAAGAAGTGAGAAATTGCGGAGGAGGAAGTCGTCCCTGGAAGAGGAGGGGCAAAGGGGAAGCGAGAATGGAGTGTTTGCACTTTCGAGAGGGAAGGGCCAGAGCCTCTCCCGACCAGGGCCGGCGGGGCGGACGCCTGGGGAAGGGGCGTCCGGGCGGGCTGAGGGGGCGGCGCGGTGCCCAAGGTCCCCGGGGTCCCTACCTGAACCGCTCCTGTCCCGCCGTGTCCCAGAGCTGTAGCTTGATCCTCTTGCCCGGCTCGATCTCCAGCAGGCGGGAGAAGAAGTCCACGCCGACGGTGGGGTCGCAGGCGGGGGAGCGCAGCCCGGGGAAGCGGCCCTGGGTGAAGCGGTGCAGGAGGCAGGACTTGCCCACGGTGGAGTCCCCGATCACGATGAGGCGGAACTGGTAGATCCAGATGGTCTCCATCGCTCACGTGCCCCGCTGGCTCCCGGGCCGCCCCACCCGCGGGCTAAGTTCGGCGGCGGGAACTGTCCTTTCAGCACCTCGCGGGCGCCCGCCCGCCGCCTTCCAGCATATTCCTGCGGCTGCGGCCGCCGCCTGGTGCCCGCCCTCTCGGGAGAGAGAGGCGGGGCCAGGCCCGGCTAGGGGCGGGGCCTCTGGACGGGGGCGGGGCGGGGGCGGTGGCGCGTGGGAGGGGGAAGCAGGTTTGCTGCCGCGAACTCCCGCCCCTGACCGGCTGCAAATCACTCTCCCTCAACGCTCACTGGGCGCCGGCAGGAAAGTGGGCGTGGCGGGAAGACGTGACAGCAGCAACAACCAAGGAAAATGAAGCAAGGTCTCAACTCCGGGAGGGTCAGCCAATGAAAAGTGAGAGTCGTTTTCTTACAGGCGTCAGGGCGGGTTGGTCAGATTAGGGCTCTGATTTTGGAAGTCCCTGAGGCCATAACTTGGGTCATTGCTTTGATTCCTCTTTTTTTTTTGTCCCCCAGGCTGGATTGATGTGGTGAGATCTCGGCTCATTGCAGCCTCAAGCGATCTGCCCACCTCAGCCTCCCAAGCAGCGGGGACCACGGGTGTGAGCCATCACACCTGGCTAATTTTCTTCTGGGTTAAAAAAAAATTTTTTTTTTAGAGATGTGGTCTCGCTATGTTGCTTAGGCTGGTCTCAAACTCCTAGGTTCAAGCGATCCATCCACCTCAGCCTCCTGAGTAGCTGGGACTACAGGCGGGGGCCACCACATCCCGCTAATTTTCTAACTTTTTGTAGAGATGGGGTCTTGCTGTGTTGCCCAGGCTGGTCTCGAACTCCTGACCTCAAGTGATCCTCCAGGCTCAGCCTCCCAGTGCTGGGATTACAGGTGTGAGCCACCACACCCTGCTTTCTTGTCTTGATGAGAGCCACCTCCAAGGCATTTTAAGGTGAAGGAGTTTTGGGCAGGATTGAAATAAATTTGCACAGCCAGTTCTGGGTGCTTCTAGCAAGGGCTCTGGCTGTTGCTGCGTGCTGCCACTGTCTGTTCTTCACTGCTATGAGTACCACAGAAGAGTGAGAAACGCCAAGTATCATCCCCATACCCTCTGGGGCCCTCCAACCCTGGGGACAGTGGCAAAAAAAAAAAAAAAAAAAAAAGCCGGGGAAATGTTGAGAAGCTCATGAAATTTTCAGCTCTCCTTGGTCTCCATTGTTTAAGTCAGAAAAAAGCGAACAGGTGGTCTCTTAGCTCATGTCTGATTAATGATGTAAGTAAACAAAGCAGAACTTAAATTCTGGTGAGATCTTACTACTTTCTTGTGCCTTTCCTCAAATTGAGTAATAGTGACGTCAAGGTTTATCTTTAAAAAGTGAAACAGTTTAAAAGTGTGTGTTAGGCCGGGCGCGGTGGCTCACGCCTGTAATCCCAGCACTTTGGGAGGCTGAGGCGGGTGGATCACCTGAGTCAGGAGTTCGAGACCAGCCTCAACATGGAGAAACCCCGTCTCTACTAAAAATACAAAATTAGCCGGGCGTAGTGGTGCATGCCTGTAATCTCAGCCACTCGGGAGGCTGAGGCAGGAGAATTGCTTGAACCCGGGAGGCAGAGGTTGTGATGAGCTGAGATCGTGCCATTGCACTCCAGCCTGGGCAACAAGAGCGAAACTCCATCTCAAAGAAAATAAATAAATAAATAAAAGTGTGTGTTTAGGCCGGTCGCAGTGGCTCACGCCTGTAATCCCAGCACTTTGGGAGGACGAGGCGGGCAGATCGCC
This sequence comes from Homo sapiens, assembly GCF_000001405.40. Classification (NCBI taxonomy): domain Eukaryota; kingdom Metazoa; phylum Chordata; class Mammalia; order Primates; family Hominidae; genus Homo; species Homo sapiens. The sequence goes on along the minus strand of NC_000011.10, from coordinate 107,926,786 downwards.
TGAGGTCAGGAGTTCGAGACCAGCCTGGCCAACATGGCGAAACTTCGTCTTTATTAAAACTACAAAAATGGCCGGGTGCAGTAGTTCATGCCTGTAATCCCAGCACTTTGGGAGGCCGAGGTGTGTGGATCACAAGGTCAGGAGTTCAAGACCAGCCTGGCCAAGATGATGAAACCTCCTCTCTACTAAAAATACAAAAATTAGCCACGCACGGTGGCAGGCGCCTGTAATCCCAGCTACTCGGGAGGCTGAGGCAGGAGAATCGCTTGAACCTGGGGGGCAGAAGTTGCAGTGAGCTGAGATGGTGCCACTGCACTCCAGCCTGGACGACAAAGCAAGACTCCTCGTCTCAAAAAAAAAAAAAAAAAAAAAAAGCTACAAAAATTAGCCAAGCATGGTGGCACATGCCTGTAACCCCAGGTACTTGGGAGGCTGAGGCAGGATAATCGCTTGAACCCGGGAAGTGGAGGCTGCAGTGAGCCGAGATTGTGCCATTGCACTCCAGCCTGGGCAACGAGAGCAAAACTCCGTCTCAAAAAAAAAAGTGTGTGTTTACCAAAACAAAATTTTCAACAATTCCACTTTTTTCTTGTGCACATCCCAAATTCTTATATCGATATTCATCCCTATTTCCTTTGCTGTTTTGGAGGAATTGGTGTTGGCTGTGTTTAATCCCCTTTCACTTATCTTTTTGGGGCTTTTCCCAACAGTTGACTTTTATTTCATACCTTTTATACCTTGAATCTCCCCTTCTCCAGTGGCTTCTGCTCCTCAGCCTATAAACATGCTCAATTATCTACAATTCTAAAACTAAGCAAAACACCTCTTCATTACGCTTCCCCTTCAGATTGTTGACTCCTCCATCATTCTCCTTTTCAAATATCAGAAATGATGATCTATTATCATTTCTCATCTACCAGTTAGTCTTCAAGGAGGCTTATATACCCCTAACATACTCTCTGTGCCTAATATACCACTGCTTTTGATAAGGCTGTCAGGGACATCCTAATTATTAAATCCAAGCCCCCACCCCCACCATCCTCACCACCACCCCACTGCAGTGTCATCTAGTTTTAGTTGTCATTCTCCTTTTTTTTTTTTTTTTTTTGAGACGGAATCTTGCTCTGTCGCGATCTTGGCTCACTGCAGCCTCCGCCTCCTGGGTTCAAGCGATTCTCCTGTCTCAGCCTCCTGAGTAGCTGGGACTACAGGCGTGGGCCACCACACCCAGCTAATCTTTGTATTTTTAGTAGAGACAAGGTTTCACCATGTTGGCTAGACTGATCTCGAACTCCTGACCTCAAGTGATCCACCCCCCTTGGCCTCCCAAAGTGCTGGGATTACAGGCATGAGCCACTGCACCTGGCCATGACTGAATTTTCTGTAAGCACAACCTGAACACCCTTATTCCTTGGCTTCCACAAAAGCATTCTCTCCTAATTTTCTGTTCTTTTTAACCTTCTTCAATGACTCCTCTTTCTATGATTCATTTCTTCAATACTGAAGATCTTAAGAGATCCTTCCTTCATCTCTTTTCCCTCTCCCCACTTTTACCTTCACTTTGGGCTTTTTCTGGCAACCTCATGTACTCCAGTGACTTCAGTTACCCCCTTACCCATATCAAATGTCTTCCCCCAATCTCTGCTCTGTATTCAGGACCCGCATTTCCAACTACTTCTCTTAGATATTGGATATGCATTTCAGACTCTACGTATCTGTGTTGGTTAGGATTCTTTGAAAAAAACTTCAGTTAGGGTGATATTAAAAGATGAGAGCACTTATTCTAAAGATATAGAGTGTTTTTACAGAATCCGCAGGCAGGAATGATGTTGGCATCAGAAAGGTATTTGAACTGGGAAAGAGAAAGCTGCTGCCGGGCGCAGTGGCTCACGTCTCTAGTCCCAGCACTTTGGGAGGCCAAGACAGGTGGATCACCTGAGGTCAGGAGTTCGAGACCAGCCTGACCAATATGGTGAATCCCTGCCTCTACTAAAAATACAAAAATAAGCTGGGTGCAGTGGCATGCTCCTGTAGTCCCAGCTACTTGGGAGGCTGAGACAGGAGAATTGCTTGAACCCGGGTGGCAGAGGTTGCAGTGAGCGGAGATCGTGCCACTGCACTCCACCCTGAGTGACAGAGCAAGACTGTCTCAAAAAAAAAAAAGAGAAAGCTGCAAGGGAGAATGTCTCTCTGTCTCTTTCATCTCCACTTCCTTCTGACATCTGCTAATTCTTGACTTTCTGCAGGCCCACTTTCTCTGCTGCTTAGTCCATGTGGAAGACTAGCTGCTGCAGTTTCCTGTTAGGTATCTAGACACACACAGACACTTATTTTCACTTCTCTGTAAAGACAACCTAGTTGTCTCAGTTTGGAACAGGTGTTTGTACCAAAGAGATACAGTGGGACAGGCATATGCAGTAGGTCAATCTATTTTGATGGGATATATGGAATATTTGCAGTCCTAGAGAAAGGGTGGATCAATGGCTTCTCTTTGGATCAAAAATTTATTTTCTAGAATGTCAGAAAATGAACTTAGTAGCTTTCTTGCCATGTCTTCTTTTGCTATATTTTATAGGTTGGTTAATGGCTTTTAGTATCTATGCTAGCTCCCTAGACAAGTGAGGGCTTGTACTGAATCTGAGCTGGAGGGTGGGGGTTTTTGTTGTGTATAGCAGAGAGATGGAATGGAATAAAGGTGGATGAGTGTAGAGCTAAAGATAATTTCATAGACAGCATCCAAGGCAAAACTAATAAAACGGAATGGAAAGCTGGCAGGTCAACTGAAACCTCTTAAAGGGACTGGGTAGAAGGAGCGGAATATAGCTATAATGGCCAGGTGTGGTGGCTCGTGCCTGTAATCTTAGAACTTTCAGAGGCTGAGGTAGGAAGATCACTTGAGCCCAGGAGTTCAAGACCAGCCTAGGCAACATAGTGAGACCTCAATCTCTATTAAAAAAGAAGAAGAAAAAAAGAAGAAGAGGAAGAAGAGGAAGTGGAAGTAGAAGAAGAAGAAGAAGAAGAAAGAAGAAGAAGAAGAAGAAGAGGAGGAGGAAGAGGAGGAAGAGGAGGAAGAAGAAGAAGAGGAAGAAGAAGAAGAAGAAGAAGGAGGAGGAGGAGGAGGAGGAGGAAGAGGAGGAGGAGGACGAGGGGAAGGGGAAGGAGAAGGAAGTTATAAGCCAATAGAATGAAAACTGAGGACTCCAGTCCAAAGAAAGTTTTAAATTTAGCCAGGGGAAAAGGCATGGGAATTTTTATAAGGTCCCTGGCCTCAAGAACAATCTAATGAGGACACCAAGATAGTTTTGACACCACATTGATGGATTAAGGTAGAATAAGAGCTTCATCCATCTTGGACTCCTTTTTCTCCTTTGCCGTATTCAGCCAATCACTAAACATTGCTGCTTTTACCTCAGTGATATTTTTCATATTTGTGACTTTTTCTCAACTCCCCACTGTCAGTGTTTTTGTTCAATCTCTCATCGCTTTAGACTGCACTGTTTAGTAGCCTCTATGTTAGTTCCTAGGGCTCCCATAACAAAGTATATAACAAAGCCACAAACAGAGCAGCTTAAAATAGCAGACATTTATTGTCTCACAGTTTGGGAGGCTAGATGTCCAAAATCCAGGTGTCAGTGGGGTTGGTTCTTTGTGAGGGCTGTGAAGGAGGATATCTGTTCCATGCCCCTTGCCTGGCTTCTGGTGGTTTGCTGGCAATCTTGGCAACACTTGGCTTGTAGATGTATCACTCAATCCTCTACCTCCAAATGGCATTTTCCTAGTCTCTTCATGCAGTCTTCCCTCTGAGCATGTCTGTGTCTGTGTCCAAATGTCCCCTTTTTATAAGGACATCAATTATATTGGATTATGGCCCACCCTAATAACCTTATCTTAACTACTTGACTTCATCTGTGAAGACTGTTTCCAAATAAGGTCACATTCTCTTTTTTTTTTTTTTTTTTTTTTGAGACAGGGTCTCACTCTGTCACCCAGGCACCCCAGGTTGGAATGCAGTGGCATGATCTCAGCTCACTGCAACCTCTGCCTCCCAGGTCCAAGTGATTCTCCTGTCTCAGCCTCCCCAGTAGCTGGAATTACAGGCAGGCACCACCACCCCCAGCTAATTTTTGTATTTTTGTAGAGATGGGGTTTTGCCATGTTGGCCAGGCTGATATCAAACTTCTGACCTCAAGTGATCTGCCCGCCTCGGCCTCCAAAAGTGCTGGGATTACAGGCGTGAGCCACTGTGCCCGGCCCCAAATAAGGTCACATTCTGAGGTACTGGGGCCTAGGACTTCAACATATCTTTTTTAGGGGACTCAATTCAACCCATAACAGCCTCATGTTTAGTTTCTACTTTGCTTCCAGAATTACTTTATTAAAGATCTTTGATGATTCCTCATTTGCTCTAGAATAAAGTCTAAATACCTAGTCATGTCATGTCTGACCCATAAGAGGGCATCCACATAAGAGGGCATCCACAGTCTAGTCAGATGATTCTTCTATGTGACATGCTTTTCATGCTATACTTTTTCTTTTTATTCATACTATTCTCTCCTCTCCTTATACCTGTTTCACTATTCACCTGGTCAGCAAATTTCTACTCATCTTTTAAGGCCCAGAACAAATATTTTCTCCTCTTTTTAGTCTTTCTGAACCATCTCTAACCCTAAGGAAAATTAACTTAACCCTCATCTGTGTTCCTATAGTAGTTAAGGAACGAGTACTCTGTACTTCTCTGATATCTGAGATATCATATATACATCTTCTCATATATATCTCATATATCTTCTCATATTGAATTATGGCTATTGGCTTGACTATCTCTCTTACTAGATTGTAAGTTCCTGAAGTCCAGAAGGACTTATTAATTGATAGTTATTTTCCCAACATGCACAATTAGCACATAGTAGATGTTCCTTTTTTAAAATTTTTTATTTTTTTGAGACAGGATCTCACTTTGTCTCCCAGGCTGGAGCGCAGTGGCACAATCATGGCTCAGTCCAACCTCAACTTCTTGGGTTCAAGCAATCCTTACATCTCAGCCTCCTGAGTAGCTGGGACCATATGTGCGCACCACCATGCCTAGCTAATTAAAAAAAATTTTTTGTAGGGATAGGGTCTCCTATGTTGCCCAGGCTGGTCTCAAATGCCTGGCCTCAAGTGATCCTCGCACCTTGGCTTCCCAAAGTGTTGGGATTATAGGCATGAGCCACCACGCCTGGCCAGTAGATGTTATTTAAATGCCCATTGAGTTGAAATGAAGTATGTTAACCATAGTTGTGTATGACCTTGAACTTTTATATGTGCCGTCTGCACACAACCTCATGAGATTTATGATGACTCATTTGATTAATGTTATGATTATGAAAATGTGCCTTTGAATAATCCATGGAAGAATTCAGTTTTAAGTATATTTGTATTATGCATGCTGGGTATAAATAATTTAATATTTTAATTAAAAATATTATGTTATATTTGTGTTTATAAAAGTTTAAGCTTAAAAAATAAGGCAAGTAGAGCACATTTAAGAAAGCTAGTTAAGCTATTACTCAGGAAATTCTGCTTTAATATGTTTTTTTAAGAAGTGAAAATGGCTGGGTGTGGTGGCTCATGCTTGTAATCCCAACACTCTGGTGGGCCAAGGCAGGAGGATTGCTTGAGCACAGGAGTTTGAGACCAGCCTGGGCAACAAAGTGAGACCTCGTCTCCATAAAAACCTAAAAAAGGCTGGGCGCAGTGGCTCACGCCTATAATCTCAGCACTTTGGGAGGCCAAGGTGGGTGGATCACTTGAGATCAGGAGTTCAAGACCAGCCTGGTCAACAGGGTGAAACCCTGTCTCTACCCAAAATACAAAAATTAGCTGGGTGTGGTGGCAGGCACCTGCAATCCCAGCCACTTGGGAGGCTGAGGCATGAGAATTGCTTGAACCCAGGAGGCAGAGGTTGCAGTGAGCCAAGATTATTCCACTGCACTCCAGCCTGAGTGGCAGAGCAAGACTCTGTCTCAAAAAAAAAAAAAAAACCTTAAAAAAAAATTAGCCAGGCATGGTAGTGCAAGCCCATAGTTCCTACTACTCTGGAGGCTGAGGCAGATGATCACTTGAGCCTGGGAGACTGAGATTGTAGTGAGCCATGATTGTACAACTGCACTCCAACCTGAGTGACAGGACAAGATCCTGTTTCAAAGACAAAAACAAAAACAAAATAGACAAAAAAATAAAAACAAACAAACGAAAACCCCAGGCCGGGCAGGTGGCTCACGCCTATAATCCCAGCACTTTGGGAGGCCAAGGTGGGCAGATCACGAGGTCAGGAGATCGAGACCACCCTGGCTAACACGGTGAAATCCCGTCTCTACTAAAAATCCAAAAAAATTAGCCGGGTGTCGTGGCACGTACCTGTAGTCCCAGCTACTCCAGAGGCTGAGGCAGGAGAATTGCTTGAAGCCAGGAGGCGGAGGTTGCAGTGAGCCGAGATCGCGACACTATGCTCCAGCCTGAGAGACAGAGTGAGACTCTGTCTCAAAAAAAAAACAAACAAAAAAAAAACAAAAAACAAAAGACAAAAACAAAACCAAACAAACAAATAAAAACTCAAAAACTAAAATGAAGCATGAGAAGTGCTGGAGAGGAGGATCTGGCTTCTTTTTGCTGTACAAAGCCCTGGACCAGAAGTCGGGAGACCTGGGTTCTTGTCCCAGCATTGCTACTACCTTTGGGAAAATTTTGACAAATCACTTGCTCTCTCTGGGTCTCTGTTTCCTCATCTGGAAACTAAAAAGATTGAGCTACAACTGAAAGAGTTGAGTGTTTTTCAAAATGAGGGTTGTTTATTTCTGCTATGCTTTCTGAAAGCTAAAGGAAGCCCCCAAAATACAAAATTAGCCAGCCGTGGTGGTGTGCGCCTGTAATCCCAGCTACTTGGGAGGCTGAGGCAGGAGAATCGCTTGAACCCGGGAGGCAGAGGTTGTGGTGAGCCAAGATCGCGCCATTGCACTCCAGCCTGGGCAACAAGAGCAAAATTCTGCAAAAAGAAAGAAAGAAAGCCCACAAAATCAAACAAAAAACCAAAAATAACAGAGGGGAATTGTAAAGTCAATTTGGTAAGTAACCACCAGAATTCAAAACAAAATGTCAGGGTGTATCATACATCATGATAAATATGTTTCATAGATTTTGTTTGTTTGTTTGAGACAGAGCCTTTGTCTGTTGCCCAGGCAGGAGTGCAGTGGCGTGATCACAGCTCACTGCAGCCTTGAACTCCTGGGTTCAAGTGCTCTTCCCACCTCAACCTCCCAAGTAGCTGGGACTATAGATGCATGCTGCTGAGCCTGGCTTATTATTATTTTTTGTAGAGACAGGGTCTCCCTTTGTATGCAGTCTTGTCTCAACTCCTGGCTTCAAGCAATTCTCCTGACTCAGCCTCTCAAAGTGCTGGGATTACAAGCATAAGCCACTGCACCTGGCCTGTTTCATAAAATTTTTGTTTCATTACTATGTGTGTATGTGTGAACGTGTGTGTATGTATGTACACATGTGTGTGCCACGTCAAGAAATAAAATGTATTTATTTTGGATCAAAGTAAACAAATGTCAAAACCCAGTGAGCTAGATGATCTCGAATGCATCTTCTGGTTCTGAGATTCCCTTAAAATGTTCCGAAATTCTCCATGTGCTCTGTGATTGCTGACACTCATTACCTCTTGAGTCTCATCTTCTACCTTCCCTTTAGTGTCTCCTCAATAACCATACTGGCTTCCTTGATAGTCCTCAAGCATCTAGGAAGGCTGCCACCTCTGAGCCTTTGCAGTTGCTGTTCCCTCTGGAGCAGCTCCTCCCCTTCATCTTCACATGGCTTGCTCCCTTACCTCATTCACCCTGCACTCAAATATCTTCATGAAGCCTTCCCTTCCTACTCTATGTAAAATTGCACCTTTATGGCCGAGCATGGTGGCTCATGCCTGTAATCCCAGAACTTTGGGAGGCCCAGGTGGGCGGGTCATCTAAGGTCAGGAGTTCAAGACCAGCCTGGCCAACGTAGGGAAACCCCGTCTATACTAAAAATACAAAATTAGCTGGGTGTGGTGGCATGCACCTGTAATCCCAGCTAATTCAGAGGCTGAGGCAGGAGAATTGCTTGAACCTGGGAGGTAGAGGTTGCAGTGAGCCGAGATGGCGTCACTGCATTCCAGCCTGGGCAACAAGAGTGAAACTCCGTCTCAAAAAAAAAAAAAAAATTGCACCTTCATGCCCTTCTATGCTTTATTTTTGTCCTTAGCACTTGTCATCATGTAATGTAATACGTATTTTACTTATTAATTTTGTTCACTATCTGCCTCCACCAAGATACTGTGAGCTCCATGAGTCTAATTTTTATTTTGGTTTGTTTTATTCACAAATGTATCCATCTGAAATATAGTAGACAATAAATATTTGTTGAAAATAAATTTAAAGTATCCATAAGTTTCCTTCTAGAAGACAAAATCAGGATAACTGACCTTTAAATAAAAAAGATAATAATATTTTATTTTGGACATGAAGATTGAAGATTTTGGATGAGAATTAAAGAAAAAAAATTTAGGTTGGGGTGCGGTGGCTTAGGCCTGTAATCCCAGCACTTTAGGAGGCTGAGGCAGGTGGATCATTTGAAGCCAGAAGTTCAAGACCAGCCTGGCCAACATGACAAAACCAAACCTTTGCTAAAAATACAAAAATTAGCTGTGCCTGGTTGTGTGCACCTATAGTCCCAGCTACTTGGGAGGCTGAGGCACAAAACTCACTTGAACCCAGAAGGCAGAGTTTGCAGTGAGCCGAGATTGTGCCACTGCACTCCAGCCTGGGTGACAGAGAAAGACTCTGTCCCCGCACCCAAAAAATAAAATAAAATAAAATAAAATGAAAACGTCTGATTTATGGAAAGTGAAGAATGGGTGTTATCAGCTACAATTTTGTACACTGTTTATGAACTGAATGTTTTATAACTTTTTTTCTATGAATGGTTACTTTTGATAATATATTTGATGTCAGAACTGGATATTTTCCTAGTGGCTCTACCTGAGAATCATGAGCTAGACTATTGAGGGTCCATACGGAGTGATTAATATCCTCACTATCCTTAATCCCTCTATTCTCACAATCCGGGGCTGACTAAACTGGAACCAAAGTTGTGATTTGAACTGATAAGCTAGTCTCATCTATGTAATGGGATGGCTTGAGAAGGAAAATTTTCCAGAGTTTATGGATAGAGTGAACTGATATGTAATTTCATAAAATTAGATGTCATGATGTTGGAATATATGTTCATGCCATTCTTTGTTGTTGTTGTTGTTGTTGTTTTGAGACGGGGTCTCACTCTGTGGCACAGGCTAGAGTGCAGTGGTGAGATCATGGCTCACTGCAGCCTCGACCTCCCCAGGCTCTGATGATTCTCCCACCTCAGCCTCCTGAGTAGCTGGGATCACAAGTACACACCACCATGCCTGGCTAATTTTTTTGTATTTTTGATACAGACAGGATGTCACCATGTTGCCCAGGCTAGTCTCAAATTCCTGGGCTCGAGCGATCCGCCTGCCTCTGAAACTGGAGGAGTTCCCTTATCCCCCTCACAGGGCATGCAACAGGGATGTGGCTCGCTTCTTCAGTCCTCGGCTGCTCAAACCTCTAGGGGGAGCATGTAGAGGATGCAGGTACTGGGGAGTGTTTTTGGGCTCCGACCCCACAGCAGCATCTAGGGTTAAGTGTTTACAGCTCTCGAAGCCCCAGTGGGCCTGTGTTACAGTGTGCTCTTGCAGTTTTGCTCTCTGCAGGTGGCTTGTGTTAAGCAGCTCAATTAGACTCTCTGTCTTATCACAAGGGCTTTCTGTATCCCGGCTTCTTGCCCTAGTGTACTGGAAAAATCGGATCACATGTGGGCTTGGAGGATGGGTGCAAGGTTTTATTGAGTGGGGGAAGTAGCTCTCAGTGAGATGGATGTGGAGCCAGAAGGAGGATGGAGTGGGAAGGTGGTCTTCCCCTGGAGTTGCGCCACCTAGCGGCTGGGCTCTTCAAGAACCACCCCTGACAGAATTCCACGTTGTCCTGTTGTCGATGGCCTGTCAGTGTCTGCTGGTGTCTGTTGGTGTGTTCTTCTGCTCTTCTGCTCCTCTCGACATCCAGCCCCTTGTGTGTGTGCCTGCTATGGTCTTGGGTTTTTATGGGCACAGGATGAGGGGCATGGTGGGCCAGAGTGGTCTTGGAAAATTCAATATCTGGGCATGGAAACAGGAGTACCTGTTCTCAGTTAGGTCTGTAGGCACAGGCCCCAGGGTGGAGCCCTTGCCAGGGACCCCGCCTTTCTCTACCCAGCACTTCCCTGCCCCCTCCTGTATCACCTCGGCCTCCCAAAGTGCTGGGATTATAGGTGTGAACCACCCTATAATCCTATAGCGTGGTTCCTATAAGAATCCATGCCTGGCCATGCCATTCTTAATACTTTAAAATATCACCATTTATGCCTTCACAATTATTTTCTGAATAGGACAGGCTATCAGAAGTGAATCAGAAGGGGTAAAGTGAATCAGAAGTCAATTTACATTTTAAAAATGTAATAATAATTTTCTAACTTGTGTAGCCATTATTTTATTTTGTCGTATTTGCAGTGAGGGGCATCTAGGTGGTAGTATTTTCTCTATATACTCCTCTATACTTAAAACATAAGACCCAGGATGGGCATGGTGGGTCATGCCTGTAATCCCAGCACTTTGAGAGGCCAAGGAGGGAGGACAGCTTGAGACCAACCTGGGCATCATAATAAGACCTTCCCTTAAAAAAAAAAATGGTCAATTTCACTCCCTATCTCCAATCCAGTTGTTACCCCCACAATAGGTGAGTTTGGATGCTTGGCGAGTGATAGCCCAATGACCACAACCAAGGAGGATTGAGCAAGGGGATTTTCTTACTTGCAACAAGTAAGGAAAACACTGGGGATAGCTCCCAAAGCAGTGCCTCTCCAGGCTGGGGGCTGGGACAGGTTTTACAGGCATAAGGTAAGGATGTGGGATCTGACTGAATCTGGCAATAAGGTGATGCTGGGAGGCATTAACTGACTAGATCCTGCCATAGGGTGACACCAGGGCTTGATCTGATTGGATCCTGCCATGTGGTTTCCAATTCTTAATTCAGTCCCTGCTCCTTGGTCTGAGCACTTAGGTTCTCCATGTGGTTGCATGCTTTGTTCATCTGGGCATGCTCAGGTTATAGTGATGTGAGGGTCCACGGCAACTGAAAAACAACCACAACTTTGAACCAGACCTGGCAGGGTGGCTAACACCTGTAATCCCAGAACTTCGGGAGGTTGAGGCGGGCGGATTCCTTGAGCCCAGGAGTTGGAGACCAGCCTGGGCAACATGGAGAAACCCTGTCTCTACTAAAAATACAAAAAATTAGCCAGCTGTGGTGTGGGTTCCTGAGGTCCCACCTACTTGGGGGTCTGAGGTGGGAGAATCAGTTGAACCCAGGAGGCAGAGGCTGCTGTGAGCCGAGATCCTGCCACTGCATTCCAGCCTGGGTGACAGAGTGAGACTGTCTCAAAAAATAATAATAATACTTTAAAAAAAGGGCAGGGCACAGTGGCTCATGCCTGTAATCCCAGCACTTTGGGAGGCCAAGGTGGGTGGATTACCTGAGACCAGGAGTTTGAGACTAGACTGGCCAACATGATGAAACCCTGTCTCTACTAAAAATACAAAAAATACAATTAGCAGAGGATGGTGGTGGGCGCCTGTAATCCCAGCTAGTCGGGAGGCCGAGGCAGGAGAATTGCTTGAACCTGGGAGTCAGAGGCTACAGTGAGCCGAGATTGTGCCATTGCACTCCAGCCTGGACAACAAGAGCAAAACGCTGTCTCAAAACAAAACAAAACAAAACAAAACAAAAACAAGTGGTTGAACCAGATTGGTCTGGTGCAGCTACACAATGAGCTCATACAAACATCCAGGTGTTTAAATGACCTGAATTTGGAAAGAGGGAAAAAATATCTTGAATTGACAGAGTTTAAATCTATAATGACTGGAAAAAATGTCTTAAATAGCGAAATGTCTTAAATAACTATAACCACTTATCATCAAGTGGAATGGAGGCTCTAGGTAAAGACAGTTGAGTTGTAGAAAGATAAAGTTACAGTTCAGTTGCATGCCTGAGGCAGTAGATTGAAGCTATCTTTCTTGCTACAAGAGGAAGAACTGATCCAAATGATAACTGACATGTAATAGTGATTTAAATATATCTACACTCCAATAAACTATGCCCATTCATTCAGACATAACATGCATGTGACTCTCAGAACTTTTGTGAGAACTGTATATGAAAATAGTGAATAAAAAATTCTACAGCATAGATATCTGCATTTAAAAAAAATCATCTCTCTGGAATGCTACTTCTAATATCAGCTGTTGTATTCTTATAATAGGATCTATCTGCCTCTGTCACTTCAGAAGTCGTTCAGACTGGCCACATTTTGGCCAATTCTACCTCGTGTATATCTTTCAAATCTGTCTCCTTTTTGCCTTCTCCAGCACTGTTGCCCTGATTTTGAACTTTATCGTCTCTTGCTAGAATTGTTGCAAACTCAGTTCCCCAGTCTTGCCCACTTCCAAAATATCCATCGAAGCATGCGAAGAATCTTTCTAACATATAAATAATCTAATCATTAACTCCTAGCTCAAAATATTTCAACCCTCCCATCCCTGGTACGTACACACATATTGCTTAAAGAATAAAATTGATTAAGATGGTGTAAAAGATGGTTTGGTCATCATTAAACTTTCTTTCATCTTCTACTTGTTAAAGTTTGCTCTTACATTATTACACAGTATGTGGCTCCTAAGATGCCATCGTCTATCCTGATACATGCACTTGGCATGTATCAGGATTAGATTAGGCTGTGAGTGACAGAAAAAAAACAAAAATAACAGTGGCTTAAACAAGGTGGAAATTTTTTTTCTCTTTTATATAAAAAGAAGTATAAAATTGAGCCTGCCAGGACTAATAGAGCAGCTGTCTATATTGCTAGACTCTGGCTATATTGCTGCTCTGCCCTGTTCTGCAAGTGGCTTTTACCTCAGAATTGCTGCTTAAACATCAGCCATCATATCCCCATTCAGGCAAGACAGGGAAGGAGGGGATGACGTGCACATCCTCTTAGTGATTCTTAGTGAATCTCAGGACTTTTATAAAAACTCTTAAAAAAGGGAATCTGTTTTTTTTTTTTTAAACTCTGTAAAATTTAATTTCTCTAAAAGCTTTTTTCTTTGAAACGTTTTCAAATTTTTTTTTTTTTAATTGATCATTCTTGGGTGTTTCTCGCAGTGGGGGATTTGGCAGGGTCATAGGACAATAGTGGAGGGAAGGTCAGCAGATAGACAAGTGAACAAAGGTCTCTGGTTTTCCTAGGCAGAGGACCCTGCGGCCTTCCGCAGTGTTTGTGTCCCTGGGTACTTGAGATTAGGGAGTGGTGATGACTCTTAACGAGCATGCTGCCTTCAAGCATCTGTTTAACAAAGCACATCTTGCACCGCCCTTAATCCATTTAACCCTGAGTGGACACAGCACATGTTTCAGAGAGCACAGGGTTGGGGGTAAGGTCACAGATCAACAGGATCCCAAGGCAGAAGAATTTTTCTTAGTACAGAACAAAATGAAAAGTCTCCCATGTCTACTTCTTTCCACACAGACAGGGCAACCATCTGATTTCTCAATCTTTTCCCCACCTTTCCCCTCCTTCTATTCCACAAAACCGCCATTGTCATCATGGCCCGCTCTCAATGAGCTGCTGGTCACACCTCCCCGACGGGGTGGTGGCCGGGCAGAGGGGCTTCTCACCTCCCAGTAGGGGTGGCCGGGCAGAGGCGCCCCTCACCTCCCGGACGGGGCGGCTGGCCGGGCGGGGGGCTGACACCCCACCTCCCTCCCGGACTGGGCGGCTGGCCGGGCAGAGGGGCTCCTCACCTCCCAGTAGGGGCGGCCGGGCAGAGGCGCCCCTCACCTCCCGGACGGGGCGGCTGGCCGGGCGGGGGGCTGACACCCCACCTCCCTCCCGGACTGGGCGGCCGGCCGGCGGGGGGGGCTGACCCCCCCACCTCCCTCCCGAACGGGGTGGCTGCAGGGCGGAGACGCTCCTCACCTCCCAAACGGGGTGGCTGCCGGGCGGAGGGGCTCTTCACTTCTCAGACGGGGCGGCTGCCGGGCGGAGGGGCTCCTCACTTCTCAGACGGGGCGGTTGCCGGGCGGAGGGTCTCCTCACCTCCCAGACGGGGTCGCGGCCGGGCAGAGGCGCTCCTCACATCCCAGACGGGGCGGCGGGGCAGAGGCGCTCCCCACATCTCAGACAATGGGCGGCGGGCAGAGACGCTCCTCACTTCCTAGATGGGATGGTGGCCGGGAAGAGGCACTCCTCACTTCCTAGATGGGATGGCGGCCGGGAAGAAGCGCTCCTCACTTTCCAGACTGGGCAGCCAGGCAGAGGGGCTCCTCACGTCCCAGACGATGGGTGGCCAGGCAGAGACGCTCCTCACTTCCCAGACGGGGTGGCGGCCGGGCAGAGGCTGCACTCCCGGCACTTAGGGAGGCCAAGGCAGGCGGCTGGGAGGTGGAGGTTGTAGCGAGCCGAGATCACGCCAACGCACTCCAGCCTGGGCGCCATTGAGCACTGAGTGAACCAGACTCCGTCTGCAATCCCGGCACCTCGGGAGGCCGAGGCTGGTGGATCACTCGCGGTTAGGAGCTGGAGACCAGCCCGGCCAACACAGCAAAACCCCATCTCCACCAAAAAAATACGAAAACCAGTCAGGCGTGGCGGCGCGCGCCTGCAATCGCAGGCACTCGGCAGGCTGAGGCAGGAGAATCAGGCAGGGAGGTTGCAGTGAGCCGAGATGGCAGCAGTACAGTCCAGCTTCGGCTCGGTATCAGAGGGAGACCTTGCAAAGAGAGGGAGAGGGAGACCGTGGGGAGAGGGAGAGGGAGGGGGAGGGGGAGGAGGAGGGGCAGGGGCAAAAGGGAATCTCTTTTGTGGTTGGGTCTAGGGTTGTGAGGCTAATGAATGCAACCTCCTTGGCATGGTGGGAAGAAAGCCTGCCTGAGAATGGAACCAACCTAGAGGAAGCAGTGCTTTTTGCTTTTTTTTTTTTTTTTGACACAGAGTCTTGCTCTGTCGCCCAGGCTGGAGTGCAGTGGCGTGATCTCGGCTCACTGCAAGCTCCGCCTCCCAGGTTCACGCCATTCTCCTGCCTCAGCCTCCCGAGTAGCTGGGACTACAGGCGCCTGCCACCACACCCAGCTAATTTTTTTGTATTTTTAGTAGAGACAGGGTTTCACCGTGTTAGCCAGGATGGTCTTGATCTCCTGACCTCGTGATCCGCCCGTCTCGGCCACCCAAGGTGCTGGGATTACAGGCGTGAGCCACGGTGCCCAGCCCAATGCTCTTAAACCCAGGAAAAAAACTGGGTTCTTGTGACATCATTTCATCCCCTGCATCAAACTATAGCCAAAGCAAGAGGTACTGTTGGATTTTTTAAATTACATGAGTGATTATAAATTGAAGCCTTAACACAGAAAGGCAAATATCACATGTTCTCGCTTATTTGCGGGATCTAAAAATCAAAACAATTGAAGTCATGGAGATAGAGAATAGAAGGATGTTTACCAGAGGCTGGAAGGGTAGCAAGGGGGCAGCAATGGTGGGGAGGTGGAGGTGGTTAATGGAAACCAAAAAAAAAGGTTAGTGGCCTGGTGTGGTGACTCACACCTGTAATCCCAGGACTTTGGGAGGCTGAGGTGGACAGATCACTTGAGGTCAGGAGTTCAAGACCAACCTGGCCAACATGGTGAAACCCTGTCTATACTAAAAACACAAAAATTAGCTGGGCGTGGTGGCGCATGCGTATAGTCCCAGCTACTTGGGAGGCTGAGGCAGGAGAATCACTTGAACTCGGGAGGCAGAGGTTGCAGTGAGCAGAGATCATTCCACTGACCTCCAGCCTGGGTGACAGAGCAAGATTCCATCTCCAAAACAAAACAAAACAAAACAAAACAAAACAAAACAAAAAGAAAAAGAAAAAAAATAGTAAGAAAGAATGAATAAGACCAGTATTGGATAACACAACACAAGGACTGTAGTCAATAACAATTTAATTGTACATTTAAAAATAACTAAAAGAGCCGGCGCGGTGGCTCACGCCTGTAATCACAGCACTTTGGGAGGCCGAGGCGGGTGGATCACCTGAGGTAGGGAGTTCGAGACCAGCCTGACCAACATGGAGAAACCCCGTCTCTACTAAAAATACAAAATTAGCTGGACGTGGTGGTGCATGCCTGTAATCTCAGCTACTTGTGAGACTGACGCACGAGAATCGCTTGAACACAGGAGGCAGAGGTTGCGGTGAGCAGAGATTGTGCCATTGCACTCCAGCCTGGGCAACAACGGTGAAACTCTGTCTCAAAAAAAAACAAAAACAAAAACAAAAACAAAAAACTAAAAGAGTATAATTGGATTGTTTATAACACAAAGGATAAATGCTTGAGGGGATGGTTGGATACTCAATTTTCCATGATGTGATTATTATGCATTGTATGCCTATACCAAAATATCTGATGTACCCTATAAACATATAGTCCTACTATGTACCCGCAAACATTAAAAATAAAAAAAATAATTTTTAGAAGATGAAAAAAATAAGGCTAGGCACTATGGCTCACACCTTTAATTCTGGCACTTTGGGAGGCTGAGGTGGGCAGATTGCTTGAGTCCAGGAATTCAAGACCAGCCTGGCCAACATAGCAAAACTCCATCTCTACAAAATATACAAAAATTAGCTGGGAGTGATGGTGTGCGCCTATAGTCCCAGCTACTCAGGAGGCTGAGGTGGGAGGATTGTCTAGAGCCCAGGAGGTTGTGGCTGCAGTGAGCTGTGATCACACCACTGCGCTCTAGCCTGGGTGACACAGAGAGACCCTATCTTAAAAAAAAAAAAAAAAAAAAAAAGGCTGAAAAAATTTAGGCATTAGTACCTAAGGTGGATAAGGAAGGAGGTGGGCCAGGCACGGTGGCTCATGCCTGTAATCCCAGCACTTTGGGAGGCTGCGGTAGACGGATCACCTGAGGTCGGGAGTTCAAGACCAGCCTGACCAACATGGAGAAACCCAGTCTCTACTAAAAATACAAAATTAGCCGGGCATGGTGGCAGGTGCCTGTAATCCCAGCTACTCGGGAGGCTGAGGCAGGAGAATTGCTTGAACCTGGGAGGTTGAGGTTGTAGTGAGCTGAGATCGAGCCATTGCACTCCAGCCTGGGCAATGAGAGCGAAACTCCATCTAAAAAAAAAAAAGGAAGGAAGTGAAGATAGGAAAAAAGTGGTAGTGTCAGTGTGTCAATGGATTGGCACTCTTTGAGACTGAGTTGTGGCATTGCACTACTTGAGCAAAGGAGCTGGATGGACAGCAAGGAGGTTGAGATCTTAGATTTGTGATTTTGGAAGTAGTACCATTTCTGGTGATGACAATTCCAGGATGTCACTCTAGAAAGTGAGTACCTCAGGTGGTGTAGATGAAAAACGTCTATGAAGATGAGGACATCAAGGAACTGAGAGGTCAGTGAGTTTTATAGTTTCATGTAAATGCCCTTCAGTGTAGATCAATGGCGTCATGTCTGAGCATAATTCAGCAAGAAGAGATGATAAGAGGCTGGGGCCTAGCTAGCTCTCTTCTGGTTTGGTCTTTCCTAGGGATAGATCTTGACATATGCTAGGGGTATAGACCACTCAGTCAAACTTCCATAAATACTATTTGTCTTACTTTGGACAAGGATTGTGAGTTCAATGTTATTCTCAATGCCAGGCACCTGGAGTATAACCCCAGCACTCAAAAAGGTAGGGTCCTAAATTTTAATTTTTAAAGGTAGGGTCCTAAATTTTTATTTTTATGTATTTATGTATTTATTTTTATTTTTATTTTTTTGATGTGTAAAAAGGCTTTATTTGCAGGGGAGCAGGAATTTAATCAAAGAGGCCAAATCCCATGTCATCGTCCGACTCCTCAGACTCCTCCTTCTCATCTTTCTTCTCCTCTGCTGCAGCAGGGGCGGAACCAGCAGCAGGGGCTGCAGAGCCTGGGGCAACAGAGATGGCCACAGCCACACCGGCAGGTACACTGGCAAGCTTGCCAATACTCTAGGCAATGACGTCTTCATTGTTTTCTCCATTCAGCTCACTGATAACCTTGTTGAGCCGGTCGTAATCCTCCTCGATGCCCACGCTGTCCAAGATCTTCTTGATGTCCTTGGCGCTGGGGGAGGAGTTACCCCCGAGGGCAGCCAGCAGGTAGGAGGCGACGTAGCGCATCGCCGCGGCGTCTGCGGCGGCGGCGGCGGAGAAGCCTCATGCGTGCGACCTCGTTTGCATCAGGGAGGAAAAGCTATTTATTTATTTTTGAGAAGGAGTCTCACTCTCATCACCCAGGCTGGAGTGCAGTGGCACAATCTTGGCTCACTACAACCTCCACCTCCTAGGCTCAAGCGATTCTCATGCTTCAGCCTCCCAAGTAGCTGGGATTACAGGCGCCCACCACCACACCCAGCTAATTTTTGTCTTTTTAGTAGAGATGGGGTTTCTCCATGTTGGCCAGGCTGGTCTCAAACTCCCAACCTCAAGTGATCCACCCTCCTTGGCTTCCCAAAGTGTTGGGATTACAGGCGGGAGCCACTGCGACTGGCAGGGTCCTAAATTTTAACAGTAAGCTGGGCTGGAGAGAGGATTGACAACCTCATTTGAAAGTTGGCATAGAAGGGCATAAAGGCAGGCAAAGGGAGCACCCTTGGGCAGGGCCTACCCCCTCCTCAGGAGGTACTTTGGGATTCACTACAGCACACAGAGGACATAGACCTCAAAGTTTTATATAGTGGAGGATGGCTTCAGTAACTTAACCTGAGAAAATTTTAAATCAGGTAAAACCAAATGCCTGTGTCTATCCACTCAACATGAAAATACATGTAGGGCTGGGTGAGGTGGCTCACGCCTGTAATCCCAACACTTTGGGAGGCTGAGGCAGGCAGATCACCTGAGGTCAGGAATTCGAGACCATTCTGGTCAACATGGTAAAACCCCATCTCTGCTTAAAATACAAAAATTAGCCGGGCATGATGGCACATGCCTGTAATCCCAGCTACTAGGGAGGCTGAGGCAAGAGAATTGCTTGAACCTGGGAGGCAGAGATTGCAATGAGCTGAGATCGTGCCACTGCACTCCAGCCTGGGCGATTGAGGGAGATTCCATCTCAAAAAAAAAAAAAAAGAAAAGAAAAGAAAGAAAGAAAAAGGAAAATACATGTAGGTAACACAGTGAATTAACTTTCATAATAGATAAGCAAGTTAAACTTTGGTTGGTGTCTGTCCTTCAAAGGTAAGAATTTATTTTTAGAACAATTAACTTTTTGTTTGTCTGTTTGTTTGTTTGTTTGTTTGACACAGAGTCTCTCACTCTGTTGCCCAGGCTGGAGTGCAGTGGCATGATCTCAGCTTGCTGCAGCCTCCGCCTCCCAGGTTCAACCGATTCTCCTGCCTCAGCCTCCCGAGTAGCTGGGGTTACAGGCATGTGCCATCACGCCTGGCTTATTTTAGTATTTTTAGTAAAGACGGGGTTTCACCATGTTCGTCAGGCTGGTCTTGAACTCCTGACCTCAAGTGATCCACCTGCCTCGGCCTCCCAAAGTGCTGGGATTAGAGGTGTGAGCCACCACACCCTGCCCAATTGACTTTTTAGATTCATATCTTGTCTGAAAATAGAGAGCAGATCAGTGATGGCAGAAACATTAATAGTGATTCACATTTGAGATGACGGTTGTTTTTTGTTGGTTTGTTTTTGTTTTGTGTTATGTCTAGGGGTCTGTAATCTATTCAATTATAAGGAGTATCATGTCATTAAGGTGCAAATTAAAAAATAGTGGGGACAGAACACAGTGTGTTTACCTTACTGAAAATTGCTACCTAATTTATCAAAAGACGCTCTCTACCTATCAAAAGGTTATTCACAAATAAAAATATATAAACGGCCGTTAAGCACTTAAAAAAGTCCAGCCTCACTAGTCATCAAATAGAGGCAAATTAAATAAATGACATGCAATTTTTCCTATCAAATGGACAATTTTGCTGAGGGCGACTAACTTGATGATTGATCACTGTAATTTTTCGTTACCTAATGTTTCCCACCACTGAAAATTAAATGACTTAAAGGTTAGAGTATAAATCATCACAGTGAATTTCAAGATCATTAAAGAAAGCCTTTTTGTTTGAATTTCGGAACTGTGAAAGTTTTGAAATTTTCCTCTGGTCCCAAACCTAAAACACTCAGAAATTTTAACTGTACAAAGATACTAAAAAATCAATATTATTGAGGGAGAGGATAGAGAAAGAATTGGCTCTCTTCCAATTCTAAACCTTCTCAGACACCAGTTATTTCTGATTGGAAGTCTACCAAAGAGTGTTTGGGATCTATTCACCTTATCAGAGCTAAATGCTTGGACTCTGATTATTCCTTAAGAAATGGCTTAGCTCTTACTATATTTTCTATCAAGCAACATTTCATTAGTAATAGGCAGCCTGAATGTAGCCTTCATTCTTCAATAATGCATCCATGGAGTTACTGAAAAAGAATGCCATCTATTTTTATTAAAAAACATACAGACCTGGTATATTATTAAAAAGTCACTATTATAGTCCTCCTGAGAGTTTAATCTATTGAACTGTATTTCCCTAACATCCTAAAGATCTCAAAATTGATAAGAAAAAAGGTTTTTTGTTTTTCTGAACCACTTTCTTTCTTCAGGTCTCTTCAAATGATGGTATCTGGCCACTAGTTCTTTGAAGTCTTGTGTGGTCACCCTTGCAGCTAGCTCCTCTTGTCCTCTAAAGCTTTTGGGGACAGTAATGGGGAATGCATCATGGCCAGACACTATACCCTTACCTGACCACATCACGCCACACAGTTACATAAATTCTCTTCTCAGTGTCACCATTGTTAGCATTTTGCTCTTCTCTTCAACTGTACCTCTCCCTACCCACACAATACAATTTTTAGAGCTGTAGGAGAACTTACAGATGATGCAGTTTAGTGATAGCCTGTCATTTTAATTTTAATTTTTATTAAAGAGTAACAAAATATGATGGAAATCTCAACTGAATCCCCTGCACAATGGAGAACATATTCCAAAGTAAGCGTTCAGACCAAGATACAGAGATTTCAAAGGAGACATCTCAAACTGGCCATTGAACTCATAAACCCATAACTATATACAGAATATAAAAAATCACCTAGATTGGGTGCCGTGGCTCAGGTCTGTAACCCCAGCACTTCAAAAGGCTGAGGCAGGTGGATTGCTTAAGCTCAGGAGTTCGAGACCAGCCTGGGCAACATGGTGAAAACCGGTCTCTACTAAAAATACAAAAATTAGTCAAGTGTGGTGGTGAGTGCCTGTAATCCCAGCTACTCAGGAGGCTGAGGTGGGAGGATCGCTTGAGCCTGGGAGGTGGAGGTTACAGTGAGCTAAAATTGCACCACTGCACTCCAGCCTAAGTGACAGAGTGAGACCCTGTCTCAAAATAAATAAATAATCACTTATATAAAAAATATAAAAAGTCATGGGTTGCAATATAAAGGGCATGAGGCCAGACGTGGTGGCTCACACCTGTAATCCCAGCACTTTGGGAGGCTGAGGTGGGTGGATCACCTGAGGTCAGGAGTTCAAGACCAGCCTGGCCAATATGGCAAAACCCCGTCTTTACTAAAAATATAAAAAAAGTTAGCTGGTCATGGTGGGGGGCACCTATAATCCCAGATACTGGGGAGGTTGAGGCAGGAGAATTGCTTGAGCCCGGGAGGTAGAGGTTGCAGTGAGCAGAGATCTCCCACTTCACTCCAGCCTGCGCAAAAGAGCGAAACTCCATCTCAAACAAACAAACAAACAAAAAGGCATGGTTTGCTGGTGATGAAGAGGAAGTTTTGCAGCGAGCTGGTAGTGTTCTGCATGTTCTTTCTCTCTTCCGCAAGGGTAGATGCTCCCCGTCTCAAGTCCAGGGAAAGAGCCTCAACGGGACCACTCACTAAGCTCAATGTGTACCCCCTGCAGTTGTGGGGTGTGTTTAGCTCCACTTAGGAAATCTAAAAGGTGAGCACCTTGCTGGTTATCCCTCCTAATGGAGGAGCCAAGAAGAGGTTGCCTGTGTTGGAACTAACCTGGATTTTTTGTTCTTTGGGCAAAGGATGAGTGAGTGTTTTTCTATGGACAGAAGAAAGTCATGCATGTGAAAGAGCCAGCATGGGACTGCCTAAAATTCTGAAAGCACTTCCTGGAGCTGTACCACTGCATTCCTGTGGATGACTGCAGAAGGAGACGCAAACAACCAGCCAGAATACAGAATAGGCCAGGCACAGTGGCTCACGCCTGTAATCCCAGCACTTTGGGAGGCCGAAGCGGGTGGATCACGAGGTCAGGAGATCGAGACCATCCTAGCTAACACAGTGAAACCCCATCTCTACTAAAACATACAAAAAATTAGCCGGGCATGGTGGCAGGTGCCTGTGCCCAGCTACTTGGGAGGCTGAGGCAGGAGAATGGCATGAACCCAGGAGGCGGAGCTTGCCGTGAGCCGATATTGTGCCACTGCACTCCAGCCTGGGCAACAGAGCAAGACTCTGTCCTAAAAAAAAAAAAAAAAAATACAGAATAGAAAATATCTCCTTCTGCCAGGCATGGTGGCTCACGCCTGTAATCCCAGCACTTTGGGAGGCCGAGGCGGGTGGATTGCCTAAAGTCATGAGTTTGAGACCAGCCTGACCAATAAGGTGAACCCCATCTCTACTAAAAATACAAAACACTTTGGGAGGCCAAGGCTACCAAATTACGAGGTTAAGAGATGGAGACCATCCTGGCCAACATAGTGAAACCCCATCTCTACTAAAAATACAAAAATTAGCTGGGTATGGTGGCGTGCACCTGTAGTCCCAGCTACTCAGGAGCCTGAGGCAGCAGAAACGCTTGAACCTGGGAGGCGGAGGTTGCAGTGAATCGAGATTGCGCCACTGCACTCCAGCAGCCTGGTGACAGAGCGAAACTCCGTCTCAAAAAAAAAAAAAAAAAAAAAAAGAGCTGGGTGTGGTAGAGAGAGCCTGTAGTCCTATCTACTTGGGAGGATGAGGCAGGAGAATCGCTTGAACCTCGGAAGTGGAGGTTGCAGTGAGCCAAGATCCTGCCACTGCACTCCAGCCCAGGCAACAATGCGAGACTCCATCTTGAAAAAAAAAAAGAAAAGAAAAAAAAGAAAATATCTCCTTCTTGGCCTAGCGGTGGCTCACGCCTGTAATCCCAGCACTTTAGGAGCCTGAGGCGGGTGGATGACGAGGTCAGGAGATTGAGACAATCCTGGCTAACACAGTGAAACCCCATCTGTACTAAAAATACATTAAAAAAAAAAAATTAGCTGAGTATGGTGGCATGTGCCCGTAGTCCCAGCTACTTGAGAGGCTGAGGCAGGAGAATCACTTGAACCTGGGAGGCGGAGGCTGCAGTGAGCTGAGATCATGCCATTGCACTCCAGCCTGGGCGACAGAGAGAGACTCCATCTCAAAAAAAAAAAAAAAGAAAGAAAGAAAAAAAAGAAAAAAAGAAAATATCTCCTACTTTCTTAATAAACTTTCCGTTTGAGGCTGGGCGCGGTGGCTCACACCTGTAATCCCAGCACTTTGGGAGACCGAGGTGGGCAAATCACGAGGTCAGGAGATCGAGACCATCCTGGCTAACATGGTGAAACCCCGTCTCTACTAAAAATACAAAAAAATTAGCCGGGCGTGGTGGCGGGTGCCTGTAGTCCCAGCTACTCGGGTGGCTGAGGCAGGATAATGGTGTGAACCCGGGAGGTGGAGCTTGCAGTGAGCCGAGATCGTGCCACTGCACTCCAGCCTGGGCGACAGAGCGAGACTCCGTCTCAAAAAAATATAAAAAATAAAAAATAAACTTTCAGTTTGGTGTACCACATTCTCCAATAGTTTCCCACCAAAAGGATACATAGCAAGTCATTTTCTGAGAACTTCTGTGCTCAAAAAAGTCTTTATTTTACTCTTATATTAACACTTTTCCTGGCTATAGTGTTATGATTGAAAAATAAGTTTTCATCTGAATTTTGAAGACATCCTTGTATTGTCTCCTAGATTCCCATGTTGTGATTGAAAATTTCATTGCCATTCTCATTCTTACATGTTTGTGATCTACTTGCTTTTTTTCCTCTCTGGAAGCTTTTAGGATCCTTTTAAAAATTTTCACAAAATTTTACAATGTGTGCCTTTCTTTTTAATTGTGGGCTCTTTTATCACGGAGACTCTCACTTTTAAATTCTGGGAAGTTTTGTATTGTTGTTTCTTTGAGAATTTCCTTTTATTTATTTATTTTTTTGTTCTTCTTCTTGTGACAGGGTCTCACTCTGTTGCCCAGGCTGGAGTGCAGTGGTGTGATTATAGCTTACTGCAGCCTCAATCTCCTGGGCTCAAGCAATCCTTCCAACTCAGCCTCCTGAGTAGCTGGAATCACAGGTGTGCACCACCACACCTGGGTAATTTTTTTTTTTTTTTTTGTAGAGATGGGGTTTCTACATGTTGCCCAGACTGGTCTTGAACTCCTGGGCTCAAGTGATCCTCTTGCCTCAGCCTCCCAAAGTGCTGGGATTACATGTGTGAGCCACCGTGACTGGACCCATTTCTTATCCTTTTTCTTTTTTTTTTTTTTTTGAGACGGAGTCTGGCTCTGTCGCCTAGGCTGGAGTGCAATGGCGCGATCTTAGCTTACTGCAACCTCCGCCTCCTAGGTTCAAGCAATTCTGCCTCAGCCTCCTGAGTAGCTGGGATTACAGGTGCCCGCTACTACGCCCGGCCAATTTTTGTATTTTTAGTAGAGACGGGGTTTCACCATGTTAGTCAGGCTGGTCTCAAACTCCTGACCTCAGGTGATCCACCGGCCTCGGCCTCCCTAAGTGCTGGGATTACAGGCATGAGCCACCACACCTGGCCCCATTTCTTATTATTGTCTCTAAATGCCTAAAAGTTGAATGTAATATTTTTTGGATATATATATATTCTAATTTTCTTATTATCTCCTATTTTCTTTTTTTAAACAGAACTACTTTATTAATCTTAGAAATCAGTAATTCCAAGGGGTACCTTAACCCTGGCTCATGTTGTCAGCAGTACACTGACTTATCTCTTCTCTCTGGGAAACCTGTGATGAATGCTCTTTCTCCTCCACAGACCTTCCAAAAAGAAAAGAGCAACTTTGGTAGATGATTATGTTGTATCTCCCATTTTCTGTCTCTTCGTGTTCTTGTTTTACTTTTTGATAGAGCTTCTCAACTTTATCTTCCAATCTTTCAGTTGAATTTTTAATTTTTGCTGTCATCATTTAATTTCCAAGAGTTTGTGGTTTTTTGTTTTGTTTTGTTTTGTTTTTAATAGGGTCTGGGTCTGTCACCCAGGCAGGAGTTCAGTGGTACCATCACAGCTCTCTGCAGCTTCAAGCTTTTGGGCTTAAATGATCCACCCACCTCAGCCTCCCAGCGTAGCTGGGACTGCAGGTGTGTGCCAACATGCCTGGCTGATCTATTATTATTATTGTTTTAGAGATGGGTCTTTCTATGTTGCCCTGGCTGGTCTTTAACTCCTGGGCTCAAGCAATCTTCCCACTTTGGTCTCACAAAGTGCTGGGATTACAGATGTAAAACACCACACCCAGCCAGTTTTTTGTTGTTTTTGTTGTTGCTCTCTGATTATTTTCTTTGTACACTGTGCTCTTCTTGTTTCATGATATTAATTATTATCTTCGAAGTTTTCCTTTAGTCCCTGCTTAGTCTATGTTTGCTCTGAGTTCATTTTGTTCTCTCTGGTGGGTTGTTTTGGCTTCCGACTTTCCACAGGAGGCTTCAGCTTCCTCATTTCCACTGTCAGTTGCCATGTGTTTGATTACTTGTCTCTTCCAAAATGTGGTTGACATCCTTGTCTACTGTTGTCTTTTCTTCTGTTGTCTTTGTGGGTTTAAGTCTCTTTTGTTGTTGTTGTTGTTAATTTGTTTACTATTACTCACTGGGATTTTGGAAAGGAACAAATATAAACACATCTGCTCAGTACAATATGTTTCAAAATGACTTATTTGATGTGTGATGAACTAAGATCTAAGGGAGTGAGGTGAATTGCCCAAGCACCAAACTCTAGTGTGTGGCAAAACCAAGCTAGTACTTAGTGCTTCTGTTTTCAAGTTCAGGGTTATTATTATCAATTTCTGCTTTCCCACTCCTCCCTTTCTACCACTAGCGCTTATAACTATCCAGTAGTCTTCCTATGTATTATTTATTTGCTCATTTCCCCACCCCATCTTCCATGCTATATATATGTAGTACGGGGACAGTGTCTGACACAGAGTAAGCACTCAGAACTTAATGATTGAATGAATGAATGAAAAGGTAAGTGGCCTGTACCTTAGATTTCCCCTCACTTAGGATTTTGCTTTTGAGAAAAACACCTTCTCCAAATGATGACTGGTGGAAGGCATACAGACATTTGACTTGTGGTTTTGGAAGAATATGCCTAATCTTCTTAATTGAAAAGCAGAAAACAGGGTGATTAACGGTATGAAATTAAATATATGCACCTATTATATACCCACAAAAATAAGAAAAAAAGAATATGAGATTTGAAGACAGAGGTAGGTTTTAGTACTTGGGTTCAAATCCCAGTTACCTCACTTACAATTTGTGCAACCTCTTTCTCCTTTTCAAGTGTAAAAAGGTAAAGTATCTGATTTTTAAAGCCCTAGATCAGTGCATTCTATTTCTGTCTTTTCCCTTCTCATAATTATTCTCCCCTTTTGGAGTTCTGTGGTGTCTGTTTTTAAAGAAAGGAGGTGGCTGGGCATGGTGGCTCATGCCTGTAATCCCAACACTTTGGGAGGCCAAGGTAAATGGATCACTTGAGGTCAGGAGTTTGAGACCAGCCTGGCCAACATGTCAAAACCCTGTCTCTGTTAATACTACAAAATTAGCTGGGTGTGATGGTGCATGCCTGTAATCCCAGCTACTCGGAAGCCTGAGGCTTGAGAATCACTTGAACCTGGGAGACAGAGGTTATAGTGAGCCGAGATCGGGCCACTCCACTCCAGCCTGGGCAACAGAGCAAGACTCCGTCTGAAAAAAAAAAAAAGTTGGGCACAGTGGCCCACACATGTAATCCTAGCAGTTTGGGAGGTCAAGGCTGGCAGAACACTTGAGGTCAGGAGTTCGAAGCCAGCCTGGCCAACATGGTGAAAACCCTGTCTCTATTAAAATACAAAAAAATTAGCTGGGCATAGTGGTGGGTGCCTGTAATCCCAGCTACTGGGGAAGCTGAGGCAAGAGAATCGCTTGAGCCGGGGAGGTGGAGGTTACACTGAGCCGAGATCATGTCACTGCACTCCCGCCTGGGTGACGGAGCGAGATTCCATCTCAGAAAAAAATAAATAAATAAAAAATAAAGGAAAAATAAATAAATAAAGGAGGTGCATTTCTTTCTTTGTCTGAATGGGTAAGTGCTAATTATATTTTGCAGAACTTATGTGAGTCTACTCCCCCAAAGTTTAGAAAGATCATAATTGTCTTGGTGTTTTCCCCTAATCTTAGGAGTATGCTGACTATAATGCTTAAAAGTGCTTTCATTTTTATTAATACTAGAGAAATTCAGGCCTTTAGTGCTTTTCACTAAAGACTATGGGAAGATGGTATAGCAAGTAATTACATTTTACTTCTAGCCCTTGTTCCCGACTGGTCCATTACTTCTTGATAACTTAATAAAGCTAAGAATAAAGTTCTTTCAGATTATTGAATAACTATTTTTTCTTTTAAGAGTCAAAGTCTCGCTCCATCACTCAGGCTGGAGGGCAGTGGCGCATTCACAGCTCACTGCAACTTTGAACTCCTGGGCTCAAGTCATCCTCCTGCCTCGGCCCCGCAAAATACTGGGATTAAAGGCATGAACCACCATTCTCAGCCTAAAAAACTATTTTTTCTGTCCTACAGAGATTATTATTGTTAGTTGAGGTTTTGTTCTGGGAAATACCAGACTATGGTAGAGCTCCCAAAAAGTTTCTCAGTTTCATAAACCTAAGAATCTGTTCCATTGGGTTGCTTTTGGCCTCCAAATGTTTGAATTCCTACAGAGTTGCCTAAAACAGTGAAGTAGGTGACTTAATTTTCCTTCTGCTATTGCAGAAGTATACACATGGAGGCAGTACAGTCTAATGGAGTCTGAGATTTGGAGTCAGCCTAGCATTCACCACCAGGATCTGTTGTGGATTAGTTGCATGATTATGTCCACTGGTGCAAGCTGTTAAATCTATACCTCTGTTTTTGCCTATATAAAACAATGTTTTGTGAATTAGTAAAATAATATTGTACATTTGGACGGGTTAAATTAATTTTATATTAGTAAATATTAATAAATCACTTCTGAGTGGCAGACATTTGCTAGATATCTCCATCCAGATGTCTTAGAGGTACCCAAACACAAAAAGTTCAATGTATAATTTGTTATTTTCCATTTTAGATCTGCTCCTCTCCCTACAGTCTTTTTTTTTTTTTTTTTTTTTTTTTTTGAGATGCAGTCTCGCTTGTCACCCAGACTGGAGTGCAGTGGCGCGAACTTGGCTCGCTGCAACCTCTGTCTCCTGGGTTCAAGCCATTCTCTTACCTCAGCCTCCCAAGTAGTTGGGATTACAGGTGCACGCCACCACACCCAGCTAATTTTTGTATTTTTAGTAGAGATGGGGTTTCACCATGTTGGCCAGGCTTGTTTCTAACTCCTGACCTCAAGTAATCCGTCCACCTCGGCCTCCCAAAGTGCTGGGATTACAGGTGTGAGCCACTGCACCTGGTCCCTACAGTCTTTAAAAGGAATAATTCATCCTTCATGCAGTTGCCTTAGTCAGAAGCCAGGGACTTAGCCTAGATGCCTCCATCCTCTCTACCCATGGCATCCAGTCAGCACTAAACCGTGTTGATTCTATTTCCTACATATGTTCAACCGTGTCCCCTTCACTTCATTCTTAACTCAGGCTCTCATCATCTTTTGCCTGGACTATTACAATTGCCTCCTAACTAGTGTTTCTGCCCCCTCCTTTGTATAACACACATTAGTGACAGAATGATGGTGGCATTCCCATGCTTCCAGGTGCTGCAGCTCCTCAGGAGGCATCAAGTGCTTTATGGCATGTGCCTGCGACCTCTATGACCTCTTCTTTCACTGCATCTCCATGTGCCCTCTGTGAGCCAGCCATATCCCATGTGTTTGAAGTTCCTCTCCTTTTTGCCTGTAATGTCCTTTCTATCTCCTTGGCTGTCTACCAAATTCCTACCTTTATTTTCTTTTATTCTATTTTATTTTATTTTATTTTATTTTGAGACAGAGTCTCACTCTGTTGCCCAGGCTGGAGTACAGTGGCACGATCTTGGCTCACTGCAAGCTCCACCTTCTGCATTCAAGCAATTCTTCTGTCTCAGCCTCCTGAGTAGCTGGGATTACAGGCACCTGCCACCACACCCGGCTAATTGTTGTATTTTTAGTAGAGACGGGGTTTCACCACATTGGTCAGGCTGGTCTTGAACTCCTGACCTCAGGTGATCCACTTGCCTTGGCCTCCCAAAGTGCTGGGATTACAGGTGTGAGCCACCGCGCCCAGCCCCAAATTCCTACTTTTTAAGGAGCTGCTTTTGCCATCTTGTCAATAAAGTCATTCTTGATCCCCTTTCACTCACTCTATACTGTCTCTTGCCACTCAGCCTCAAGAGCTTCTTCTCCATCTCCTTCTCTTTCTTCTTTTTTTGAGACAGAGTCTCACTCTGTCGCCCAGGCTGGAGTGAGGTGTCACGATCTCAGCTCATTGCAAACTCTGCCTTCTGGGTTCAAGCAATTCTCATGCCTCAGCCTGTCCAGTAGCTGGGATTACAGGTATGTGCCATCACGCTTGGCTAATTTTTGTATTTTTAGTAGAGATGGGATTTCACCATATTGGCCAGGCTGGTCTTGAAATCCTGGCCTCAAATGATCCATCCACCTCAGGCTTCCAAAGTCTGGGATTACAGGCGTGAGCCACTGCACCTGGCCAAGAGATTCTTCTTTTCTACTTCCAAAGCACCTTCTATTCAACTCTATCTGGAGACCATACATGTCTGCATTTAAGAGCCCAGACTCTGGAGTTAGCAAATGTGGGTTTCAATCTATCACTTATTAACTAGGTAAATTTTTTTCTTTTTTTTTCCTTTTTTTTTTGAGACAGTCTCACTCTGTTGCTCAGGCTGGAATGCAGTGGTGCAATCTTGGCTCACTGCAACCTCCGCCTCCCGGGTTCAAGCAATTCTCTGCCTCAGCCTCCCGAGTAGCTGGGATTACAGGCACCTGCCACCATGTCTAGCTAATTTTTGTTTTTTTGTTTTTTTTTTTTTTTGAGACAGAGGCTGGCTCTGTTGCCCAGGCTGGAGGCCAGTGGCATGATCTCGGCTCACTGCAAGCTCCTCCGCCTCCTGGGTTCACCTGCCATTCTCCTGCCTCAGCCTCCAGAGTAACTGGGACTATAGGCGCCCACCACCACGCCCGGCTAATTTTTGTATTTTTAGTAGAGACGGGGTTTCACCGTGTTAGCCAGGATGGTCTCCATCTCCTGACCTCATGATCCACTCACCTTGGCCTCCCAAAGTGCTGGGATTACAGGCTTGAGTCACCGCGCTCGGCAATTTTTGTATTTTTAGTAGAGACCTGGTTTCACCATCTTGGCCAGGCTGGTCTTGAACTCCTGACTTAGTGATCCACCCACCTCGGCCTCCCAAAGTGCTGGGATCACAGGCGTGAGCCGCCAAGCCCAGCCATAAATTTTTTTCTTAAATTTTTTTTTTTCCTGCTCACCGTCCACCGTTATATGACCTCTTTAAGCCCCAGTTTCCTGTTCTATAAATGGAGATAATATTTGATACATGGTAAGCACTTAATATAGTAATAATAATAAGTATTTTTATTATTGCATTATTTAACTTTATTTTAATTGGCGATTTGTATGTATGGCTTCCTCTGCTGTCCATGCACATCTGAGGTCAGAACTTTGTTAACTAATTATTTAACAACATTAAGCGCTTATTATGATGTGCATATGTAATACATATGTGCACTTATGTAACCCTCTCAATGTTCTATCTGAGTCTAAGTTTGCTTGACTCCTAAATTCATGCTATTTTACCATACAGCCTTTTGGTTTGAATATTAACCTCTTTTTTTTCTTTTCCTTTTTCTTTTTTTTGAGACAGAGTCTCACTCCCATCATCCAGGCTGGAGTGCAGTGGCATGATCTTGGCTCACTGCAACCTCTGCTTTCCAGTTCAAGCAATTCTCCTGTCTCAGCTGGGATTACAGGCATGTGCCACCAAGTCTGGCTAGTTTTTTTTTTTTTTTTTTTTTTTTTAGTACAGATGAGGTTTCACCATGTTGGCCAGGCTGGTCTCGAACTCCTGACCTCAGGTGATCTGCCCGCCTTGGCCTCCCAAAGTGCTGAGATTACATGCATGAGCCATTGTGCCCAGCCAATATTAACCTCTTTAGAGTCTTCTTACAATTCTGTGGTTCCATAAAAATTTACCAACAATAGTCTCATGCTTATACAAGGCAATTATTTCTAAACATTACTTTATTGCTTTACATAATGTAGAAATGGGATCAATCCAGTTAGAATTCAGGGACCTAACAATTGAGTTGTTTACAGGATTGTCTACAATATATTAGTGAGTAATCAGGATTTAACCATATGTTTGAATATGTTTGGCTTTGGCTGCATGATCATCTTGATCACGATTCTAAACAGTCAATCAAATATGTTAGTTCAATCAACTTGTCAATTTATTTTTAAGAATGCAACTAGTTAAGTGACTCGGGTAGCTAGCTAGCACAGGTGATTTAGTTTCCCTGTGTGTGTGGGTGTGTGTGTGTGTGTCTGTGTGTGTGTGTGTGATTATTATGGACAATTTCATCTTCTCCTTCCTAGAAATTTTGTAGTCTTTATTAACTCAAATATTTGTATTCATATACTTTATTAGCCTTCATCTTACTTAAATGAGCGATACACACTTAATTTGAAACACCACAACATTTATCTGTCTCTCTTTTTTTTTTCAGACAGGGTCTTGCTCTGTCACCCAAGCTGGAGTGCATTGGTGCAAGCTTGACCTCCCGGGCCCTAAGTGATCTTCCCACCTCAGCCTCCCAACCAGCTGGGAGTACAGGTGCACAACACTGCGCTTGGCTAATTTGTGTGTGTGCATGTGTGTAAAATTGTAGGCTGGTCTTGAACTCCTGGGTTCAAGCGATCCTCCTGCCTTGGCCTCCAAAAGTGCTGATTACAGGTGTGAGTCACAGTGCCTTGCCATCTCTGTCTCTTAATATGTTATAATTTCTTTTTTTTTACTTTTATTTATTTATTTATTTTAGAGATGCGGGGGGGGGGGGTCTCACTATGTTGCCCAGGCTGGTCTTGAACTCCTGAGCTCAAGTGATCCTCTGGCCTTAGCCTCCCAGAGTGCTAGGATTGCGGGTGTGAGCCACTATGCCCAGCCTGTTATAATTTCTAGTTTCAGAATTTCTGAAAAACAGTTTTGGTATCCCTCTTACCTTTTCATTATTCTTTTTTTCTTTTCTTTTCTTTCCTTGTCTTTTTTTTTTTTTTGAGACAGAGTTTCCGCTCTTGTTTCCCAGGCTGGAGTGCAATGGCGTGATTTCAGCTCACTGCAACCTCTGCCTCCCAGGTTCAAGCGATTCTCCTGCCCCAGCCTCTCGAGTAGCTGAGATTACAGGCATGCACCACCAGGCCCAGCTAATTCTTTATTTTTAGTAGAGATGGGGTTTCACCATGTTGGTCAGACTGATCTCAAACTCCAGACCTCGGCGATCCACCCACTTCAGAATCCCAAAGTGCTGGGATTACAGGTGTGAGCCACAGCACCCAGCCCCTTTTCATTATTCTTAAGTAAAACTTCAACATCTTATATTTACTTGAATAATATTGAGGGACAAACTTCTAAAATAATAATCATTATCATCACTCATGTTTCATATTTCCATTTCCTGCACTGAGATCCATTAAGTGTTTTGGCCTCCACAATAGCCTCTCTTCCTCTTGCATCCTGTAAATAGGGTATTTTCTAGGTTTGGTTCTGTTCTTCTCTATTTACATTCTCATCCTTAGGGAATTTAGTTCAGTTTAATCTTTTCAGCCACCGCTTCTAGGCCAAAAAAAAACCTCAAATCTTTCTCTCTGCTATTGTCTTTTCCATGTAACAGGCCCAGACTTGACTCCCTGAAAGCTCAGCTGCTCCTTGAACTACAACATGCTTGAAAATCAAACTCGCTTTCTTCTTTACAAACTGACTCCTGATTTATCTTTCTCTGTCAATGGTACCATCAGTCTCTCAGTCACTCTCAAAATTTTCAGGTTTTATATAACACATTTTCTTTATTCATTCATCTTTTGATTGACATTCAGGCTGTTTCCGCATCTTGGCTATTGTGAACAGTGCTGCAATGAATATAGGACTGCTAGTATCTTTTGAGATCCAGAATTGAATTCTTTTTTTTTTTTTTCTTAAGATAGAGTCTTGCTCTGTCGCCCAGGCTGGAGTGCAGTGGCACGATCTCGGCTCACTGCAAGCTCCGCCTCCTGGGTTCATGCCATTCTCCTGCCTCAGCCTCTGAAGTAGCTGGGACTACAGGCACCTGCCACCACACCCGGCTAAGTTTTTGTACTTTTTAGTAGAGATGGGGTTTCTCCATGTTAGCTAGGATGGTCTCGATCTCCTGACCTGGTGATCCACCCGTCTTGGCGTCTCAAAGTACTGGGATTACAGGTGTGAGCCACCGCACCTGGCCCAGAATTCAATTCTTTTATATCCCAGAAGAGGGATTGCTTGATCATATGTTAGTTTTATTTTTAATTTTTTGAGAAACCTTCATACTGCTTTTTACAATGGCTGCACCATTTTGCATTTCTACCAACAGTGTCCAAACGTTCCAATTTCTCTACATCTTGCCAGTACTTGCCATCTTTTATTTGATAATAGCCTTCCTGACAGTTGTGAGGTGGTATATCACTGTGGTTTTGATGTGCATAGTTCAGATACTGGCCATTTGTATGTCTTTTTAGGAGAAATGTCTATTCAAGTCCTTAATTTTTTTTAAAAAAGAAGGAAATTCAGCAATATGCAATAACATGGATGAAACTTGAAGATGTTATGCTAAGTGAAATAAGCTAGTCACAGAAAGACAAATACTTCATAATTCTACTTACATGAGGTATCTAAAATAGTCCATTTCATAGAACCAAAGAGTGGAATGGTGGTTGCCAGGGGTGGGGGTGGGGGGTGTGGGAAGAGAAAATGGGGATTTACTAATTAATGGGCATAACGTTTCAGATAAGCAAGATGAATAAATTCTAGAGTTCTGCTGCACAACATTGTGCCTATAATCAACAATAATGTCTTATACACTTAAAAAAATATTAACAGGGGCTGGGCACATTGGTTCATGCCTGTGATCCCAGCACTTTGGAAGGCTGAGGAGAGTGGATCACCTGAGGTCAGGAGTTAGAGACCAGCCTGCCAACATGGTGAAACCCTGTGTCTACTAATAATACAAAAATCAGCCAGACGTGGTGGCACACACCTGTAATCCCAGCCACTCCAGAGGCTGAGGCAGGAGACTGGCTTGAATCTGGGAGGCGGAGGTTGCAGTGAGCCAAGATCGCGCCATTGCACTCCAGCCTGGGCAACAAGAGTGAAACTCTGTTTCCAAGGGAAAAAAAAAATGAACAGGGTAGATCTTCTATCAAGTGTTCTTATCACAATACAACAAAACAAAATAACATCTTCAGGTTACCTTTCATCTCTTTCATTTCCTTGGCAAGCAATCACCAAACTCTATAGCTATTTCCTTTGTTTTGGTCCCGTCTTTGGTACTGCTATCATCACTACTAAAGTGGACCCTGTTACCACTTGTGGTGCTGTAATAATTACCTTCTAATGGCCCGCTGTACATTCAGAATCCTTGCTAACTTATTCTACATGAGCAACCTTCTTAGAACTCTACTACTCAAAAAGCCTCTTAATGACTGTCCACTGTTTCATAGAAGGAAATGGAAACTTCTTGACTTATAAAACTCAAGACTATTAACAGTGAAGTTTCAATTTGCCTTTCTTTCCTTCTCTTTTCCTGTTTCCTATCATGAAATCCCCTCTTTCAGCCAGGCCGTTTTGCCTATTCTTTCATGTTATACTCCACTTTTTACCTGGCTTCCAAATTCTCCCTTATTCATAGCCTATCCAGGACCTAATCATAATTTAAAGCTCAGGGAAAGAGGCTTCTCCTTCTCCTTCTCCTTCTCTTCTCCTTCTCCTTCTCCTTCTCCTTCTTCTTCCCAGTAAGGTTTCTTTGAGTTAATTCAGAGCCATCTCATCTAGTTTTGAATTCCTATATAATTTATCATACTAACATTTAGTGCCTTACTTTGTCAATTAACTTTTAATGCATATGCCTTATTTCTCTTAATACATTGCCAATTTCTTTTCTTTTCTTTTTTTGAGACAGAGTCTCGCTCTGTTGCCCAGGCTGGAGTGCAGTGGCATTATCTCGGCTCACTGCAACCTCTGCCTCCCAGGTTCAAGTGATTCTCCTGCCTCAGCCTCCCAAGTAGGTGGGATTACAGGCATGCACCACCACGCCCGGCTAATTTTGTATTTTTAGTAGAGATGGGGTATAACTATGTTGGCCAGGCTGGTCTCAAACTCCTGACCTCAGGTGATCCATACAGTGTGGGCCACCGCGCCTGGCTGATATTGCTAATTTCTTGATACCAAGAACACATATACCTATATATCCATTAATACATACAATAGTGTCTTGAGCCCAAGAGTCATATACATTAAATTAAAAATTGGGACATATGGTGTGTGAAAATTTGTCTGTACACAGGACTGCCATTTGAACTTCAAGTACTCATGACTCACGGGGAACCCACCCAAATTTCATGATCAATTTATAAGTCCTTTGTGTTTGTGTATTTGTTTTCTAACTAATGTGTCTTGCCGCACAGTAAAGCCGATGTTATTTGGCATAGATGAATTAAAAGTTTAACTTTTTTATCTTATCTAATTTAACACAAAACAAGTAAATCAAAGCATGAAAATCAAATACATTAAACCTCAGAATATTCTTAGCTGATTTATTTTGACAAATGTTTAAATTATTTAGCTATTCTGAATTTATTTGATTTTAATTATTTATAGCAATACACTGTAGTGCATTAGTAAATGTCTTAAGGAGTGTTTTGTAAAAGTAGGCAGCATCTCAGTAATGATATCACTATAACTCTGCCATTTAATTTTTGCTGACAAGTGGCAGAGCCTGTAAGGATAATTGTAAGAAACATTAAGGAACAAGGCATATGCAATTGATACAGGATGGCGCTGTATTTGCCTTTTCAATTCTTTGTGCCACTATAGTTTTTCAATACTTTTCAAAACTGCCAGCAGTTCAATAAGACTTTTAGTTCATTCGTGAGCTTAAAATATCATCTTCATATGCACTCAATACTATATGCCCAAATTTCTCAAGTGCTTACTTACTTACTTTTTGCTAGCAGCACTTTTAAAGGGTGTTCCATTACATCCTAAATGTCCAAACCCCTTCTCTTTTTACTTCTGCCTGGAAAATTTTCAAAAGCACTTCAATTTTTAGGGACTGGGCACAGCGGCTTACACCTATAATCCAAGCATTTTGGGAGGCCGGGGAGGGGTGGATCACTTGAGGTCAGGAGTTCGAGACCAGCCTGGCTAACATGCTGAAACCCCATCTCTACTAAAAATACAAAAATTAGCCGGGCATGGTGGCAGGTGCCTGTAATCCTAGCTACTTGGGAGGCTGAGGCAGGAGAATTGGTTGAACCTGAGAGGCAGAGGTTGCAGTGAGCTGAGATCTTGCCACTACTCCACAGAATGGGTGACAGGGTGAGACTCATTCTCAAACAAAACAAAACAAAACAGGTTTTTTGTTTTGTTTTGTTTTTTTAGACGGAGTTTTGCTCTTGTCACCCAGGCTGGAGTGCAATGGCATGATCCCAGCTCACTGCAACCTCCGCCATCCAGGTTCAAGCGATTCTCCCGCCTCAGCCTCCCAAGTAGCTGGGATTACAGGCACCCACCATAATGCCTGCCTAATTTTTGTATTTTTGTAGAAACGGGGTTTCACCATGTTGGCCAGGCTGGTCTTAACCTCCTGACCTCAGGTGGGCCACCCACCTCAGCCTCCCAAAGTGCTGGGATTACAGGCGTGAGCCACTGTGCCCAGACAGAACTTCAGTTTTTTAACAAGAATGCAGTAATCTACAATGTAGATTTTACACGGAATGACTCTAGATAATGGGAATAGTTTCCTTAGGCATTTTCTCTCAATTTTTTCCCTTTGACATTCTTAACAGAGGCTACTTAGTTATTCCTCAATGAGAAGGAGATTAATATAAAGAGGGCTACAGTAAGGCATTCCCAGAATTTGTTGGCTTTGAGAGCAATACCAAAAAGAATCAACGTATTCCGTAACTAACTCTTATAGTGGATAGCAGCCTCAGGAAATATCCACTCTAAGATGGGTTTTGCTAACAAACACTGGGACTATGCTGTAATCCTAGGGCTGGTAAATAACTCAGAAAGTTATAACCTTCAGCACTATCCACATGAGGAAAACACTATATTTTACAACTATAAATACTCTGTTTAGGCCGGGTGCAGTGGCTCATGCCTGTAATCCTAGCACTTTGGGAGGCCACGACGGGTGTATCACCTGAGATGAGGAGTTCGAGACCAGCCTGGCCAACATGGCAAAACCCTGTCTTTATTAGAACTACAAAATTGGGCTGGGAGCAGTGGCTTATGCCTGTAATCCCAGCACTTTAGGAGGCCGAGGCGGGTGGATCACGAGGTCAAGAGATGGAGACAATCCTGGCCAACATGGTGAAACCCCATCTCTACTAAAAATACAAAAAATAGCTGGGCGTGGTGGCACACGCCTGTACTCCCAGCTACTCAGGAGGCTGGGGCAGGAGAATCGCTTGAATCCGGGAGGCGGAGGTTGCAGTCAGCCGAGGTCGTGCCACTGCTCTCCGGCTTGGGGACAGAGCGATACTCTGTCTCAAAACAGCAACAACAACAACAACGACAACAAAAACCACTACAAAATTGGCCGGATTGCTTATGCCTGTAATCCCTGCACTTTGGGAGGCCGAGGTGGGTGGATCACCTGAAGTCAGGAGTTTGAGACCAGCCTGGCCAACATAATGAAACCCCATCTCTACTAAAAATACAAAAAATTAGCCAGGCATGGTGGTGGGCACCTGTAATCCCAGCTACTTGGGAGGCTGAGACAGGAGAATTTCTTGAACTCCGGAGGCAGAGGTTGCAGTGAGCTGAGATCAAGCCACTGCACTCTAGCCTGGGCAACAAGAGCGG
Source organism: Homo sapiens (assembly GCF_000001405.40). NCBI lineage: Eukaryota > Metazoa > Chordata > Mammalia > Primates > Hominidae > Homo > Homo sapiens. Next base: position 107,888,176 of record NC_000011.10, on the reverse strand, counting down.
AACTCCATCTCAAAAAAATAAATAAATAAATAAATAAAACACTACAAAATTACCTGGCTGTGGTGGTGCATGCCTGTAATCCCAGATACTTGGGAGGCTGAGGCGGGAGAATCACATGAACCCGGGAGGTGGAGGTTGCAGTGAGCCAAGATCACGCCATTGCACTCCAGCCAGGCTGACAGAGCGAGACTCCATCTCAAAAAGATAATCATAAAAAATAAATAAATAAATAAATAAATAAATAAATACTTAGGTTACTGGAGAGATGGAAGCTACTGTGGGAAAGGGGCTTTCCAGTTTACATCACCCTTTTTGTGTTTCATTTACGCGGTAACACAATGGCTTAGCGCTTGATCCGTGTTCAGTTTCCTTCTAGTGTGCCTTCCTCATTTGCACACAGGAAAGCAAAAATTTTAGATTTCCCAAACTCCTAGTGGCTATGTGTTTTTTTAAAAAAAAACTTTTTAGTATGGACATTTTCAAACAAACATTTACAAAAGTAGATAGAATAGTATAATGTACTCTGCATAAGCAAAAGCTCTAAAATATTAAGATGAGTGTGCTCAAAGGGGTTATCTTTTATTTTTATTTTTATTTTTTAAGAGTCGAAGTCTTGCTCTGTCACCCAGGCTGGCCTCAAACTCCTGGGCTCAAGCGTTTTCCTGCCTTGGCTTCTCAAAGTTGCCGGGATTTCAGTCATGAGCCATCACAGCCAACCATGAGATTATCTTTTATGTCACTCTAAACCTAACTAAGCTTTATTTTATGTACTATTTTTTTTCCCATTTGTTTTTCTTTTCTTGTACATTTTAAAAATTGGGTATACCTTAAAGTGCACATAAAAGTGTGGGTCGGTGAATTTTTACATATGTATATACCATGTAACCACTCCTTACATGAAGATATAAATTATGTTTATGTCCCAGAAGTCTCCTTCCTACTCTCTCCCAGTTGATATTTCTCCACAGTGTATTAGTTTCCCAGATTATCACAGACTGGGTGGCTTAAACCAACAGAAATTTATTATTTCACAGATCTGGAGGCTAGAAGGTAAAAATCAAGGTATGGGTGAGGTTGATTCCTTCTGGATGCTCTGTGGGAGAATCTGTTCCATGCCCCTTCTCCTAGACTCAGGTGGTTGCCAACAATCCCTGGTGTTCCTTAGCTTGCAGTGACCTCTATCCAGTCTCTGCCTCCATCGTCACATGGCATTCTCCTTCTATGTCTCTATGTCCAAATTACCCTCTTCCTTTTTTTTTTTTTTTTTTTTTGAGATGGAATTTCACTCTTGTTGCCCAGGCTGGAGTACAATGGCATGATCTCAGTTCACCACAACCTCCACCTCCCAGGTTCAAGTGATTCTCCTGCCTCAGCCTCCTGAGTAGCTGGGATTACAGGCATGCGCCACCATGCCCAGCTAATTTTTTGTATTTTTAGTAGAGATGGGGTTTCTCCATGTTGGTCAGGCTGGTCTTGAACTCCCGACCTCAGGTGATCTGCCCACCTTGGCCTCCCAAAATGCTGGGATTACAGGTGTGAGCCACCGTGCCTGGTCCAAATTGTCCTCTTCTTATAAGCACATCAATCATTGAATTAGGTCTCACCTGAATCCACTCTGATCTTATCCTACTTGATTACATTCTCATAGACCCTATTTCCAAATAAGGTCACATTCACAGGTACCTGGATTAGGACTTTGACATATTTTTTGTGGGGACACAATTCAATTCATAACACCAAAGGTAACCACTATTCTGACTCTTATCATAATGGATTAGTTTTACCTTCTTGGTTTTCTTGAAATTCACATAAATGGAAGCATGCAGTATGTAATGGCTTTTGTCACTCAATATTATGCGTGTGAGATTCATCTCAATTTGTTTCCCATAGCAGTACTTTGTTCTTTTCATGTACTATAGTATTGTAGGAATATACAACAGTTTATTCTGTTGATGGGTACTTGGGTGTTTTCCAGTTTGAGGCTATAACTAATAAAAATGGAGCCGGGTGCAGTGGCTCACACCTGTAACCCAGCACTTTGGGAGGCTGAGGCAGGTGGATTGCTTAAGCCCAGGAGTTTGAGACTGGCCTAGGCAGCCTGGCAAAACCCTGTGCCTACAAAAAATACAAAAATTAGCTGGGCGTAGTGGCACACGCCTGTGGTCCCAGCTACTTGGGAGGCTGAGGTGGAGGATCACTTGAACCTGGGAGGTGGAGGTTGCAGTGAGCCAAGATTGTGCCGCTGCACTCCAGCCTGGGTGACAGAGTGAGAGACTGTCTCAAAAAAAAAAAAAAAAAAAAAAAGGTTATGAACATTCTTCTGTTCGCGAATATGTATTCATTTTCTCTTGCGCATACACCTAGGAGTGGGTTTGCAGGGTCATGGCATATGCATATGTTCAGCTCTAGCAGCTATACTGCCAAAAAGTTTTCTAAACTGGTTATACTTCTTTCTATTCCTGCCAGCAGTATATTAGAATTCCAGTAGTTACACATCCTTATCAATTTTGGTATTATCATTTAAAAAGTTAGCAGTTCCTTTGGGCATGTAGTGGAATGTCATTGCATTTCTTTGATGACTAATGATAGTGAATATCTTATGTTTATTGATCATTTGGATATTATTAATTTGGAACTGTGTTTTATCCATAATACTTCTGATACCAACTACTGTGATCTGTTTCTACCCATAGAACACTCCTGGCACCAAATGTGTGGGGTTTTTTTTTTCCCTGACATCAACCAGTTCTCCAGCTCTTCAGATACCAGCTGGACTTCGTGCGGTTCTATCTGATGTTATGTACTTTGAGTTGGCATCAGATGCAACAAATTAAGGGTTCAGTCCCACAAGGCTGCCATCACTTCAGATGTCAATTGCAAGCTGAGGGCCTCCCTTCTTTTGAATGACGAGCTATAAATCGGGAGTTCCCATGATCCCCTCCTCAGGTTCTATAATTTGCTAGAACAGCCCACAGAACTCAGGAAAACTGTTTCCTTACGTTTACTGATCTAGTGTAAAGAACACAACTCAGGAGCAGCCAAATAAAAGAAATGCATAGGGCAAGATATGGGGAAGAGGCATAGAGCTTTCATGCCCTCTCCGGGTGCCCCATCTTCCCAGCACCTCAATGTGTTCATCAACCCAGAAACTCTCCAAACCCCATTGTTTCCGGTTTTTATGGAAATTTCATTATGGTAGCATAATTGATTACATCATTGGCCATTGGTGATTGAACTCAATCTCCACCTCTTCCCTCCTTCCCAGAGGTGAGGTGGGGGCCAAAGTTCCAACTCTCTAACACATGGTTGATTCCTCTGGCTACCATCCTCCATCCTATAGCTATCTAGGGAACCACCAAGAATCACCTTATTAGCGTTATTTTAGGTTTAGTTGAAAGGAGCTTGCTATGAATAACAAAAGACGCTCCTCTTACTTCAGAGATTCCAAGGGTTTTAGGAGTTCTGTGCCAGGAACTGGGATGAAGACCAAATATGTATCTCTCATTATATCACAATATCACAGATGTCTTATTTTGTGAAGGGTCTATAAAAATACATATTTTTTTTTCCTTTTCCTTTTTTTTTTTTTTTTTGAGGCAGAGTCTCCCTCTGTCCCCCAGGCTGGAGTGCAGTGGTGCGATCTCGGCTCACTGCAAGCTCCGCCTCCCGGGTTCACGCCATTCTCCTGCCTTAGCCTCCCCAGTAGCTGGGACTATAGGCGCCTGCCACCACGCCCAGCTAATTTTTTGTATTTTTAGTAGAGACGGGGTTTCGCCGTGTTAGCCAGGATGGTCTTGATCTCCTGACCTCGTGATCTGCCCGTCTTGGCCTCCCAAAGTGCTGGGATTACAGGCGTGAGCCACTGCGCCCGGCGTATAAAAATATTTTGCTGGCTGGGTGCGGTGGCTCATGCCAGTAATCTAGCACTTTGGGAGGCCGAGGTGGGCAGATAACCTGAGGTCAGGAGTTCGAGACCAGCCTGACCAACATGGAGAAACCCTGTCTCTACTAAAAATACAAAATTAGCCAGGCATGGTGGCGCATGCCTGTAATCCCAGCTTCTTGGGAGGCTGAGGCAGGAGAATGGCGTGAACCCGGGAGGCGGAGCTTGCAGTGAGCTGAGATCAAGCCATTGCACTCCAGCCTGGGCAACAAGAGCAAAACTCCGTCTAAAAAAAAAAAAAAATTTTGCTGGCCAGTTGTGGTGGCTCATGCCTATAATGCCAGCACTTTGGGAGGCTGAAGCTAGAAGATCGCTTGACCCAGGAGTTTGATACCAGCCTGGGCAACATTGGAGAGACCCTGTCTCTACCAAAAATAGTATTAATAAATTAATTAAATGTTACAAAGAAAAAAATTAACATAAAGAAAAATGAACAAAATTTTTTGTCTACTTTTTTTTGGGCTTTTTCTTTTGGATTTATATGAGTTCTTTATGTATACAGATATGAGTCTTTTGACTGGGGACAGTGGCTCACACCTATAATCTCAGCGCTTTGGGAGGCCGAGGCAGGCAGATCACTTGAGGTCAGGAGTTCGAGATCAGCTTGGCCAACATGGTGAAACGCTGTCTCTACTATACTAATAAAAAAAATTAGCCGGGCATGGTGGTGCATACCTGTAATCCCAGCTACTTGGGAGGCTGAGGCAGAAGAATCGATGGAATCTGGGAGGCAGAGGTTGCAGCAAACCAAGATCATGCCACTGCACTCCAGCCTGGGCAACAGACTGAGACTCTGTCTCAGAAAAAAAAAAAAAAAAAAGATGTGAGTCTTCTGGCAGATATATGTATTGTAATTTTTCTTTTTCCTCCCGAGATGGAGTTTTGCTCTGTCACCCAGGCTGGAGTGCAGTGGCGCAATCTCAGCTCACTGCAACCTCCACCTCCTGGGTTCAAGCAATTCTCCTGCTTCAGCCTCCTGAGTAGTTGGGATTACAGGTGCCCATCACCACACCTGGCTAATTTTTGTATTTTTAATAGAGACGGGGTTTCGCCATGTTGGGCAGGCTGGTCTTGAACTCTGACCTTGTGATCTGCCCGCTTCAGACTCCCAAAGAGCTGGGATTACAGGCGTGAGCCACTGTGCCTGACCTAATATTTTTAAATAAATAAATCTGTTGCTGGATTTAAAAAATTGTTTTAATGGCTCAACACTTTTATATTATAGATTAAGTAAATGCAAAATTCCATTTCAGGCAGTAATGTCAATTAGACACCTGAATGACCCTTCAAACTAAATAAAATATAAGGCACATAAAATAATTTAAAATGCATTACTGAGCTGATATGAAAGTAATAATGTTAGCAGCGGAACATATCCAAGTCACAGAGCACCAAAGCATGTTACCGACAGCGAATACGTAAGGTCTGCAGCAACCTCAATTCTTGCCTCTTAAGAAGAAAGAATTCACCTCATGGGCATAAAGCAGAGTGAGAGATCCAGGCAAATTTTAGAGCAGGAATTAAAGTTTATTAAAAAGTTTTAGGGCAGCAATGAAAGGAAGTAAAGTACACTTGGAAGAGGGCCAAGTGAGGGACTTGAGAGAGTCAAGTGCACAATCTGATCTTTTGACTTGGGGTTTTATATGTTGGCATGCTTCCAGGGTCTTGCATTACATCTCTCCTGATTCTTCCATTGGAGTGGGCTGTCCACATGTGCAGTGGCCTGCTAGCGCTTGGGAGGTGAGCATGTGCAGTGTGTTTACTGGAGTTGTATGCATGCTCATTTGAGGCATTCTTCCCTTACCAGTCAAGTGTTCCTATAAGGTCATATACCAGTTAAACTCCACCATTTTGCCTCTTAGTGCGCATGTGTGAGCCTACTTGCCCAACTCCTAAGATCTTATCAGGAAGCTGCTGATCACCAGCTTCAGGTTTTTCTACATATTGGGAGACTGCCTTTCCCTGGTGTTGGCTGCAACCAAGAGAGAAAGTTAACAACTGCCTGACCATCACCTGATGGTTGCCTAACATTTCTGGTAGAGCAAGAGGCCCTCTCCTGCCCTGCTCATACCTGACTAATTACTTACTGTAACAATAACTCTGCAGAGGCCTCCAAACAAAAGAAAACTCAGAGACCTTGAGAGGTAATATGATAAAGACAGTATTTGCCCTGGAGTTTTCTGCTAAATCTTGAAGAATGTGAGTCTTCTGCTTTGAAGACCTCTTGGAGCTACTTCTTTAATTGTAGAAGTTAAAGTCTGGGACATGCTTAGGTGAGAAATCTAGAAATCAGCCTTCTTGTCAGAGGCTTTTGGACCAGAGCAACTCCATCTTGAATAGGAGCTAGGTAAAATGAGGCTGAAACCTACTGGCTGCATTCCTAGACGGTTAAGTCATTCTAAGCAGGATGAGATTGGGGGTTGGCACCAGATACAGGTCATAAAGACCTTGCTGATAAAACAGCTTGCAGTAAAGAAGCCAGCTAAAACCCACCAAAACCAAGATGGCCATAAGAGTGACCTCTGGTGGTCCTCAGTGCTACACTCCCACCAGCGCCATGACAGTTTACAAATGCCATGGCAACGTCATGGCAGGAAGTTACCCTATATGGTCTAAAAAGGGGAGGCATGAATAATCCACCCCTTGTTTAGCATATAATCAAGAAATAGCCGGCCGGGCTTGGTGGCTCACACCTGTAATCCCAACACTTTGGGAGGCCGAGGTGGGCGGATCACGAGGTCAAGAGATCGAGACCATCCTGGCCAACATGGTGAAACCCCGTCTCTACTAAAAATACAAAAATTAGCTGGGCATGGTGGCAGGCGCCTCTAGTCTCAGCTATTCGGGAAGCTGAGGCAGGAGAATCGCTTGAACTAGGGAGGCAGAGGTTGCAGTGAGCCAAGATCAGGACACTGCACTCCAGCCCTGGTGACAGAGTGAGACTCTGTCTCAAAAAAAAAAAAAAAAAAAGAAAGAAAGAAATAGCCATAAAAAAGGGCAACCAGCAGCCCTCAAAGCTGCTCTGTCTGTGGAGTAATCATTCTTTTACTCCTTTACTTTCTTAACTTGCTTTCACTTTACAGACTTGCCCTGAATTCTTTATTGTGTGAGATCCAAGAACCCACTCTTGGGGTCTGGATGGGGACCCCTTTCCTGTAACATTCTGAATAAAGCTGAAGCTCCCCAGATCTACACCTGAAGTATAAAGAAAAATGAAAAAATAAATTCCATTGTGCAAAAGACATCAGAAAAGACAGTTGCCTATCTGTAACTGCCCAATGGGGTTCACCTTGCCAGCTGCCTAGACAGAGCCCATTCATCGAGACAGGGGAATTGCAATAGAGAAAGAGTAATTCATGCAGAGATGGTTGTGAGGGAGACTGGAGTTTTATTATTACTCAAATCGGTCTCCCCAAGCACTCATGGAGCAGAGTTTTTAAGGACAACTTTGTGGGTAGGGGAAGGCAGTGAGCCCGGAGTGCTGACTGGGCAGGGATGAAATCATAGGGAGTCAAAGCTGTCTTCTTGCACTGAGTCCATTCCTGGGTGGGGACCACAAGATCAGAAAAGCCCATTTATCAGTCTGGGTGGTGCCAGCTGATCCATCAAGTGCAGGGTCTGCAAAACATCTCAAGCACTGATTTTAGGAGTAGTTGAGGGAGGGTCAGAGTTTTGTAGCCTCCAGCTGCATGACTCCTAAACCATAATTTCTAATCTTGTGGCTAATGTTAGTCCTACAAAGGCAATCTGGTCCCCAGGCAAGAAGGAGGTCTGCTATGAGAAAGGGCTGTTATCATCTTTGTTTTAAACTATAAACTATAGGCCCAGGTGTGGTTGCTCACGCCTGTAATCCCAGCACTTTGGGAGGCCAAAGTGGGTGGATCACCTGAGGTCAGGAGTTCAAGACTGCCTGGCCAACATGGTGAAACTCTGACTCTACTAAAAATACCAAAAAATTGGCCTAGCGCAGTGGCTCATGCCTATAATCTCAGCACTTTGGGAGGCTGACGTGGGCGGATCAAGAAGTCAGGAGTTCAAGACCAATCTGGCCAACATAGTGAAACCCTGTCTCTACTAAAAATACAAAAAATTAGCCGGGTGTGGTGGTGTGCGCCTGTAATCCCAGCTACTTGGGAGGCTGAGGCAGGAGAAGCACGTGATCCCGGGAGCAGAGGTTGCAGTGAGCGGAGATCACACGTTGCACTCCAGCCTGGGTGACAGTGCGAGACTCCGTCTAAAAAACAAAAAACCAGGTGGGGGTTCCCTCTCTCGGCTTTGGAGCCCCCGTCCCTGTCTCTGTACAGGGGAGCTTCTTCCTTCTGTCTTCTCCCTTCCTTCTTGCCTATTAAACTCTCAACTCCTTAAAACAAAACAAAACAAAACAAAACAAAATTACCCAGGTGTCGGGGTGGGTGCCTGTAATCCCAGATACTTACAAGGCTGAGGCAGGAGAATTGCTTGAGCCTGGGAGGCGGAGTTTGCAGTGAGCTGAGGTCGCGCCATTGCTCTCCAGCCTGGGCAACAAGAGTGAAATTCCATTACAAAAAAAAAAAAAAACAACTATAAACTACAAACTAAGTTTCTTTCAAAGTTAGTTCGCCCTACGTCCAGGAATGTACCAGGACAACTTGGAGGTTAGAAGCAAGATGGAGTCTGTTAAGTTAGATCTCTTTCACTGTCTCAGTCATAATTTCGCGAAGGCAGTTTCATATCTTGAACTTGGAACTTGACAGAAGAGAAAGCTATTTCTTGCGGATTCATAACACAAGCTAGCTTTTATGAGTTTTGCAGTTTTAATTCATGCTACCTGTGAAACTCAGAAAACCTTCGAATAGGGAATTTTAAATGGTGCTATTTGGTAGCTCTTGTCATGCGCGTCCGTGTGAAGAGACCACCAAACAGGCTTTGTGTGAGCAATAAAGCTTTTTAATCACCTGGGTGCAGGCGGGCTGAGTCCGAAAAGAGAGTCAGCAAAGGGTGGTGGGATTATTATTAGTTCTTAAGGGCGGGGGGGTTGGGGGGCGGTGGGCGGGGGGAGAGGGACAGAATATTACAAAGTACCTTCTTAAGGGCAGGGGAGAATATATCCTATCAGTTAGGGTGGGGCAGGAACAAATCAGTGATGGAACGTCATCAGTTAAGGCTATTTTCACTTCTTGTGTGGATCTTCAGTTGCTTTAGGCCATCTGGATGTATTCGTGCAGGTCACAGGGGATATGATGGCTTAGCTTGGGCTCAGAGGCCTGACAGCTCTCTCAGTCAGAAGTAACTTATCTTTGGGAGAATTCAGCTGTAATCCAGGTATCAAAATATTCATGGATAATATATCAATATTCAGATCTAGGAAGCCCAATAAAGCCAGGTAAATCCCAAGCAAAAAAATCCACATCTAGATACATCATAGTGAAATGCACAACCCTAAAAAAAAAATAAAGAAAAAAAAAGGATGGTGAAAAGTCACAGGAAAAGAGTCAGATCACCTACAGGAAAAAGGTAATTAGATGGTTGGCTGCCTTCTCAATTGCAAAAATGAAGATAGGAAAATATATTCAAAGTGGTTACAGAAAATATTAGTCAATCTTAAGTTTTATATCCATCAACAGTATCTTAAAAAACAAAGAGGGTGCCATAAAGGTATTTTCAGACAAAAATAGACTTTACATCAAAAGACCCCCTGTAAAGGGAATTCTAAAGATGTAACTGCAGTAGAAACAAAATAAAATCCTGATGGAAGACCTAGGCTACATAATTTTTGGGTCCTAGCGCAGAGTCATTGAAAATGTGAGGCTCGGCTGGGCGCAGTGGCTCACGCCTGTAATCACAGCACCTTGGGAGGCCGAGACGGGCAGATCACGAGGTCAGGAGATCCAGACCATCCTGGCTAACACAGTGAAACCCTGTCTCTACTAAAAATACAAAAAATTAGCTGGGTGTTGTGGTGGGTGCCTGTAGTCCCAGCTACTCAGGAGGCTGAGGCAGGAGAATGGCGTGAACCTGGGAGGCAGAGCTGGCAGTGAGCCGATATTGCACCACTGTACTCCAAGCTGGGAGACAGAGTGAGACTCCGTCTCAAAAAAAAAAAAAAGATAAAAGAAAATATGAGGCTCCGAGGCCAGGCGCCGTGGCTCACACCGGTAATCCCAGCACTCTGGGAGGCCAGAGCAGGCAGATCACCTGAGGTCAGGAGTTCGAGACCAGCCTGGCCAAAATGGTGAAATCCCCATCTCTACAAAAATACAAAAATGAGCCAGTCCTGGTGGCAGGTGCCTGTAATTGTAGGTACTGGGGAGATTGAGGCAGGAGAATCGGTTGACCCCAGGAGGTGGAGGTTGCAGTAAGCCAAGATCATGCCACTGCACTCCAGCCTGGGCAACAGAATGAGACTCTGTCTCAAAAAAAAAAAAAAAAGAAAAAAGAAAATATGAGGCTCCTTGTTAAAAAAATTATTAAAAATTTCAAGATGGCAGTAGCAGGCATGGTGACTCTGCCTGTAATTGCTGCACTTTGGGAGACCAGAGCAGGTGGATTACCTGAGGTCAGGAGTCCAAGACCAGCCTGGCCAACATGGTGAAACTTGTCTCTACTAAAAATACAAAAATTAGCTAGGTGTGATGGCGTGCACCTGTAATCCCAGCTACTCAGGAGGCTGAGGCAGGAGAATCGTTTGAGCCAGGGAGGCAGAAGTTGCAGTGAGCCGAAAAAGTGCACCATTGCACTCCAGCCTGGGTGACAGAGCGAGACTCCGTCTCAAAAACAAAAAACAAAAAACAAAAAAACCTGATGACAACAGCAGAGCGTGAGAGCCAGTGCTGTGGTTTAAATGTGTCCCCACCAAAATTCAAGTGTTGAAACTTAATGGCCAGTGTAATGATAGTAAGAGGTGGTGCCTTTAAGAGGTAATTAGGTCATGAGGGCTCCTACCCTTTGAAATGGGATTAAGTCTTTTAAGAGAGATTCACATAGGTTCAGGTTGGCTTGCCTTTCTGCCTTCCACCCTGTGAGGACACAGGGATCCCCCTCTCCACAAGATACAGCAATAAGGTCCCATCCAGGAAGCAGAGAGCAGCCCTTTCCAAACAACTGAACCTGCTGGTGCCTTGATCTTGGGCTTCTCAGGTTCCAGAACTATGAGAAAATTAATTTATTTTCTTTCTTTCTTTCTTTTTTGAGACAGTCTTGCCCTGTTGCCCAGGCTGGAGTGCAATGACTTGATCTCGGCTCACTGCAACTTCTGCCTCCCAGGTTCAAGCAATTCTCGTGCCTCAGCCTCCCAAGTAGCTGGGATTACAGGTGCACACCATCACACCCAGCTAATTTTTTGTATTTTTAGTAGAGACAGGGTTTCACCATGTTGGCCAGGCTGGTCTTAAACTCCTGACTTCAAGTGATTCTCAGCCTCCCAAAATGCAGGGATTACATGCCTGAGCCGCCGCGTATCTTCTTTATGAACTATCGAGTATTTTGTTATAGCAGCACAAACAGACTAAGACACCAAGCATGGGGCCCTTTGTGACTACATAAGTCATACATCCACAAATCTGGCCCTAGGTACTGTACTGTTGAATGACTGTTATATAATCATTAATTATGTGAAACAACAATAATACTATTCTGTGGTGGGCAGGCATATGAAAACCTACCCCAAAGGCCGAGGGAGCTGAGAGACCATAGAAAGAGGCTGACAAATCCAGTTTCTCATAAAGCAATATTTAATAGGACTTACTAACAGAAGCTTTGTCTCATGCAACTGCAAATTGGTGGATCCTTGCAGTTACCCCCAAGACCCAGGGCTTATATTCAATAATAGGGAATTTGCCGAAGGGCAGGACATACAGTAAGTATGTGAAACTATAAATCTTAAGAGGCATTCTCAGAACTGGAGTTAATCATAAATCAACATGGATTAGCATATGAAGTTGATTTAGCTTCCACAAGTCTGTACTTTGCGGTTGAGAAGAAGCAAGCTAGAACTAAATTACTAGATAACAACAGCATATAAGCTGGGAGAGTTATAAAGTATTCTAAGGTTCTTGCATTGTTTGGGAAGAGGATAAAACTTTTGATTAATTTTAGACTTCACTAAGTTTGCATGTTAGAATAGCTATGACTACTATGAAAGAATAGGCATAGGTAACAAAACTTCCAAACAGGAGAAAAAACTCAGCCAGTTCAAAAGAAGGCAAGACAGAGAGAGACAGAAACATTAAGACAAGTTGCAAACCACATAGTAATTTGGTATAAATAAATCAAAATATGTCAGTAATCATCCTATGTGTAAATAGACTAAACTGTCCAATGAAAAGGCAAAGATTAAAGTAGATTTAGCAGTTCAAGTAACAAAAAGAAAAAAAAAAAAGAAAAGGCAAAGAGCCTAAAAACAAAACAAAGCTGGGCGTGGTAGCTCACGCCTGTAATCCCAGCACTTTGGGAGGCCAAGGTGGGTGGATCACCTGAGGTCAGGAGTTCGAGACCAGCCTGGCCAACATGGTGAAACCCTGCCTCTACTAAAAATACAAAATTAGCCGGGTACGGCGGCATGCACCTGTAATCCCAGCTACTTGGGAGGCTGAAGCAGGAGAATCACTTGAACCCGGGAGGCAGAGGTTGCAGTGAGCCGAGATTGCCATTGCACTCCAGCCTGGGCAACAAGAGCAAAACTCCGTCTCAAAAACAAAAAACAAAACAAAATAAAATCCAGCTATGTGCTGTTTCAAGATATATATATATATAAATATCATTATTATACAGAAATATTGAAAAGCAATGAATAGAAAAAAATATGCCAGGCCAATACCAACTAAAATGAAGTTGGAAAAGCTGTATTAGCATCAGAAAAAATAGACTTTCACACAAAAAGTATTAGGGCAGATAAAGAGTGTCATGTCATAATAATAAAATACTCAACAGAGATGTGTAACAAAAACTACTCTGTACCTAATAATAAAAATTTAAAACATATGAAGTAAATATTGACAATTTTATAATGAGAAACTAAGTTTCTATTTCTTCCTATAATGGAAGAATAGGTTGGTTCTCAAATTTTCGTCTGTCTCACGATCCCATGATGGGCTTCTTAAAACAGATTGCTGGGCCCAACTCCAGAGCTTCTGATTCAATAGGTCTAGGGTGGGGACTGAGAATTTCCACTTCTTACAAGCACCTGAGAGAAGCACCTAGTTCTCAGGTGCTGCTGATGTTTCTGATTCAGGCCTATGCTTTGAGAACCACTGGTTTAACAAATATTTCAGAAATTGATAGATCAAATAGACAAAAAAAATCAGTAGGAGACTGAATATTTGTTCAAATGGACATGTTAAAACACTGAGGGCTGGGCACGGTGGCTCATGCCTGTAATCCCAACACTTTGGGAGGCAAAGGCCAATGGATCACTTGAGGTCAGGAGTTTGAGAACAGCCCGGCCAACATGGTGAAACCCCATCTCTAGTAAAAATACAAAAATGAGCCAGGTGTGTGGCGGGTGCCTGTAATTCCAGGTACTCGGGAGGCTAAGGCAGGAGAATCGCTTGAACCTGGGAGAGGGAGGCTGCAGTGAGCTGAAATCATACCACTGCACTCCAGCCTGGGCGACAGAGTGAGGCTCCATCTCAAAAAAACAAAAACAAAAACAAAAACAAAAAAAACAACCAACCAACCAAACAAACAAAAAACACATTGAGAATAAACATTCTGCCAGGCGTGGTGGCTCACGCCTATAATCCCAGCACTTTGGGAGGCCGAGGCAGGCGGATCACCTGAGATTGGGAGTTTGAGACCAGCCTGACCAACGTGGAGAAACCCCATCTCTTCTAAAAATACAAAATTAGCCGGGTGTGGTGGTGCATGTAATCCCAGCTACTCAGCAGGCTGAGGCAGGAGAATCGCTTGAACGTGGGAGGCAGAGGTTGCAGTGAGCCGAGATGGCGCCATTGCACTCCAACATGGGCAACAAGAGCAAAACTCTGTCTCAAAAAAAAAAAAAAAAAGAAAGAAAACAAAAAACAAACAAAAAAAATTATTTTACACACACATGAAAAACATTTATCAAAATTGACCATGTACTAGGTCTTAAAACTTATCTCGCTATTTTCAAAATATTGAAAGTATCAGGTCAGGTCAGGTATGGTGGCTCACACTTGTAATCCCAATGATTTGGGAGGCCAGGAGTTCTAGACCAGCCTGGGCGACATGGAGAAAACCAGTCTCTACAAAAAATTTAAAAATTAGCCAGGTGTGGTGGTGCTCGCTTGTAGTCCCAGCTACTCCAGAATCTGAGGCAGAAACATCCTGTGAGCCCATGAGTTTGAGGCTGCAGTGAGTTATGACTATACCACTGCACTCCAGCCTGGGTGACAGAGTGAGACCCTATCTCTAAAAAAAAAAAAAGTATCATATAGCCTACATTATCATACAATTAAGTTAGAAATCAACTATAGAAAATAATTAAAAACTTGGCCAGGTGCAGTGGCCCACGCCTGTAATTCTAACACTTTGGGAGGCTACGGCATGTGGATCACCTGAGGTCAGGAGTTCAAGACCAGCCTGGCCAATATGGCGAAACCCCCTCTCTACTAAAAATACAAAAATTAACCAAGTGTGGTGGCTTATGCCTATAGTCCCAGCTACTCAGGAGGCTGAGGAGGGAGAATCACTTGAACCTGGGCGGCAGAGGTTGCAGTGAGCCGAGATCGCGCCACTGCACTCCAGCCTGGCGACAGAACGAGACTCCGTCTCAAAAAAAAAAAAAAGTTAAAAACTCTTATTATGCTTGGAAATTAAGGGATGTGTCTTTCCAACTCACGAGTCAAAGAAGAAGTTATAATGGAAACTGGAAAATACGTAGAAGTGAATGATAGTAAAGCCATTATCAAAACTCGTGAGAGGCAACTCAAAATTAATGAGTTTAGAACGCAGTTTAAGGAGTTAGGGAAAAAGCAACATAAGCCCAAATAATGTAGAAGGAAGGAAATAATATAAATTGGAACAAAAATTACTGAAGTAGGGCAAGGGTCGGTGGCTCAAACCTGTAATCTTAGCACTTTGGGAGGCCGAGACGGCAGATAGCTTGACCCCACGAGTTGGAGACCAGCCTGGGCAACCCAGTCTGTACAAAAGATACAAAAACAGCCAGGCATGGCAGCTGGCACCTGTGGTCCCAGCTACTTGGGAGGCTGAGGTGGGAGGATCACCTGAGCCTGGGAGTTTGAGGCTGAAGTGAGCCATGTTCATGCCACTGCACTCCAGCCTAGGTGAGACTCTATCTCAAAAATAAATAAATAAATAAGTAAATAAATAAAATATAGAGAGGATTAAAAAAGAGTTCCCAGAGGAAGGAATCCCTTTGCTTACTGTTGAAGGATAAGACTTCTCCTTAATCTAATGGAAAGGTATAGCTGTGCAAAATGGCATGTTGTAGTTCACGAGCTGTAAGTAACTTGGTCTGGCTAGAGGGATAGTGGTTGTTAAGTGGGTGCAGAAGAGTGAAGAAAGGAAAAGGCAGTGAGAGAGGCACTGAGATTAATACATTAAAATTCATGGAAGATGTGTATGAAAAGATAAATATATGTTTTTGGGAGGTCACTTTATGATTTAGCTTCTTTTGAGTGCTAACATGATTCTCAAGATACTTATGGGGCTGTTCTCCATAGATGGGCAGGAAATTCTCTGTGGGTGGGAGAACACAATATAAGTAATCTAAGAACAAGATAATTTTAGATAATTTCTGTATGAGTTTGTTAGGGTTGCCATAACAAGATATAACAGACTGAGTGGCTTAAACACATTTATTTTCTCACAGTCTTGGAGGTTAGAAGTCTGAAATCAACATGGTGGCAGAATTGGCTTTTTTGTTGAGACAGAGTTTCGCTCTCGTGGCCCAGGCTGGAGTGCAATGGGGCGGTCTCTGCTCACTGCAACCTCCGCCTCCCAGATTCAAGCGATTCTCCTGTCTTGGCCTCCCGTGTAGCTGGAACTACAGGCATGTGCCACCATGCCCGGCTAATTTTGTATTTTTAGTAGAGATGGAGTTTCTCCATGTTGGTCAGGGTGGTCTTGAATTCCTGACCTCACGTGATCCGCCGGCCTTGGCCTTCCAAAGTGCTGGGATTACAGTCGTGAGCCACCGCGCCAAGCCAGAACTGGTTTCTTTTGAAGCATCTCTCGTCGCTTGTACAGGGCCATCTCTCTGTGTTTTCACATGGTCTTTCCTCTGTAACTGTCTGTGTCTTAATTTCCTCTTGTTATAAGGATACTAGTTATATTGGATTAGGGCCTACCCTAATGTCTTCATTATAACTTAATACCTCTAAAGACTTCGTCGCTGCAATCACATTCTGAGGCACTGGAGGTTAGGACTTCAACATATGAATTTTGGTAGACCTCATTATAGCCCTCCGTCCACCTCTCCTCCAAATTCATACGCTCACCCTGTTCTAACTGTGCCAGAAATCTTAACTCATTTCAGCATCAAGTGTAAGCACAAAATATAATCTAAATCAGGTATGAGTGAGACTCATAGGAGTTATGATTTGTCCTGAGGCAAAATTCCTCCCCAGCTGTGAATCTATAAAACCAGACAAGTTATCTGCTTCCAAAATACAATGATGGCATAGGCATAGCATAGTCTTTCCCATTCCAAAAGTCAGAAATAAAAAATAAATCCCAGCCGGATGCGGTGGCTCATGCCTATAATCCCAGCACTTTGGTGGCCGAGGCGGGTGGATCACCTGAGCTCAGGAGTTCGAGACCAGCCTGGCCAATATGGCGAAACCCTTTCTTTATTAAAAAAGCAAACATTAACCAGACCTGGTAGCTTATTATGCCGGTAGTCCCAGCTACTCAGGAGGCTGAGGAGGGAGAATTGCTTGAACCCAGGAGGCGGAGGTTGCAGTAAGCCAAGATCATGCCACTGCACTCCAGCCTGTGTGACAGAGCGAGACTCTGTCTCCAAAAAACAAACAAACGAACAAAAAAAGACTAAGGCTCCAGAATAATCTTTGGCTTGATGCTCTGTCCTCGGCCCACCAGCGTGGTGGTCCACCCCCTCAGCCCTGGGTGACTTCAATATATACATTTCTGGGCAGGGGGCGGTGCACAATTCAGCCCCCAACAATACCTATGATGAAAATGTAACCTATCAATTTGATAGGGAGAGACTGGGAACCAGTGGATTAAGTCAAGGACATCTTCTCTAAGGAGGCAACACTGGACCTAAGACTATGCTTAGATCTGAAGGCAGATTATTCCGGGCAGAGGAAATGAGACAATAGAAATAAAGGGAAAGAGAAAGAACACAGTATGCAGGTTGAAGAGTTAGGCAGCGCATTTAAGCTAGAGCAAGGAGCCTAAATTTCATGCTAAATACAACAGGCAGGCATTGTAGGCTTATAAGCAGGGGAGAGTGACCTTATTTCGTAGGGATTTTGGGTAATGGACTGTAGGAGGCAAGAATAGAATAAGTAGGAAGATATACCAGTCTGTTGCAGCATATAGGCCACAGATTTTGGTGGTTTGGCCTATGGTGGTGAAGACAGAGAAAAGGGAATGGATTTCAGATATATTTTGAAAATGAATATAAAAACTGGGCTGGGCGTGGTGGCTCATGCCTGTAATCCCAGCACTTTGGGAGGCTGAGGTGGGTGGATCACCTGAGGTCAGGAGTTCAAGATCAGCCTGACCAATATGGTGAAACCCTGTCTCTACTAAAAATACAAAAATTAGCCAGGCGTGGCGGCGTGTGACTGTAGTCCCAGACACTAGGGAGGCTGAGACAAGAGAATTGCTTGAACCCGGGAGGCCGAGGTTGCAGTGACCCGAGATCGTGCCGCTGTACTCCAGCCTGGGTGACAGAGCGAGACTCTGTCTCAAAAAAAAAAAAAAAAAAAAAAGGAAAGACTGGCTATTGAATTGAATGAGAGAAATAAGAGAAAAGGAGAAACCATGTATGATCCCTAGATTCTTTTATTTTTAAAATTAATTTTTTTTCCATAGAAATGAGGTCTTACTTTATTGCTTGTTTCAAACTCCTGGCCTCAAGTGATCCTCCCAGCTCAGCCTCCCAAAGTGCTGGGATTACAGGCATGAGCCACCATGCCTGGCAGATCCCTAGTTTCTTAGTTTGAGAACTGATAGATTGAAGTGCTTTATGTTGCAATGGGTGTAAGTGAGGAAAGTAAGAAATGGAGGAACAGAGAGAGTTTTGTTTGGGCTGTGTTTGAGATGCCTTTAAGACTTCCTAGTGGATATGGCAAGTCAGCAATTATATATACAAATGTGAAGCTCAGGGGAAGCCTGTGCTGGAGCTAAAAAAGTCAGGGAGTCATTAGCCTATGGTTGGTATTTTAAACCACTGCATTAGACAAAAAGGGACTGCTATGGTTAATGACACAGTTTAAAACTTCTCAAGATGATTTTTTGTTTTTCTCTTTTGTGTTTTTATTTTTTGTACAACCTATATTTGTTTCCTTTTCATTTTCCCTTCAGTACTTATTTTAGAAGTTAGATGACCTCAGGAAAAGGGATTCAGGCAATGGTACCTGGAAAAGAGGTGAAGTGAAGAGAAATCTTTCAGGACTGTAAGCAGAAAAGAAGGGGTGAAGTGGGAGCTGGCTGGGACCAAGGGATAATCAGGAATAAGCTCATTTCTTGGAGCCTTTACTCCTCAATTAAATAATAAGGTTAGGCTGGGCATGGTGGCTCATGCCTTTTTGGGGGTTTTGGGGAATGGAGTCTCACTGTGTCACCCAGGCTGGAGTACAGTGGTGTAAACTCGGCCCACTGCAACCTCTGCCTCCCAGGCTCAAGCTTTTTTTTTTTTTTTGAGGCAGAGTCAGTCTCACTCTGTCACCCGGGCTAGAGTGCAGTGGTGCGATCTCAGCTCACTGCAACCTCTGCCCCCTGGGTTCAAGCAATTCTCCTGCCTCAGCCTCCCAAGTAGCTGGGATTACAGGCACCCGCCACCACACCCCGCTAATTTTTGTATTTTTAGTAGCAACAGGGTTTCACCATGTTGGCCAGGTTGGTCTTGAACTCCTGACCTTAGGTGATCCACCCTTCTTGGCCTCCCAAAGTGCTGGGATTACAGGTGTGAGCCACTGCACCCGGCCTAGCTCAAGCTCTTTTAATCCCAACACTTTCAGAGGCCAAGGCAGGAGGACCACTTGAGCCCAGGAGTTCAAGTCCATTCTGGGCAACATGGAGAAACCCCATCTCTACAAAAAATACAAGAAATTAGCTGAGCATGGTGGTGTGCACCTGTGGTCCCAGCTATTTGGAAGGCTGAGGTGGGAGGATCACTTGTGCCTGAGGAAGTTGAAGCTGCAGTGAGCCGTGATCACACCACTGCAATCCAGTCTAGGTGAGAGAGTGAGACCTTGTCTCAAAAAAAAAAAAAAAAAAAAAAAAAGAAAGCTGGGCGCGGTGGCTCACGCCTGTAATCCCAGAACTTTGGGAGGCCAAGGCGGGTGGATCACGAGGTCAGGAGTTCAAGACCAGCCTGGCCAACACAGTGAAACCCCGTCTCTACAAAAAATACAAAAATTAGCTGGGCATGGTGGCAGGTGCCTGTAATCCCAGCTACTCCGGAGGCTGAGGCAGGAGAAAAGCTTGAACCCGGGAGGCCGAGGCTGCAGTGAACCCAGATCGCACCACTGCACTCCAGCCTGGGCGACAGAACGAGACTCTGTCTCAAAAAAATAAATAAATAAATAAATAAATAAAATAAAAATAAGGGCAGTTAGGGTTGTGCAAAGTACTTTCCTCTCTATTAAATTGTAAACAATATGAAGACAAGAACCAAGTCTTAATTACTCCTACATTCTTCGTGCCATCTAGCATGGGGCCCTGAACATAGTAGGTGTTCTAAAATGTTTTTGGAGGGAAAGAAGGAAGGAAAGGTTGATGGAAGAGTAAAAGTATCTTTCACATATTGAATATCAGAGAGCACATCTAGAAATGTGGTCTGCTCATAATTTGCATTCAACCAATATATAGTTGATTGATTTGTAATGTGTCCTATAATAAGATAATGGTAATAAGGCTAATTCTCTAAACAAAGTTGCCATCTAAGCAGATAGTATTATTGATTCCCTCTGCTTAATGACAGGTAATTCTGACTTTTTTTTTTTTTTTGAGACGGAGTCTCACTCTGTCGCCCAGGCTGGAGTGCAGTGGTGCGATCTCAGCTCACTGCAAGCTCCGCCTCCCAGGTTCACGCCGTTCTCCTGCCTCAGCCTCCCGAGTAGCTGGGACTACAGGCACCCACCACTGTGCCCAGCTAATTTTTTGTATGTTTAGTAGAGACGGGGTTTCACTGTGGTCTCGATCTCCTGACCTCGTGATCTGCCCGCCTTGGCCTCCCAAAGTGATGGGATAACAGGCGTGAGCCACCACGCCCGGCCAATTCTGACATTTTCATTTCTTTGGTACCTTGTATACTAATCTAGGCCATTCAAATCGAAGACAGATTGACACTGATCAGTATTCTTCGAATACTTGTGAAAGAGAAAATAAAGAGGCTTAGCTGGAATAATGCAGCTATTGTCCTTGTGAGCCTCAAGTATAGTAGAAAGAAATGTATTTAATAGGATGCTGCAAACAGAATTTTTTAAAATAAAGCTTTTTAAGTAAGTGTTTTAAAATGAACTTTAATTATAGATTATATTTGGAAAGTTCCCACTGCATGTTTATAGAAATGACTTTAGTTTAACTACCTTAGACATTGGTTCTAGATTAAAGGAGTCTTAATTCTTTTTTTTTTTTTTTTTTTTGAGACAGGGTCTCATTCTGTCACCCATGTTGGAGCGGAGTGGCATGTTCATGGCTCACTGCAGCCTGCACCTCCCAGGCTCAAGGAATCCTCCTACCTCAGCCTCCTGTATAGCTGGGGCCACAGGTGCAAGTTACCATGCCCAGCTAATTTTTATGTTTATTATTTATTTATATTTTTTGTAGAGATGGGGTCTTGCTATACTGCCCAGGCTGGTCTCAAACTCCTGGCCTCAAGTGATCCTCTGCCTTGGCCTTCCAAAGCCACTTCTTTACTACTGTGATATTTTTAGTATTCAAATATTCCTCACAAATAATATAATATAAAATCGTGGCTGGGCATGGTGGCTCATGCCTGTAATCGCAGTACTTTGGGAGGCTGAGGTGGGTGGATCACCTGAAGTCAGGAGTTCGAGACCAGCCTGGTCAATGTGGCGAAACCCCATCTCTACTAAAAATATACAAATTAGCTGGGTGTGGTGGCCTATGCCTGTAGTCCCAGCTACTTGGGAGGCTGAGGCAGGAGAATTGCTTGAACCCAGGAGGCAGAGGTTGCAGTGAGCCGACATCATGCCCCTGCACTCCAGCCTGGGCGACACAGTGATACTCCATCTCAAAAAAAGAAAAAAAAATCATAAACACTTAGTGCATTAGGCTGCTCTTATGTTGCTATAAAGAAATATCTGAGGCTGAGTAAGTTATTAAAAAAAGAGATTTAGGTGAGGCACAGTGGCACATACCTATAATCCCAGCACTTTCTGGGGCTGAGGCCAGAGGATTACTTGAGCCCGGGAGTTCGAGACCAGCCTGGAGAACATAGTGAGACTCTATCTCTACAAAAATTTTAAAAATATAAAAATTAGCCGGGATGGTAGTGCATGCTTATAGTCCCAGCTACTCAGGAGGCTGAGGTGGGAGGATTGCCTGAGCCCAGAAGGTCGAGACTGTAGTAAGCCATGATTGTGCCACTGCACTGCAGCCTGGGTGACAGAGCAAGATCCTGTCTCAAATAATAATAATGAGATTTAATTGGTGGCTCAGAGTTCTGTAGGCTTTACAGGAAGCATGGCACTGGCATTTGCTTCTGGTGAGGCCTCAATAAGCTTACAATCACAGTGGAAGGTGATGGAGAGCCAGCATGTCACATGGCAAGAGTGGGGGAAGTTTTTTTTTTGAGATGGAGTTTTGCTCTTGTTGCCCAGGCTGGAGTGCAGTGGTGTGATCTCGGCTCATCTTGCAATCTTCACCTTTCGGGTTCCAGCAATTCTCCTGCTTGAGCCTCCCGAGTAACTGGGATTACAGGCATGCACCACCATGTATTTTGTATTTTTAGTACAGACGGGGTTTCACCATGTTGGCCAGGCTGGTCTTGAATTCCTGACCACAGGTGATACACCTGCCTTGGCCTCCCAAAGTTCTGGGGTTACAGGTGTGAGCCACCACACCTGGCAGGTTCCAGACTCTTTTAAACAACCAGATCTTGTGTAAACTGAGTGAGAACTCATTTATCATTAAGGAAATGGTGCTAAAGCTTTCATGAGGGATCTATCCCATTGATCCAATTACCTCCCACCAGGCCCCACCTCTAACTTTGGGAATCACGTTTCAACATGAGATTTGGAGGGGACAAACATCCAAAACCATCACTTAGAACTACAGTCTTATTATTTTTTTAAATGGATGGTAATCTTAATGTGGATGTGACTATCATAGCTTTTCTTATTCAGTATGTTGTATTTGGTGAGATCTAAAAAGTATATCTATTTATAATTATTTTTACAAGCAATGAGAAAAAGATACTGGGAAAGAGGCTCATACATGCTTGTCAATTAAATTGGAAAGACAGCTTGGTGCTTTTAATGTCAGTATCAATCAGTTACTATTCTGAAGATCTTGGACAATTTACTTATTCTTTTCTGAATTTTAGCTTACTCACCTGAAAAACAGTATTAATTATGCCTGAGAGCAATTTGCAAAGCATTTGTGGCAAACCATAGATGGCTGCAACAATATCCTCCATCCCATATGCTCTTTTCCCATGTGATGGTGACACCCTGTTCCTTTGAAAGGTGGGGTCTACATTCCCTTCCTTTGAGCCTGGGTGGGTTTGGGACTATGGTGGTAATGAGACTACAGGACTTTTTTGGCTAGGTCATGAAAGGAGATACTGAGAAAGAATAGAAAAATAAACAGTTTTTTTTTTCTAAAAACTGGCCTGGCACTTATAGCTGAGCCATGTTATTATTATTATTATTATTTTTGAGACGGAGTCTCGTTCTATCACCCAGGCTGGAGTGCAGTGGCGCAATCTTGGCTCACTGCAACCTCTGCCCCCTGGGTTCAAGCAATTCTCCTGCCTCAGCCTCCCCAGCAGCTACCATGCCCGGCTTTTTGTATTTTTAGTAGAGATGGGGTTTTGCTATGTTGGCCAGGCTGGTCTCGAACTCCTGACCTCAGGTGATCCGCCCGCCTCGCCCTTTGAAAGTGCTGGGATTACAGGCATGAGCCATCATGACCAGCCTTCATATTATTCTTTTATAGGACATAATCTAACAGAATATCATTCTCAGACGAGATTATCCTGAGACCATGATAAAACAAAGCAAGGCTAGCTCATAATCTTCTCTAAGCACAAAAACAATGTCATTGTGCCACCGGTATAATACCAACTCTGGGCTTTTTGCCAAAATAAGTGACGCTAGTTCTTTACCAGTTACAGTTTTTCCTTCACCCAAGTCTGCCCTCCATATAGATGTCTTGAGATACCAATAAGAATTGCATCCAAACAGCCTCCAATCTAGAGTGAACTCCTGCTTCCTTAGACCCTCCTTCGAATCACTCAAACAAGCTAATATCCTATATATATTTAGTTATTTAGTTCTTTCTAACTCTCTGTTACTGAGACTCTATGGTTCCCCCAACACATGAATTCTCTCTCACAGCAAGGAGTAGTAAGTTCAACTTGTTCAACTACACATACATTCACAGTGGCCTTGGTTGGAGGATATTGACAATAAGCTCTTGCTTTTTTCTCTTAGGGCACTTGCTAGGGGTAAGAACCAGCTGCCAGCTGCCACGTAAGCGGACCAATTATCCTGAAGTCACCTAGCTATCTATGAGGAAGCCCAAATTAGCAAATTAGGCCACAAAGAGAGACCACATGGAAAGCCCCTGAAACTAAATGGAGAGAGAGAGAGAGAGAGAGAGAGAGAGAGAGAGAGAGAGAGAGAGAGAGATGCTGGTCAGGCGCTCCATGCTCCAGCCCAAACCTCCCACTCTACCCCTCGCCTTCTCAGTTCAGCTACCTTCTGACTGCAACCACAAGAGAGATCTCGAGCCAGAACCGCCTGGCCCACACCTTCCTAAATTCCTGACCCACAGAAACCGCAAAGGATAATAAAATGATTGCTGTTTGAAGCCTCTATGATTTGGGGTGATTTGATTCATATAATAGAAAATCTAAATTATCTGGCACACAGTAGGCACTCAATAAGTGGTAGCTGTTATTTTGTAATTGTAAGAAGTAAAGTTATTATGTGCAAAACAAATCCTCAACACCTAACTTATTTTTCCAGTAAATTTCCATTGACATAAACTTGTGGATCGGTGCCCACAGATCCACTCAATGTATTTTAATTCTGATACCAAAATAAGGTAGACTGATCAATACTCCTCAGCAGGGATGAGCTCATTTTGGAGCAATGCTAGAGCAGTACTACTATTGCCACTTTTTGAGGAGGATTTGTGTTTAAGAAATACATATAATTTTGTCCATAACTTTAGAATCCATGTCAGTGGTTAATTATATTTCCTGGCCCCAGTGTCTCCTGGGGGTGACATGTTGAGCCTAATATGTTTTGTTTGTTTGTTTGTTTGAGACGGAGTTTTGCTCTTGTTGCCCAGGCTGGAGTGCAATGGCACACTCTCGGCTCACTGCAACCTCTGTCTCCTGGGTTCAAGGAATTCTCCTGCCTCAGCTACTGCCCAAGTAGCTGGAATTAGAGTCATGTGCCACCATGCCAGGCTACTTTTTTTGTATTTAGTAGAGATGGGGTTTCACCATGTTGGTGGGGCTAGTCTTGAACTCCTGACCTCAGGTGATCCACCTGCCTTGGCCTCTCAAAGTGCTGGGATTACAGGCATGAGCCACTGCGCCCAGCTGAGCTTAATATGTTTTAAATTAAGATTAATGTGACCTATTGAAAAATGTCTTAATTGTACATTTTTTAAATTGCAAAGGCAGTATATGCTCATAGCAAGAGCACAAAATGAAGATATATATGGCAATCTCTCACCCCCTTATTCATTCCCCGCCCCATCCCCAACCACTCACATGATTTAACCATTATCAATAACCTGTTATGTATTCTTCCAAATCCTTTTTCTTGCTTATATAATAAACACAGCAAATATAAATATATGTCTATCAATGTATTAATATATGTATATATAAAGATATTTAGTTGGTAGCTTTTATTAAAATGTAACTGTATTATACAGTTACCCTAAAAATTTGCTTTTTTCACTTGACAGTGTACCCTGATTTCTATAAATTAGTGTATACACATCTGCATTTGTTTCCTATGGCCGCTGTAATAAATCACCAATTTAGTGGCTTAAAACAACGTAGATTTATTCTCTTACAGTTCTGGAGGTCAGAAGTCTGAAATCAGTTTTACTGGCCGGTTGTCAAGCCTAAAGGTGTCAGGGCTACTTTCTTCTGGAGCCTCTGAGCTTCTGGTGGCTGCATGTATTCCTTGGCTTGTGTTAGCCTTTCTCTGTCTTCAAAGCGCATCACTTCAACCTCTGCTTACATTATATCACTTTCTTTTCTTTCTGTTTCCCTCCTTTTTTTGGTGGTGGTGGTGGTGGGGACACAGTCTTGCTATGTCACCCAGGCTGGAGTGCAATGGCACGATCTCAACTCACTGCAACCTCTGCCTCCCGCGTTCAAGTGATTCTCCTGCCTCAGCCTCCTGAGTAAAGCGCATCACTTCAACCTCTGCTTACATTATATCACTTTCTTTTCTTTCTGTTTCCCTCCTTTTTTTGGTGGTGGTGGTGGTGGGGACACAGTCTTGCTATGTCACCCAGGCTGGAGTGCAATGGCACGATCTCAACTCACTGCAACCTCTGCCTCCTGCATTCAAGTGATTCTCCTGCCTCAGCCTCCTGAGTAGCTGGGATTACAGGCGTGCACCACCATGCCTGGATAATTTTTGTATTTTTAGTAGAGATGGGGGTTTCGCCATGGTGGCAAAACTGGTCTCGAACTCCTGACCTCGTGATCCACCCGCTTCAGCCTTCCAAAGTGCTGGGATTACAGGTGTGAGCCTCCATGCCTGGCCTCTGTTTCCCTCCTATGACACTGTGATTACATTATGGCCCACAGGATAATCTCTCCATCTCACGGTGTGTAACTTAATCACATCTGCAAAGTCCATTTTGCCACTCAAGGCAACATTCACAGGTTCTAGGGATTAGGACCTGGATATTTTGGGGGACATTATTCAGCTTGCTACAATGTCTAAATTCATCTTTTAATTTCATGTATTTATACAAAGGCATACATTTGACATAACAGGGACTCTATTGGCGGGCGTGGTGGCTCACACCTGTAATCCTGGCACTTTGGGAGGCCGAGGCAGGTGAATCACGAGGTCAGGAGATCGAGACCAACCTGGCCAACATGGTGAACTCCTGTCTCTACTAAAAATACAAGAATTAGCCGGGCATGGGCACATGCCTGTAGTCCCATCTACTTGGGGGGCTGAGGCAGGAGAATTGCTTGAACCAGGGAGTTGGAGGTTGCAGTGAGCTGAGATCGCACCACTGTATTCCAGCCTGACAAAGAGAGACTCCGTCTGAAAAAAAAAATAAAAGCGGGGGGACTCTATTATACGTGCCGGAGTTTTTTTTTGGGGGGTGTGTGTGTGTGTCTGTGTGTGTGTTTTAAAAGACTGTCTCACTATGTAGCCCCAGGCTGGTCTGAAACTCCTGAGCTCAAACAATCCTCCTGCCTCAGCCTCCTGAAGTGTTGGGATTACAGGTGTGAGCTACTGTGCCTGGCCCCCCACCCTCTTTTAAAGTTACTGGTGTTGACGTGTATCTTCTATTTTTCTTCATACTCACATAATCAAACATAGTAGTCCTCCCTTATGTTTCAAGACCCCCGGTGGGTGTCTGAAACTGCAGAGAGTATTTAGCCCTATACAGTATATACTTTTTTCCTACACATACCTATAATAAAATTTAATTTATAAAATTGGCACAGTAAGAAATTAACAACTCATAATAAAATAGAACAATTATAACAATATACTGTAATAAAAGTTATGTGAATGTGGTCTCTCTCTCAAAATATCTTACTATACTCTAGTCACCTATTTTCAGAGGGTAATTGGCTGTGGTAACTAAAACCGTGGAAATCAAAACCTCAGGTAAGGAGGTGACTACTGTATATATTGCAAATAAAAAATCAAATTTGGTTAAGGAGAGACTTTATTTGTAGGGATTATTGCAAATGGGGATGGGTGGGGACTGTGGGGAAGGGTTCCTGCAGTAGGAGGGGGCCTATTCCCTACTGGTGGGAAGTGGAATGAAAAGGTGGCTCTCCACTGGATAATAGATTAGAGAATGTTTCACCCTGAGGCCAACTTCTCAGGAGGGGCTATTAAGGAGGGGTTACCTGCGGCTCAGGGTCAGGGTGGGTGAAAGTTCAGAGGTATGAGGGAGGAAGAGAAATTCAACCAAAATCTTTGATTAAAAAAAAAAAGGTGGGAGGCTTCTTTTCTTTTCTCTTTCTTTCTTTCTCTCTTTCTCTCTTTCTTTCTTTTTTTTTTGAGACAGTCTTACTCTGTTGCCCAGGCTGAAGTGCAGTGGCACGATTTTGGCTCACTGCAACCTCTGCCTCCCGGGTTCAAGTGGTTCTCCTGCCTTAGCCTCCCAAGTAGCTGGGATTACAGGCACACACCAAAACGCCGGGCTAATTTTTGTAGTTTTAGTAGAGACGGGATTTCGCCATGTTGGTCAGGCTGGTCTCGAACTCCTGACCTCAGGAGTAATCCGCCCGCTTCGGTCTCCCAAAGCACTGGGATTACAGGCGTCAGCCACCGCGCCCGGCCTAGGAAGGTTTCTTAATTGTCATTACTTTCCAGGAGCACAGGGCTCAGGTAGAATTCAACGTTGTCAATATGCAGGGTTAAATGAGTTGTTTACTTTACAAAAGTGACATCTTAAATGTGCTTCTAATGTCCTCTTGTTTCATAATATGCTTGTATTATAATACTTAATTAGTCTCTACGGATGACCACGTTCTTAGTTTCAAAGGTTTTTTTGAGGTTCCTGCAGCTGCTAAACTTGGGGTTCCTGAAGTAATATTTCATTTTCGAAAGCTGTTTTTTTTCTTAGACTCCTCTTACAGAATTGCCAGCTCGTCTGCACAGCCTGTCTATTTGAACCTACGTTTATTTTGACCCACCCCAACCCCCAAAGCAGGTGGCCAGGAAAAAATAAAAGGTCCCAACACCTTTTCTTTTGTTTTCTGGATCTCCTCCTTTCCGGAAGCAGGGGGTCAGTGACAGGAACTTTTCGACCCCAGCTTAGTGTCTCTTAATCCCTCTTTAGCCCGTGGAAGCCTCGGAAGGCGTGGCCAGGGCAGGGCATCCAAGCCGAGCGCCGGGGGTTGGCACCGTCTCTCTCCCTGGCACGGCGGAGACAACTGAATACTGAAAGACAAAACCAACACACCGCGAGGAATGAGCCACGCCTCCATCCACGCCACAAAGGCACGTTTCCAAGATCTTTTTAGGATCTTACCCATGTTTTGCAGGGAAAAGCGACACAGACCTGAAGCGCCTTCAGGTTTTTTTTTTTTTTTTTTTTTTTTTTAAGACGACGTCTCCCTCTGTTGCCCAGGCTGGAGTGCAAAGGCGCGATCTTGGCTCACAACCGCCGCCTCCTGGGTTCAAGCGATTCTCCTGCCTCAGCCTCTCGAGTAGCTGGGACTACAGGCACCCGTCACCACGCCCGGCTAATTTTTGTATTTTTAGTAGAGACGGGGTTTCACCATATTTCCCAGTCTGGTCTCGAACTCCTGACCTCAGGTGATCCACCCGTCTCGGCCTCCCAAAGCGTTGGGATTACAGGTGTGAGCCAACGCGCCCTGCCAGCCTTCAGTTATTTTAATGAAGCGATTTTGTACAAATCAGCCAGAGGGAGGGAGAGTGGGAGGGAAGAGGAGGGGTCAGCCAGTCCTTCCAGTTAGGAGAGTCCCGGCTCACTCACTGCTTCTAACTCACTGCTCACTCACCGCTTCTTAGCTTAGGAATCACCTACAATAACCTCGTGTCACTGTATCTTGTGATTTCAAACAAGGAACCCTAAAAACCTGAAGGCACACTGGGTGCCGCTCAACAATAAGGCTCGGCTGCCAAGACGAAAAAAAAATTGCCCTTTCTCCTCCTGCCACCCTGGAGGTGCCAGGTTGTAATCTGCAAATGTATTGTCTGGCCCTTAGGGCTTGACAGTTAATGATTGGTCGCTGAAGGAGCCGAGCGGAGGAGCGAGAGGGACGCGAGCAAGCGAGCGAGGGAGGGAGCGCAGGGCCAGAGCGGAGCCCCAGCCGGCCGCACAGGCACCGCCTCCCGTCTTCCGGGACCCGGCACTTCGGGGGTTTTGGGCGCCGGAGACGCGCAAGGGCGCCGATGGAGGCAGACTCGCCAGCGGGCCCCGGCGCCCCAGAGCCCCTCGCGGAGGGAGCGGCGGCCGAGTTCTCCAGCCTGCTGCGCAGGATAAAAGGCAAACTCTTCACCTGGTGAGTGGAAGGGGCGTGCTGCAGCTCCGCTGGGGCGTGGGGGCGGCTGCGGGCCCTGCGCGCACGTGGACAAGGAGCACACTCTCTGAGGCCCCCAGCAGGGAGGCAGAGGTGGCGGCCGCACGGACTTCGGTTCGGGGCTCAACACGCACACCAGGTATGGTGCGCTTCACCTGGCGTCGGGAAGCACTTGGTGCGTCTCCCTCGGCTCCCGTTTCGAAATCGTGGCGATGTATTTTGGAGGATTTGGGGGGAAACCCACCCTGTGGCACTATTAGGTCGGTCCTCTGGGGCGTTCCGCGGTGGAGGGACGAGGTCCCCGGGGATGCTGTGAAGGAGGAGTGCCCACCTCGGGCTGGGCAGGTGGGTGAGCGCCACTTCCTGGCGCCGGCGCCCTCATTCCATCTGCTGCCGAGCCAGCCAGACTGGGCGCGGTGATTCAAGAGTTGACCGAAGTGAGAAATCCTGGTTAAGTTTTGTGCTGCTGCCGGGTGGGAGACCAGAGCCGGCTCTCTCTTCCTGGGCCTGAGCGAGGTGATATAGCCACCCCCAGGGCTGGGGTCCAGGGAAGCCTGTTTGTGGTATCACTATGCTCTGTGCGAAGTAGGGACAAATGTTTTTAAGGAGTGGGCAGCGACTCTAGAAAGCGTTTCTGTGGTTGCTGGAGGACTTGCACTCTGGAAATGAGAGAACCCAGGACCTAAATAGTGAAAGACATTTATTGGGCACTCGCTCTGTGTCAGGTACTGTGCATAACAATTTATATGGATAATATCAGCTAATCCTCACCACTTTAGGAGATGGTACTATTGTTATATCCACTTTGCCGCTGGAGAAACAAAGAAGGCTAAGCAATTTGCCCAAGGCCACAAGATGATCTTTAAGGGGTGATGCGTTCAAGCCGTAGTCTAAACAGCGTTGGCCACTGACAACTCATGAAACAGATATTTGATTTTTTTTTCATATTAACAAAGCGAATTTCCCTTTAACGATTGTGAAAGATAGTCCTGAAAAGCCATACCATTTTAAAAACGAGATCGATAAAGGTGTAAGCATTTTTTATCATATAAATAGTTTGAAATTGATGCATGTGTTTAAAGGGGAAAGTTGGCCGAAAACCACCTTGTAGCATCCAGTTGTGTATGTCCTGATACATTTGTTAAAAGTTCTCAGCTGGGAGGCAATTCAGTGTAATGGCTAAGGGCACTCACATTCTGGACTCAAATCCTGGCTGGGTGACCTTGGACAAGTCAGTTCTCTGTGCTCCAGTTCCCTCCCTTCCCTCCCTCTCTCCCTCTCTCCTTCCTTCCTTCCCTCTCTCTCCTTCCTTCCTTCCTTCCCTCTCTCCTTCCTTCGTTCCCTCTCTCCTTCCTTCCGTCCTTCCTTCCACAAGTCAGTTATCTGTACTCCAGTTCCCTCCCTCCCTCCCTCCCTCCTTCTTTGTTCCTTCCTTCCGTCCGTGTCCGTCCGTCTTGGACAAGTCACTTAACTTCTCTGTGCTCCAGTCTCCCTCCCTCCCTTCCTTCCTCCCTTCCTTCCTCCCTTCCTTCTGCTGGGTGACCTTGGACAAATCAGTTCTCTGTGCTCCAGTTCCCTCCCTCCGCCCCTCCCTTCCTTCCTGCCTTCCTTCCTTCCTGGACAAGTCACTTCTCTGTGCTTCAGTCTCCCTCCCTCCCTTCCTTCTTGGACAAGTCACTTAACTTCTCTGTGCTCCAGTCTCCTTCCCTCTTTTCCCTCCCTCCCTCCCTCCCTTCCTTCCTTCCCTCCCTCCCTTCCTTCCTTCCTGCCTTCCTTCCTTCCTTCCTGGACAAGTCACTTCTCTGTGCTCCGGTCTCCCTCTCTCCCTCCCTCCCTCCCTTCTTGGACAAGTCACTTAACTTCTCTGTGCTCCAGTCTCCCTCCCTCTTTTCTCTCCCTCCCTCCCTCCCTCCTGACGGAGTCTCATTCTGTCACCTTCCTTCCTGACAGAGTCTCATTCTGTCACCCAGGCCTGAGTGCAGAGGCTCTATCTCAGCTAACTGCAACCTCAACCTTTCGGGTTCAAGCGATTATCCTGCCTCAGCCTCCGAAGTAGCTGGGATTACAGATGTATACCACCACGCCAGGCTAATTTTTTCATGCTTTTAGTAGAGATGGGGTTTCCCCATGTTGACCAGGCTGGTCTTGAACTCCTGACCTCAAGTGATGCACCCACCTCCGCCTCCCAAAGTAGTGGGATTACAGGCGTGAGCCACCGCGCCCAGCCTGTGCTCCAGTTTTCTTATTTGTAAAATGGAGATAATAACAGTACCTACCTTGTAGTGCTGTTACAAGGTTACTATGCAGGAAAGGGCAGACAGAGCCTGGCTCCTTTCAGTGCTC
Source organism: Homo sapiens (assembly GCF_000001405.40). Taxonomy (NCBI): domain Eukaryota; kingdom Metazoa; phylum Chordata; class Mammalia; order Primates; family Hominidae; genus Homo; species Homo sapiens. Next base: position 107,856,296 of record NC_000011.10, on the reverse strand, counting down.
TATATGGGTTAGTTGTCACCATTAGCTCTCTATTCTTGGGTGATGGGAACATTTGGTGATTGCTTCAGGAGATGCCAGTGGCCTTGAGGCTGGGGCAGATGATATGGCAAGATGTATGTTTAACAAGATGTGATAAGAATTAACAATGATTTTCTTTTCTTTTCTTCTTCTTCTTTTTTTTTTTTTTTTTTGAGACAGAGTTTTGCTCTTGTTGCCCAGGCTGGAGTGCAGCGGCACGATCATGGCTCACTGCAACCTCTGCCTCCCGGGTTCAAGTGATTCTCCTGCCTCAGCCTCCTGAGTAGCTAGGATTACAGGCGCCTGCCACCATGCCCGGCTAATTTTTAATACAGACAGGATTTCACCATGTTGGCCAGGCTGGTCTTGAGCTCCTGACCTCAGGTGATCCATCTACCTCAGCCTCCAAAAGTGCTGGGATTATAAGCGTAAGCCACCGTGCCTGGCCTGATTTTTTTTTTTCTCTCCTAATGTTCTGATACTTTTGGAATCCGGGTATGTTTTATAATCAGTCTAGTAGCCTCCTAAATATGAGATTTCTTTTGTCTATGAATGTCCTTTTTATGTATCTCTTTGAGGGCTTTTTCCTTTCTTGTGGAATAGCAGTTATGGGCATTTTTTTTTTTTAGACAGAGTTTCACTGTTGTTGCCCAGGCTGGAGTTCAATGGCGCGATCTCGGCTCACCGCAACCTCCGCCTCCCGGGTTCAAGCTCTTCTTCTACCTCAGCCTGCCAAGTAGCTGGGATTACAGGCATGCACCACCACACCTGGCTAATTTTGTATTTTTTGTAGAGATGGGGCTTCTCCATGTTGGTCAGGCTGTTCTCGAACTCCCAACCTCAGGTGATCCGCCCGCCTCGGCCTCCCAAAGTGCTGGGATTACAGGTGTGAGCCACACGCCTGGCCATGGACGAAGTTCTTTAACAGCAAAAATGGTGTCTTTTTCTTTTTTATATCTACCACAACCCTTAGCACATGAATGAATGAATGAGTGAATGACTGAGGGATGACAAAGGTTCACAAGTCTTCCTTTCCATTCTGCCTCCCTCCCTGAACTCTTCCCTTTATTGGTCTTTATTCCAAGGGTCTTGGGCTGAGCTTCTTGTTTGGTTGGCTGGGCTCTTTTGTTAATTAAAGTTTCCATTCCTACCTCTGGCAGCCATCCAAGCACTTGGATTTTGGATTGCAGTTTCTCTTTATCAGACCCAGCAATCAGAAAAGAGTGGTTTACCAGATATCCAGTACTCCTAATACTCAATATTTTAAGCTTTGTTGTCAAAACTCATGTCCCAAGTTTGAGTAGCTTTGTGAATCCCCACCTGTGGCCAGGGAACCAAGGGTGGGAGAGTGTAGAAAGAGGTTGGTGAATGGATATGATGTGTTATCACCATATGGGCAAGATACAGAGAGAGATTTATAACCACATAGCTCATTTCTATTCCTTTTACCAAAAAGGGGCAAGAAGAGGCTTTTTGGGCAACTGGGTACTAAATACAGGGAGAAGATTGGGGCATAGAGCTTGTTATGTTTTCATTATGAGGAGGATATGTTCTAAGTGACCCCAGCTCTTAATATACCTGCCCCCATAGGGTACAGACAACTTTTCTCTATGATTAGGAATATCAGATCACTCATTCAATAAAAGTTTATTGAACACTTACCATGTGCCAGACATTCATGATAATGAGAACCATATATTCCTTAGTGGAGTGTGTAATTTTGGCTTTTGTGATTTATTACTGTCAACTCAAGTGAAAAATATTGTGATAGAAGACCATAGACTTCCAGGAGTATCTGAGAATACTTCTTATTTAATTGTTTATTATTATTATTATCATCATTTTTTGAGACAGGCTCTCACTCTGTTGGCCAGGCTGGAGTGCAGTGGCTGATCATGGCTTACTGCAGCCTCGACCTCCGTGGCTCAAGTGATCCTCCCACCTCAGCCTCCTGAGTGGCTGGGACTATGGCATGCACTGCCACGCACTACTAGTTTTTTTTTTTTTTCCGTAGAGACAGGGTTTCACCATGTTGCCCAGGCTGGTCTCAAACTCTTTGGCTCAAGTGATCCACCTGCCTTGGCTTTCCAAAATGTTGGGATTACAAGAGTGGCCCACTGCACCTGGTATTATTATTTAATTGTATACTGTCAGACAGTTTACATTCTGACACATAGATCCTAATTTATTCATATGTATGTTTTTAATTTTTAATTTTAGTTTTTGTAGGGACAAAATCTTGCTTTGTCACTCAGGCTGATCTTGAACTCCTGGGCTCAAGCAATCCTCCCATCTTGGCCTCCTAAAATTTGGGATCACAGGCATGAGTCACTGCACCAGGCCTATTCATATATTTTAAAAACGCGTATTCCTTGTAACAACCATCAACTTTATATCTCTAGCAAAAACCTTTAATTATTATTTTATATATTTATCTTTTTCCCATCAAATAGATAAATAAGCTTTTCAAGGGCATGAGTTTTATCATGTTCCTTTTGTAGCAGAGTGCTGGACATGGTTTATTCATTGATTCTTTCTTTTTTTTTTTTTTTTTTTTTTGAGACGGAGTCTCGCTCTGTCGCCCAGGCTGGAGTGCAGTGGCGCGATCTCGGCTCACTGCAAGCTCCGCCTCCCGGGTTCACGCCATTCTCCTGCCTCAGCCTCCCGAGTAGCTGGGACTACAGGCGCCCACCACCACGCCCGGCTAATTTTTTTTGTATTTTTAGTAGAGGCGGGGTTTCACTGTGTTAGCCAGGATGGTCTCGATCTCCTGACCTCATGATCCTCCCGCCTCTGCCTCCCAAAGTGCTGGGATTACAGGCGTGAGCCACCGCGCCCGGCCTCATTGATTCTTTCATTCACCAAGCCTTGGACATCTGTAATGTTCTAGGCTTCAGACTTGTCTCTTTGGCCATAACGAATAGGACTAAGTTCCTGCTCTAGTGAAAGCTCATCATCAAATTATGATAAAAAGTTATGATAAGTGCTATAAAGATAAGTGCAAGGTTCAGCAATGGCACAAAAAAGGGCAGAGACCAAGTCTACCAGGGTGAGATAGGGTTAGGGAGCTTGAGAGGGAAGGTGATCGTGATTATGAAGCCTGAATGAGTTTTCCAGGTGGCCTAGGTGAGGAAGGGTAGTCTAGGCTTGAAAGTGCCAGAAAGTGTTTTGCTTAAGGAACTTCAAGTAGCTTGGTGTGAAGGGGGCATGGGCTGGAGGAGGGAAGGATAATAGGTGGTCAGTCTACACCCACATTACTTTGTTTTTTTGAGATGGAGCCCTAGGCTGGAGTGCAGTGTCATGATCTCCTGAGTTCAAGCGAGTCTCCTGTCTCAGCCTCCTGAGTAGCTGGGATTATCAGCATGGGCCACCACGCCTGGCTAAATTTTTTTTTTTTTTTTTTTGAGATGGAGTCTTGTTCTGTTGCCCAGGCTGGAGTGCAGTGGTGCAATCTCAGCTCACTGTAGCCTCCGCCTCCTGGGTTCAAGTGATTCTCCTGCCTCAGCCTCCCTAGTAGTAGCTGGGATTACAGGCGCATGCCACCATGCCTGGCTAATTTTTGTATTTTTTGTAGAGACAGGGTTTTGCCATGTTGGCTAGGCTGGTCTTGAACTCCTGACCTCAGGTGACCTGCTCATCTCGGCCCCCTCCAAAGTGCTGGGATTACAGGCATGAGCCACTGCGCCCAGCCAGTTTAATTTTGTATTTTGTATTTTTTTTTTTTTTTTGAGGTGGAGTCTCGCACTGTTGCTCCAGCTGGAATGCAGTAGCACAATCTCAGCTGACTGCAACCTCTGCCTCCCAGGTTCAAGTGATTCTCCTGCCTCAGCCTCCCGAGTAGCTGGGACTACAGGTGCCTGTCACCACACCCAGCTAATTTTTTGTATTTTTAGTAGAGACGGGGTTTCACCATGTTGGCCAGGCTGATCTCAAACTCCTCACCTCGTGATTCGCCTGCCTCGGCCTCCCAAAGTGTTGGGATTACAGGCGTGAGCCACTGTGCCCAGCCAATATTGTGTTTTTAGCAGAGATGAGGTTTCACCATGTTGGCTGAGCTGGTCTTGAACTCCTGGCCTCAAGTGATCCACCTCCCTTGGCCTCCCAAAGTGCTGGGATTACAGGCCTGAGCCACCACGCCTGGCCAACACCCACACTCCTTGTTATTGTCTAGCAACAGGTCTGGGATACACCTGTGCTTTCTCCTTTCATTTTGGTTTCCGCCTTCCACAGGGTAAAGTCCTAGACATTTTTGAAGGAGTCATTTAGTTGTGCTTAACTGTGCAGACTTTATCCAATCAACAGACATCTATTGAGCTCTCACTGTGTATGCAGCATAAATCCCAAGCTGGTATGTATCCCTGCTGAAGGGTATTGTTTATAGTGTTATTTAAACAAAGATGTAAAGTTAGGGATCTTTTGTGGCTTGTGCAGTTCCCTGGGGAATTGGGGAACTCTGGATTCTACGAGTCTCCATAAATTCTTCTCCCTTCCCCCTTTTTACTATGAAATTATTTACTATCTGCCCATTCTACTAGACTCCAGGAGTCAGGAATCATATCTAGTTATGGCCATTGTATATTCTGATTGTTACATTACTGACCTTGCAATAGATTCACAAAAAATATGGGATGCATGGCTGAGAATGAATCCTTAATTCCAATAGGCATTGTATAAAGGATTACATCCCTTTTTTTTAGAAAAAATTTCCACTCTGCATTATATGTTTGTGACCCAGTCATGTTGTTTTTTTCATCTAGTGTGTTTCTCAACCTCAGCCTTTTTTTTTTTTAATTTATTTTTATTTTTATTTTTTTTGAGACGGAGTTTCTCTCTTGTCACCCAGGCTGGAGTGGAATGGCGCAATCTCCAGTCACTGCAACCTCCGTCTCCGGGGTTCAAGCCATTCTCTAGCCTCAGCCTCCCAAGTAGCTGGGATTATAGGCGCCTGCCACCATGCCTGGCTAATTTTTGTATTTTTAGTAAAGACAGGGTTTCTTTCTTTCTTTTTTTTTTTTTGAGACAGCATCTCACTCTGTTGCCCCGGCTAGAGTACAGTGGTGCGATCTCAGCTCACTGCAACCTCCGCCTCCCGGGTTCAAGAGATTCTCCTGCTTCAGCCTCCTGAGTAGCTGGGACTACAGGCACGTGCCACCACTCCCGGCTAATTTTTGTATTTATAGTAGAGATGGGGTTTCACCATATTGGCCAGGCTGGTCTCGAACTCCTGACCTTGTGATCCGCCCACCTTAGCCTCCCAAAGTGCTGGGATTACAGGCGTGAGCCACCGCGCCCAGCTAAAGACAGGGTTTCACCATGTTGGCCAGGCTAGTCGCGAATTCCCAACCTCAGGTGATCCACCCATCTCAACCTCCCAAAGTGCTGGGATTACAGGTGTGAGACACTGTGCCCAATCAACCTCAGCCTTCTTGACATTTTGAGTTGACTAATTCTTTTTTTTTTTTTTGGAGACGGAGTCTCATTCCAGGCTGGAGTGCAGTGGCATGATTTTGGGTCACTGCAGCCTCCCCCTCTTGGTTCAAACGAATCTCTTGCCTCAGCCTCCCGAGTAGCTGGGATTACAGGCACCTGCCACCACGTTCGGCTAATTTTTGTATCTTTAGTAGAGATGGGATTTCACCATGTTGGCCAGGCTGGTCTCGAACTCCTGGCCTCAAGTGATCCACCTGCCTCGGCCTCCCAATGTGCTGGGCTTATAGAAGTGAGCCACCGTGCCCGGCCTTGAGTTGACTATTTGTTGGGGCTGTTCTGTAAGATGTAGATACCTGGCCCCACCCAATAAATGCCAGTATAGCACCCTCACCCCCACTCCCAGTTGTGATATTCAAAAGTGTCTCCAGACATTGCCAAATGTCTTCTCGGGGACAAAAATCATCCCTAATTGAGAACCACTGATTTAGTCTATTGTTTTTACCTGCTACAGAGTATTCTGTGGTTCCGTGGTCCATCCACCAGTGTTAGACAACCAGACAGCTTCCAACTCCCAGCCTCCACAAACATCACTGTGATGACCACTCTCATACATGTCCCCTATGTGCTGAAGAACGAGATGATAGCCAGGCTTGGGTCTGAGTCCCTCTAGGTAGAGGGGAGGGGATGCACCCCAGGATGGAGCAATCTTGGGCACTACAGAATCACCCTTGATTTCTGTTGTTCAGTGACTGTCCATTAAGCTATTCCTATCAGCTGCTCTGAAAGAAGGAGGAGGCAGTCTCTCTAGGTTACAGCCCATTAGCCCAAGGAGCTTGGAGAGGGTAGGTGAGGAATGATTGCTGGCTGGACAGCCTGAACCTGTTTTATTAATTTCTCAACACTGGAGGGAGTTGTTAAAGGGGCAGACATGTACTGTAGGGAGAGGTAAGACTGGAATTGAAAAGCTTTTCTCCAGCATGCCCTCCACTGGGCCTCTGGTTCCTCTTTCTGCCCCAGGCTGTAGTCTCCTTCTTCCCCTAGACCAGTTCTAGACAACCTTTGGGTTATTCCTTCTTTTGTTTGCTTCTTTCTTCTGGTTGACTTGAAGGAAGTCAGTGCTTATTCCCTGTCTTGACAGCGCTTCCAGAATAGTCCTAGAGTCCACCTCCCCCTTCAATCCCTATTGTCTTTTTTTTTTTTTTTTTTTCCCAAAACGGAGTCTTGCTCTGTCGCCCAGGCTGGAGTGCAGTGGCGCAATCTCAGCTCACTGCAACTTTCGCCTCCCAGGTTCAAGCGATTCTCCTGCCTCAGCCTCCTGAGTAGCTGGAATTACAGGTGCCTGCCACCAAGCCTGGCTAGTTTTTGCATTTTTAGTAGAGACGGGGTTTCACCATGTTGGCCAGGCTGGTCTCAAACTCCTGACTTCAGGTGATCTGCCCACCTCGGCCTCCCAAAGTGCTGGGATTACAGACGTGAGCCACCGCACCTGGCCTCAATCCCTATTGTGACTAATTCAGTTCAAGCCTTTATCATCTCTCACTTAGACTGTTGTAATAGCTTCCATCCATGCCTCCATCTATCCCCGACCCCAATCATCTCGCTACACAGAAGTCAGAGTGATGCCTAATAAAACGAAAGAGTATTAATGGCTGTCATCAAATGAGAATTCGCTGTGTATCAGGCACCCTACTTATATTTCATCAATCCTCATGACAATCCTACAAAAATAGGTTTTTTATTCTGTTTTGACAGACAGAGCAGGTAAGTAACTTACCCAGGACACTTGGCTGGTGAGAGGCAGAGCTGAGATAGTTTCATTTGTTTCTAAAATCCAGAGCTGCTTTACTCTTTCAAAAATCTCATGTGATATGACTAGTTTACTCAAAAAAATTAAAAGAAAAAAAGAAAGAAATCTCACTGCATTATGCTCAGGCTGAAAACCTTTTGGGATTCTTCCCATCACCTACCCTAGTGGTTTGCAAACCGGAGGAGCTCTTGGGGTTCCCTGGAGGTTCCTTAGGGTTCACCATGGGAAACAAGTAGGGGATAGGAGCTGGTGGGCTTCTGGGCTGGCCTCTGGCACCCACCAGGGTGTGCTGCTATTGATCGTTTTATAGTTGGGCTTTTATGCCAGATTAATAACAATAATACTGTACACTGGATAACTTCCAAGCCAAAGACACTTATTTCTCACAGTCTGGAGGCTGGGAGGTCTGAGACCAAGGTGCCTGCAGGTTTGGTGTCCTTTGGTTCATAGTCAGCTGTTTTCTTTCTGTGTCCTCACATGGTAAAAAGGATTTGGGAGCTCCCTGGAGTCCCTTTTGTAAGGACACTAATCCCATTTATGTAGACTCCACCTTCATGACCTTATCATCTCCCAGAGGCCCCACCTCCAAATAGTATCACATTAGGGATTAAATTTCAACATATGAATTTTGAGGAGACAAATATTAAGTCTATACCAATGCTGTGTGAAGAAAGGGCTCTGCAGCTAAAACAAATCTGAAAGCCACTGTTTATTGGTTAGAGCTCAAACTGCTGCCCCTCCTCCTCTCCTCACCCTTCTCTCCTTTTTCTTCTTCCTCTTTACCTGAACATAATACTTTTTTTAAGTTTTCTTTTTTATTGTGGTAAAATATGCATAACATAAAATGTACCATTTTAGCCATTTTTATGTGTATCATTCAGGGGGATTAAGTACATTTGTAATACTGTGCAATCATCACCATATCTGTTTCCAGAACTTGTTTATTATCCCAAACTCTGCACATTTCAAATAATAACTCTGCACTCCCCCTCCCCAGCCCCTGGCCACTACAGTTCTACTTTCTGTCTCTATGAATTTGACTTCTCTAGATACTTCATATAAATGGAATCATTTGGCACTTGTCATTTTGTGAGAGTTCAGTCTTCTCGACATGAGGTAGGAGGCTTTCCATCACTGGCCCACTTCCCTCTCCAGGCTCACCTCCCAGAATGTCCCTCTCTCACTTGGCACTTGGTTCAGAGACACTGATCTGCTGGTGATTCCCTTGTGCACACCATACCTGCGCCTTTGCACCTGTAGTTCCCTCCTGGGATTGCTTTCACTGTTAGCACCAACTTAGGAAATCTTCTTCCCTGTTTCCTCTGTCCCTCCTGACACACATTTTCAGTTGGGTGCCCCTCTGTGTACCTGTTCCTACCTCATCATTGCACTTCTCATATTGTAATGTTAAGTATAATTATCACTTGCCTGGGAGAGTGCCTTTTTAAGGACAGAGATGATAATTCATCTTTGAAGTTCCTGCAGTACTTTATGCCTGGCACAGATCTGAAATGGTAGCAATTCCTCCCATGATATGTATGAGTTAAGACTGAAATAAAAATTAGGCTATTTCTGAATAGCTTTCAGAGATTATTTCTGAAGGTAGCCACATTTGTGGAAGAAGTGAATTGCCTCCCCAGGAAATTGCTTGTGTAGGCAAGTTTTGGTACCTTTATGAAAAAGCTGTAGTAGACTGCGTGAGGTTGCTCATGGGTGTGATCCCAGCACTTTGGAACACCAAGACAGGAAACTTTCTGGAGCTCAGGAGTTCAAGACCAGCCTGGGCAACAAAGCGAGACTCCTGTCTCTACAAAAAAATAAAAAATAGAATATTAGCCATGTGCAGTGGTGTAGGCCTATAATCCTAGCTACTTGGAAGGCTGAAGCAGGAGGATCACTTGAGATTGTGAGTCCAGTATTTCAAAGGCACTCCACTGCACTCTAGCCTGGGCGACAGGGTAAGTCCCTATCTGTAAAAGAAAAGCTATGAAAACCTATGCCATTATTTACTGAAGATCATCAGAGAGAACAAATCATTTCACACAGGTTAATTTTCCAGATAATTTAAAACTCATTCTTTTAAGCATTAAAATTCACTTTTTTTTTTTTTTTGAGACAGAGTCTCGCTCTGACACTCAGGCTGGAGTGCAGTGGCATGATCTTGGCTCACTGCAGCCTCCGCCTCCCGGGTTCAAGCGATTCTCCTGCCTCAGCCTCCTGAGTAGCTGGGATTACAGGCGCCCGCCACCATGCCAGCTAAGTTTTGTATTTTTGTAGAGAGAGGGTTTGACCGTGTTGGCCAGGCTGGCCTTGAACTCCTGACCTCAAGTGATCCACCCACCTTGGCCTCCCAAAGTGCTGGGATTACATGCTTGAGCCACTGCTCCCAGCCTAAAATTCACTTTTAAATCTAGTTGAATGACACTATTTATGTAATGGATTGTTAACTTCTGCTAATTCATTTATTTATAATTTTGGCAGCAATTCTTTGAGGATTAATTGGTTTGTACTGAACAACTGTCTTAGGGTAGGCCAAGCCATTTAGTTACTTATTGGGTCCATTTGCAACTAATCCTGGAGATTTTGCCAAGAAAAAAAAAATTACTTAAAAATTTTCATGGCATATTTAAGACAAATATATGAGACTACTCTTTTGATAAACAGTACCTTTATCGTGGTATCATGTTTTCTTCATGATTCAGGATCATCATCATTCACTTTTTTCTGCTGAGAGGCAACAATACGTTCATGGGCGTTGATATGGATTATTTGTCTGATTTTTTTCAGCCTTTTTTCTCCCAGGTTGTCACATGTGATTTTTTTTTTTCTGTTACCAATCATATCTCTGGAACCCTGTGTTCTTTCTAAATTATGATTTCTACTGTATTAACACCGTAGAAACCAGATAACTCAGTTTCTTAGAATTGCTTGTAGTCAAAGTATAAATAGACCCCAAATAAAGATTTGAATGGTTTTCATTTTTATAAATTATAAAAGCTTTGAATCCAGAGATTTTGAGCTGTTTATTTTGGATAATGACAGGAGCCTATGTTATTTATTTATTTATTTATTTATTTATTTATTTATTTATGACAGAATCTCAGTCTGTCGCCCAGGCTGGAGTGCAACGGCGCGATCTTGGCACACTGCAACCTCTGCCTCCTGGGTTCAAGCAATTCTCCTGGCTCAGCCTCCTGAGTAGCGTGGATTACAGGTGCACACCACCACGCCCAGCTAATTTTTGTATTTTTAGTAGAGATGGGGTTTTACCATGTTGGCCAGGCTGGTCTTGAACTCCTGACCTGAAGTGATCCGCCTGTCTTAGCCTCCCAAAGTGCTGGGATTACAGGCATGAGCCACCGTGCCCAGCCAGAGCCTATGTTATTGAAAGCCATCCAACAAGTGATGTGTCACAAAAACTTGGTTATTTATGTTAATGATACACAGAGAGATTCCATGAAAAACCACAGGTAAATCCAAAACTTCTTTCTAGTCATTTCTTTTTCCTTTCTTGTTTTTTGGAGATGGGGTCTCACTTTGTCACCCAGGCTGGAGTGCAGTGGCACAAACATGGCTCCCTGCAGCTTCGACTTCCTAGGCTCAAGCAATCCTCCAGCCTCAGCCTCCCGAGTAGCTGGGTTTTGCCATGTTGCCCGGGCTGGTCTTGAACTCCTGGGCTCAGATGATCTGCCCGCCTTGGCCTCCCAAAGTGCTGGGATTACAAGTGTGAACCTTCTAGTCATTTCTTAAAAATGTAAGGGTACTTAAGGAAAAAACAGATTCTGTTTATTCAGTCTAACACAGCCTTACTAAGGAGGATGGTGTTGTGCTGCATGGGTGCAGTAGATCTTCCCAGAGAATTGTGGGGATATTCCTACTCCAGAAGTGTTTAGGATATACTTGGGGGAAGAGCATTTCCTAAGCTTTTCACTGTGATATGAAGCAAGAAATAAAAATAATAATAACATTTGTTGAGTAAGGCTTACTTTGTGCACTGAGCAACCACACTATTCTGGGATCTCAGGGTGAATTAACTCATGTAATTCTTTTTTTTTTTTTTTTTCTTGAGATGGAGTCTCGCTCTGTTGCCCAGGCTGGAGTGCCGTGACGTGATCTCGGCTCACTGCAAGCTCTGCCTCCCGGGTTCACGCCATTCTCCTGCCTTAGCCTCCCGAGTAGCTGGGACTACAGGTGCCCGCCACCACGCCTGGCTAATTTTTTTTGTATTTTTAGTAGAGATGGGGTTTCACCATGTTAGCCAGGATGGTCTCGATCTCCTGACCTTGTGATCCGCCCGCTTTGGCCTCCCAAAGTGCTGGGATTACAGGCGTGAGCCACCGCGCCCGGCCTGTGTAATTCTTACAATAACTTTATTTATTTATTTATTTATTTATTTATTTATTTATTTATTTATTTATTGGAGAAGGAGTCTGACTCTGTCACCCAGGCTGGAGTGCAGTGGGGCGATCTCAGTTCACTGCAACTTCCGCCTCCCGGGTTCAAGCGATTCTGCTTCCGCCTCCTGAGTAGCTGGGATTACAGGTGCATGCCACCAGGCCCGGCTAATTTTTGTATTTTTAGTAGAGAGATTTCACCATGTTGGCCAGGCTGATCTCAAACTCCTGACCTTAGGTGATCCGTCTGCCTCGGCCTCCCAAAGTGCTGGGATTATAGGCGGGAGCCACCGTGGCTGGCCCTTATAATAACTTTCTGCGGCAGGTATTATAATACTATAATGGCTAGTGCCATTTCACAGATGTGAAAGTTGGAGCACGGAGAGGTGAGGTAATTTTGCCTAACAGTGTTAGTCACACAGTAGTAAGGAATGCAACCAGGCTTCCCCCTCAGGCAGTCTGGCCCCCAGAGCCTGTGCTCTTACTCACTGTACCTTTCTGTCTTTTGCGATAGGGCAACAAACAAAAAACAGACCTTGGGCAGTCTATCCCTAGGCCTGTTCTGGATTATTTGTATCTCTAGGGATGGCAAAGAGTATATAAAGTCAGATAAATAGAATGCATCTTCTGGGAGCATTATTTATTTTTTAGACCCTAGTTGCATGGAAATGGATTAATCATAATCACTGGCCTATGACACACTCTCATTGTGGGCTCATGAATGGCTTAATTAATATACATATATATATATATATATATATATATATATATATATATATTTTTTTTTTTTTTTTTTTTTTTAAGATACAGAGTCTCACTTTGTCACCCAGGCTAGAGTGCCATGGTGTGATCATAGTTCACTGCAGCCTTGAACTCAAGTGATCCTCCTGCCTTGGCCTCCAGAGTAGCTAGGACTACAGGGGTGCATCTCTAGACCTAATTTTAAAAAAATTTTTGTAGAAATGGGGTCTTGCTATTTTGCCCAGGCTGATCTTGAACACCTGGCTCAAATGATCCTCCCACCTTGGCCTCCCAAAGTGCTGGGATTATAGGCGTGAGCCACTCTGCTCAGCCTCAATTAATTTTTTTTTTTTTTTGAGACAAAGTTTCGCTTTTGTTGCCCAGGCTGGAGTGCAATGGTGCGATCTTGGCTCACTGTAATCTCCACCTCTTGGGTTCAAGCGATTCTCCTGCCTCCGCCTCCCGAGTAGCTGGGATTAGCCCAGCTAATTTTGTAGTTTTAGTAGAGATGGGGTTTCTCCATGTTGGTCAGTCTGGTCTTGAACTCCCGACCTCAGGTGATCTGCCCACTTCGGCCTCCCAAAGTGCTGGGATTACAGGCATCAGCCACTGTGCCTGGCCAGCCTCAATTGCTTTTTTAATATAGTAAGTTCCCGTAAACGCATCACCAGTCCTAAAGCTAGAATTTACATGTACCTAGACCAAAGATAGTCACAATCTGGAATTTTCCTTTCACTCTTCCTTTGCTCTCATTTTAATATTGCTTTGTACCTCTGTATTTCTAAAAAGTATGCTTTTATTATCATGTTTGACTTTATAAAAAGGATATCATGCTCTATAATCTGGTGAGACTTATATCCCCTTATATCACGTTGATAAAATTAATTCATATTGTTGCAGGTGCTGATGCTGTATACAAACACTCACTTTGACTCTTTGTAATATTCTTTCCTGTGAATATACCACACTTTATTCATTCATGCTGTTGATGGGCATTTGGGTTTTTTCCGGGTTTTTTGCTATTGTATACAGACTTCTAGAAACAGTCTTATGCAGATCTCCTGTTGATCATGTGTAAAGGGCTTCTTTCATTCACAGACATGCACATATACATATATCTAGAAGCAGAATTGCTGGTTTATAGGGCAGGTGATTGTTAGACTTCATAAAATAATGCCAAACTGTTTTCCAAAGCAGTCGTACCAATTTCCACTCCTAAATTAGCCAGGTATGGCGGTACACACCTGTAGTCCCAGCTACTGGGCAGGCTGAGGTGGGAGGATCGCTTGAGCCCAAGAGGTGGAGGTTGCAGTGAGCTGAGATTGCGCCACTGCATTCCAGCCTGGGTGACAGAGTGAGGCGGTATTAAAAAATTTTATTTTTAATTAGAGGGGTATGGTGGCACATTTCCTGTAATCCCAGCTACTTGGGAGGCTGAGGCATGAGAACTGCTTGAACCCAGGAGGCGGAGGTTGCAGTGAGTTGACATCATGCTACTGCACTTCAGCCTGGCAACAGAGTGAGACTCTGGCTCAAAAAATAAAAAAATTAAAAATTTTTTTTCCACTTCCACCAGCTGTATATGAGAAATCCTGTAAAACAACTTCCAGTCAAGCTTTAATTTTTTTTTTTTTTTTTTTTTTTTTTTTGTGAGACGGAGTCTCACTCTGTCGCCCAGGCTGGAGTGTAGTGGCGCAATCTTGCCTCACTGCCTCCCAGTTTCAAGTGATTCTTGTGCCTCAGCCTCCTGAGTAGCTGGGGTTATAGGCACACCACCACGCCCAGCTAATTTTTGTATTTTTATTTTTATTTTTTATTTTTCTTTATTTTTCTTTTTTTTTGAGACGAAGTCTTGTTCTTTCACCTAGGCTGGAGTGCAGTGGCACGATCTCAGCTCACTGCAACCTCCACCTCCTGGGTTCACGCAATTCTCCTGCCTCAGCCTCCCGAGTAGCTGGGATTACAGGTGCACACCACCACGCCCGGCTAATCTTTTGTGTATTTTTAGTAGAAACGGGGTTTCACTATGTTGGCCAGACTGGTTTCGAACTCCTGACCTCATGATCCGCTCGCCTCGGCCTTAATTTTTGTATTTTTAGTAGAGACAGGGTTTTGCCATGTTGGCTAGGCTGGTTTTGAACTTCTGGCCTCAACTGATCCACCTGCCTCATCCTTCCAAAATGCTGGGATTACAAGTGTGAGCCACTGCGCCCGGCCAGGCTTTAAAATTTTTGATGGTCAAATGAATGTAAAATAACATCTTAATTTACATATGCCTGATCCCTAATGAAGTTGGGTCTCTGTCTATGTTTATTGGCTTTAGTGTACTTTTTTTTTTTTTTTTTTTTGAGTTGGAGTCTCTTTCGTCTAGGCTGGAGTGCAGTGGCACAGTCTCCGCTCACTGTGGCCTCCGCCTCCTGGATTCAAGCAATTATCCTGCCTCAGCCTCCTGAGGAGTTGGGATTACAGGTCTGCACCACCACACTTGGCTAATTTTTGTATTTTTAGTAGAGACAGGGTTTCACCATGTTGGTCAGGCTGGTCTTGAACCCCTGACCTCAGGTGATCCACCTGCCTTGGCCTCCCAAAGTGCTGGGATTACAGGCATGAGCTGCCACACCCGGCCGGCCTTAGTGTACTTCTGTGAAGTGCTGCTGTTCTGTGAAATACCCACCTTTTCCATATTATTTTCCTGTTAAACAGATTGCTCTATACACATTGCAACTTAACGGATTTAAAGATCCCACCTGAGACTGACAAAATTTTGGGCTTGCATCAGGTTCCCCGATAATCCTCGTTCTTGTGTGGTAGTGGAAGTTGAAAAGTTTTTGAGCCTATTCAGAGTTGTCTGGATTAAATTAGGAGAAGTTGAAGCTAGTTTAAGGGAGGCGTATGACAGTTTTTCTGGTTTGGGGCCTGTAGGGTGTTGAAAGACTAGAAGGGATGACATGACTCATAGGAAATCTCCTCGCCGCCTCCGCTTCCCTCACTGGGCCAGGTCTCCACGAGCTTTCTAGATTAGTCACAGACTCCTGTTTTCTTCAGGTGCCTGATTGGTGTGTGACGAGTGTAGTAGGTCAGTTGTTAGAGGTACTGGTGGTGTCCAGCTCACCACTGGCATAGGAAAGAAAAAAAAGAGGATTTATTACTTTACAGAATCATGGAGGGTTACGCTGCCAAACCACAGAGAGACCAGAGAAGCAGCAGGAGCCAGGAGTCCAAACCACAGCAGGATTCTGTGTAAGCCTTTGTGCATTGCGTTTGCTGTTGGCTTCATTCTTCCAGCTGCATGCCAGTTGATTATCTTCATCTGAGGATTGCATTGGACAATTTAGATCACACAAAACACAAAATGAACAAACCCCTCAAGTGTTGAAAGCGATTTTTGTTTTGATAATCCGCAATGAGGGAAATCTAGTTTTTACAATAGTTAAAGAGAATCGTCCTTCAGAACCTTCTGTTCTGCCTCAATGGGCAGGCAGTGTTAAGAATTGAACATTTTATGTGGCTTCTTGGCTGCCTGTTGAGAACAGGGTTTGTTTGTGCTCAGTCCCTGTGCCAGACTGGGATGGGCAGAGGGAGGGTTGTATGCCTGTCTCAGGGATGTACTCTCTTGCAATCCAGACTTGTGAAATGGCAGCACGTTTATTACCAACCCTAATCCTATGCTTCCTGATCCTACCTGCCTCCCACCCCAGCACCCACCTTTTCAGCCCTCCTGGAGCTCCTCTGTGTCTTTTGGAGTGTGTCCATGTTTGTGCACCTCTTAGAATTTTTCTCACAGAAGAGTTGTGGGGAGGGAGGATCCTGGAGGCAGAGGCCACATACTCCATATATTGCCCACAGTTGAATGCTGCCCTCTTTATTTTGCCCCCTTCCCCCTAATCTAGGCAATAGACTTAAGTTCCTCTGACCCATATCCAAAGAGAATAGCTGATATGAAAATGTGTTTCAGGTTGGGCACGGTGGCTTACACCTGTAATCCCAGCACTTTAGGAGGCCAAGGCAGGGGGATCACCTGAGGTGGGGAGTTTGAGACCAGCCTGACTAACATGCAGAAACCCCATATCTACTAAAAATACAAAATTAGCCAGGCGTGGTGGCGCATGCCTGTAATCCCAGCTACTTAGGAGGCTGAGGCAAGAGAATCGCTTGAACCCAGGAGGCAGAGGTTGCGATGAGCCGAGATCGCACCATTGCAATCCATCCTGGGCTACAAGAGCGAAACTCCGTCTCAAAAAGAAAATGTGTTTCACGCTTTCTCCTTTCAGCCAATGAAAGCCAGATGACAAAGAGAAGGATATCATACATGGATTTTATATTTTCCCTTATTTTTATCAGAACACCCCTTATTAAAATAATTGTAGAACATATAACCATATGGGTTTGGCTAATCAGTACCCTTTGTTAGAGAGGCAGGGTAATATGTTTTCTTTTTCTTTTTTTGAAACGGTGTCTTGCCCCATTGTTCAGGCTGGAGTGCAGTGGTGTGATCTCTGCTCACTGTAACCTCTGCCTCCTGGGTTCAAGTGATCCTCCCACCTCAGCCTCTTGAGTAGCTGGGATTACAAGCATGTGCCATGACGCCCAGCTAATTTTCATGTTTTTAGTAGAGACGGGGTTTCACCATGTTGGCCAGGCTGGTCTTGAACTCCTGACCTCAAGTGATCCCCACATCTTGGCCTCCCAAAGTGCTGGGAATACAGGAGTGAGTCACTGCGTCCAGCCAGAGCCAGGGTAATTTGTACCAATTGATCTCCCTGTATGGTATCATAATTGTCAGTATTACATATGGTATATTTTATTGTTGTCAGGGAAGTAGTGTATGGAACGGGAAAAATGTAGACTTACTAATTTTCTGATCTTGGAAAAGTTACTTCTGAACAGCTGAAACTGTTACAACTATTTTTCAACAGTATAATGGTACTAATAATCTCTATCTCACAAGAGTTTTTGTGATATTTAAGAGAAACTTATCGGCCAGGTGTGGTGGCTCATGCCTGTAATCCCAGCACTTTGGGAGGCCGAGATGGGCAGATCACCTGAGGTCAGGAGTTCGAGACCAGCTTGGGCAATATGGCGAAACCTCATCTCTACTAAAAATATGAAAATAAGCCAGGCATGGAGGTGCACGCCTGTAGTCCCAGCTACTTGGGAGGCTGAGGCAGGAGAATCGCTTGAACCCAGGAGGCAGAGGTTGCAGTGAGATGAGATAGCGCCACTGCACTCCAGCCTGGGGGACAGAGCAAGACTGTCTCAAAAAAAAAAAAAAAAAAAAAGAGGGCCGGGCAAAGTGGCTCACGCCTGTAATCCCAGCACTTTGGGAGGCCGAGATGGGCAGATCACCTGAGGTCAGGAGTTCAAGACCAGCCTGGCCAACATGGTGAAACCCCATCTCTACGAAAAATACAAAAATTAGCTGGGCGTGGTGGCGGGCGCCTGTAATCCCAGCTACTCGGGAGGCTGAGTCAGGAGAATCGCTTGAACCCAGGAGGTGGAGGTTGCAGTGAGCCGAGAGTACGCCGTTGTACTCCAGCCTGGGTGACAAAAGCAAAACTCCATCTCAAAAGAAAAGAAACGAAAAGAAACATCATATATAAGTACTTAGTATGGCACCCACACACATTTATTTTTATTAAGCCACTTCACTTTTGTTGAGGTAAGAAAGGTTTTATGAATCCCTAATAAATGCAAGTAGTGTACTTGCAGTGTAACAGTGGTTATGAGCTCAGCCTCTGGAGCCACACTGCTTGGGTTGGTCTCCAGGTTCTGCCATTTGCTAGTTGTGTGATATTGGGCAAGTTACTTAACATCTCTGTGCCTCCATTTCTGTTATCTGTAAATAGCAGTAATAATGGTACCCATCTCAGGATTGTTGGGAGGATTAAATCAATTAGCGCTTGGTATATAGTATACACTCAATAAGTGTTAGATGTCATAATTATTATTACCATTACTATTACTAGATATTGTGAGACTATGTGTGTATAAGGTGGGGGTGGGTGGGTGGCAAAAAATCCATAACACGATGTCTGCATTTAGAATCTAGTAAAGCAAGTGGAACATATAAAACACTACAGGCAGAATATAGAAAATGGAAAAAGAGGATTGCAACCAAAATGTCATAGGAATTTAGAGGTCATCATTCTGGTAGTGGGTGCCTTTCTTACTATCTTTATTCCCACAATTAATTTACTTTTTTATTTTTATTTTGAGACAAACTCTCACTCTGTCGCCCAGGCTGGAGTGCAGTGGTGCCATCCCAGCTCACTGCTACCTCTGCCTCCCAGGTTCAACTGATTCTCCTGCGTCAGCCTCCCGAGTAGCTGGGATTACAGGTCTGTGCAACCATGCCCAGCTAATTTTTTTTTTTTTTTTTTTAGTAGAGACAGGGCTTCTCCATGTTGGCCAGGCTGGTTTCGAACTCCTGACCTCAAGTGATCCACCTGCCTCGGCCTCCCAAAGTGCTGGGATTACAGGCATGAGCTGCTGCTCCTGGCCTTATTTCAGTTTTTTAGCATGGCAGAATGTAAAGAACACAGGCTTTGGAATCATATTTGGATTTTAATCTAGTGCTGCTATTTATTTGGCACATAAACTTGGTTAAAAGACTTAAATGCTGCCAGAATGATACATATATAGTGTTGTATGAACATGCAGTATGTTAATATACGTAAGAGCTCATCAGTGGCTAGCACTTCCCTGTCTTTTATTATGTAGGGGATGGGACAGTACTAATGTGTCCCCTGTGTTCTTCACTAAGTCACATGGGACATAATGCATAAGAATAAATCACTGGATTTATACTTTCAATTTTTGTTGGTTTCCATGGAACTAGTTCAGCAGTTTCTGGCTTGATGGCCTGGTTTTATTTTCTCCCTGGCAAACGATGAAAGTGTTTCAATCCAAGGTAGCTCCCAATCAGCTTTGCCTGCAGTTTTTTAATAGACTCTTTATTTGATGTGATTATTTTGTTACTAAGGAAATTCGCTGAGATGAATGTAAATAGTTATAACATTATGATTCAAGTGTTGTTTTAAAGTATCACATGCATTGTTGACTTTGTATATTCGTTTTCTATTGCTGTCATAACAAATTACCACCAATTTAGTGGTTTAAAACAACACCAATTTAATATCTTACTGTTCTGTAGGTCAGAAAGCCAACATTCATCTTCCCGGGCTAAAAATCAAAGTGTTGCAGGTGTTGCATTCTTTTCTGGAGGTTTTAGGGGAGAATCAATTCCTGGCCTTTTCCACCTTCTGGAAGCTGCCTGCCTTCCTTGGCTTGTGACTTCAAAGCTAGCAACGTTGCATCTCTCTGAGCCTTCTGTAGTTATAGCTCCTTCTGACTACAGCTGGGAAACGTTTTTGCTTTTAAAGTCTCATGTGATTAGATTGGGGCTACCTGGTTAATCCACATCTACAGAAGTCCCTTTTGCCTTGTAAGGTAACCTATTCACAGGTTCAGGGGTGAGGGAGAGAGTGTGGACACTTTTGGAGGACCAGTATTCTTCCACCTACATTTAGTGGTAGAACCCAGAAATGATGCCCCCCACCAGACAAAAAAAAAGCTTTAGAGCACAAAGAAATAAGAACACCTAGATGTTGGTGAAAATGTAAGCAATAGTTCTACAGCTTTCTAGAGCTCATGAACAGCAGGGAAACAAAAAAGAAAAAGAAAAAATGTAAGTGATAATTCATAAAATGTCAAGGAAACCTTTACTCAACTTTCACCCACAATCTTTTACACATACTCAGTGTTTGAAATAATAAACCAATAATTGCTACTGACTGTTTAGGTTATACCACAGATTAGAAAAATACTGATTCCTTTGGATGAGCTGCATGTTCAGGCTCCATTCATGCTGGAGAATTTACAATGCTGTCCGCTTTGCTGGGATGACAATTCCTATAGCCCTTCTCTTGACCCAGACAACTTGTCTTTATTCTTCAAGTCAAGACCTTATGAATAAGGCTTTCCATGAATCCCAGATTTGGTTAGATCTCATCCTACCTTGTACATCTCTTTGTTCACCCTCACCACATTTGGAATTGTTGCTTTACTATTCTTCTTCACTGCTGTATTGTGAATTCCATGAGGACAGGGGCTCCGTTTCTCTGCTCCCATAGCTTGACACAGTGTTAGGATCTAAAAAAAACATGCTGAATTGAATTGGGTACCATTAAGGAGATGGTAATAAGAGTCATTGTGTTTGGGAGGCTGAGGCAGGCAGATCGCTTGAGTCCAGGAGTTCCAGACCAGTGTGGGGAACATGGTGAAACCCTGTCTCTACTAAAAATAAAAAAATTAGCTGGGCATGGTGGTGTACACCTGTAGTCCCAGTTACTTGGGGGCTGAGGTGGGAAAATCACTTGAGCCCAGGAGGCTGCAATGAACCCTGATTATGCCACTGCGCTCCAGTTTGGGCGACAGAAACCTGACCCTGTCTCAAAAAAAGGAAAAAAAAAAAGTCACTGTGGGCTATTGAAGCTGCCTTCCAGGTTCGGACTATTTCCACTAAGCAGGGAAGGGAAATTCGCACACATTCCAGTCTCTAGGTAAAAATCTTGAAGTGGTGTGCTACTGCAAAGTCCTCTCTTGAAAAAAGACACAGGTATAACCTCTGATTTGATTGTTTTGAGATAGATGACCTCCCGCAGACAAGGCTGCAGTTTACCAGGTGTACTGTGTTCAGCCTGTAGGTGTAGTTACCTTCAAATACCTTAAGTGGCTGTTTGCTCTTGCTCCACGCTTTTCTGTTTTTGCATGTGAGTGTGCGTGTTAATGATTTAAGGCATTGATTGTTGGCCTCTTTAACTAGCACCCGTTTGATTTTCTGCGTAACTCTCTCTCATTTTCTACAGGACTTGATATTGGTAGCTTTTATCTTATTGGCTATGGGATGATATTATGATGGTTTACAGTTGTCAGGTATTACAGGAGTTGTATATTTTGTATATTTCAGTAGTGTGGACAATATGATTGAAGTGTGTTAGGATATTTTTGCATACAGAATTCCAACTTAAATGTATAATAATTATAATTCCATAATAACTGAATCTGTAGTCATGCAATATGTTATGTATTATAAAATGTATGGAAAAATATACTTAGATATGAGTATATATGATATGAGTATATATGATCAGATAAAGTTTGGGCATTTATAGAGAGAAATCGCATTAGCCTGTATTTTTACGGCTGTGGAAATCTAGCCTGTGTTTTTGTAGCTTCATTCATTTTATTTTTCTTTGAGATGGAGTTTCACTCTTGTCACCTAGGGTGGAGTGCAATAGCGCGATCTCGGCTCACTGCAACCTCCGCCTCCTGGGTTCAAGTGATTCTCCTGCCTCAGCCTCCCAAGTAGCTGGGTTTACAGACATGCGCCACCACACCCGGCTAATTTTGTATTTTTAGTAGAGATGGGGTTTCACCATGTTGGCCAGGCTGTTCTCGAACTCCTGACCTCAAGTGATCCACCCACCTTAGCCTCCCAAAGTGCTGGGATTACAGGGGTGAGCCACCGCGCCCAGCCGCTTCATTCATTTTCGTCAACGTTTGGATGCATCCTCTATTTGGAATTTATTTTGTAATGCCTAACCTTGTTTTTACTCTAACTCGCTACTTTAAATTTTCCCTGTTTGTCTCTTTAATCACCTAGCCTTGCTTCTCCTGTAAATAAGACTCTCTAGCTGGGAAAGCCGGACAAACTCCAACTGACCCCTTAATTTACAAGACACTAAGGGCTCCTTACCCAATCCCCTTCCGCAAGGAGTTAACCTGTGTAAGTAGATCCTCAGCATTTCAAAGGAGCCCAATTAACTGATAAGGTACTGAAACAAACAATGTATGAAGTTCCCAGGATTTTACACAGAGATAACAACATAAAGCCTTGAGTCCGTGTCCGGCATAGCATCTATATCTAACTCTAATGAAAGATTTAGAGCCCCACACCTGGTTCCGTTGCTTTTTTGTAACCATTTGTCTTTTTAAATTGTTTATCTCTCTGTAACCATTTGTTTCTTTGATTCTTGCATGTTTTTACTTCTGTAGAATTATTGCATTTAACTTCCCCTCCCCTTCCTAAACCAAGGTATAAAAGTTAATCAAGCCCCTTCCTTGGGGCCGAGAGAATTTTGAGCGTTAGCCATCTCTTTGGCTGCTGGCTTAAATAAAAGACTCTTAATTCGTCTCAGAGTGTGGCGTTTTCTCTAACTCGCCTGGGTGTAACAATTTTAACAAGAGTCATGTAGGAGGGAACATGGTTAGCAAAAGCACTCTACTTAGTGCCAGTAGGTTTGTATTTTGCTCCTGATTCTGATACTTTTGAACAGCATCAGTTAGGCAACCCATTTCACCTCTCTCCTTTTTTTTTTTTTTTTTTTGAGACAGAGTCTCACTCTGATGCCCAGGCTGGAATGCAGTGGTGTGATCTTGGTTCACGGCAACCTCTGCCTCCCAGGTTCAAGCTATTCTCCTGCCTCAGCCTCCCAAGTAGCTGGGATTACAGGCATGTGCGACCACGCCTGGCTAATTTTGTATTTTTAGTAGAGACAGGGCTTCACCATGTTGGCCAGGATGGTCTTGATCTCTTGAGCTCGTGATCTGCCCACCTCAGCCTCCCAAAGTGCTGGGATTACAGTCGTGAGACACCGCATCCAGCCATTTCAACTCTCTTAGCTTCAGTTTCTTCATCTGCAACCACACAGCATTGGCAAATGGATCAAAAATAAAATAAGATAGGGTATAGAAGAGTTTTTGTAAACTGTGAGACACTATAAAAAACATAGACAAGGTATTCTGATGGCGTCCATTAGCATGAATGTAATAAGTAAATAAATAATACTTGATGATGATGGATGCCCCACTGGCAAGTCCAGGGAGCTTTAAGTCAGCAGTTTGGAAATCTCAAATTGTCAACAGAGGATCACAGACCAGAAGAGGTTGGGAGAGAAACAAAAGATGGAATGTGAGCTGCAAATCCAAATTAGCCACAAGGATTAAACATGAGGAGTTGAGGGGAAGCCTTCCAATGTTATATTTTCTTCTAGTCCCTGTACTTTCCTGACAGAATGTAGATTTTGTTTGTTTGTTTTTGAGACAGGGTCTCACTCTGTCACCCAGGCTGGAGTGCAGTGGCATGATCATGGCTCACTGCAGCCTTGAACTCCCTGGGGTCAGGTGATCCTTTCATCTCAGCCTCCTAAATAGCTGGGACTATAGGTGCATGCCATCATACCCGGCTAATTTTTGCATTTTTTTCTGTAGAGAAGGCATTTGATCATGTTGCCCAGGCTTGTCTTGCACTCTTGGGCTTCAGCAGTCTGCCCACCTTGGCCTCTCAAAGTGCTGGGATTACAGGCATGAGCCACCACACTTGGCTGTAAATAGATTTCTCATTGTTTGAAAACTAGTATGTACAGAATAAAAAGAAAATAACAAAAAATTTCCACAATCCCACCCAAATTATCTGGTTCTTTTAAGGTTTAGTCAATCAGGCAATTTGATCCATCAATCAATTCATCAAGTCATTGACTTCTAAACCCTCCCACTACTATCTTTTGGCTCCAGGCCTTTTCTTGTTCTCGTAGATTCAGAATAGAATAAACCAGTTCCGGGAACTAACAACATTGGGAATGCTCAGAGGTAGAAGCTGTCTTGATTGGAAATATCCTGAGTTACAACTAAAGTGACTGGATATAACCTAGTGGGTTACTTGCTGGATCTAGACCCATACTAAACTTGCTCTGCTCCAAACTTCTGTTGTATTGTTATAGAATACTGCAAAATTAGCTCACCCACCCCATCCTTTAGTCTAAGAAATGCAGTATAACATTTGGTGAAGATCAGCAGAAAAAAAAAATATTTTGCCAATTTCAGAAATGTCCCGCTCCATAAGAAACTATAACTGGTGTTATAATGTATAGGGTAATTTTTGGAAAAGCTTGCTTTATTGCTTCATTAAATAGTGAGACTGTGGTTTTGGCAAAACCTTATGAACATATTTCTAGAGTAGTAGATAAGAAGGCTGACACCTGAACCTCTTGATTCCTGTTCTTTGCCAGAATTTTCCAGTTCTCTTTGTCTGGAACATCATGATCAGTTCATTTGGTAGTGACCAGTCTCTGGAGAAAGTAGCTCTTGCTGTTCAAACTTACACTTACACTTGAAAAGAAAGGTGGTAGTTTTTAATGAGAATTGTCACTGCTAACTTTGACAGATGGTCACAAGACAACCATCTCAAAAGAAAAACCTACCTGGGAAATATAGGATTAATGTTGCTTGGTGTATCTAGAACAAGGGCAAAGAAATTACATGTCCCCCCACTTCACGAAGATAATTTTGTATCTGCCTTGCAACCAGATAAGATTGTCTTGTTGGTTGGGTGTGGTGGTGCACGTCTATAATCCCAGTGCTTTGGGAGGTCTAGGCATGAGGATCGCCTGAGGCCGGGAGTTTGAGACCAGCCTGGGCAACATAGTGAGTGAGGCCTTGTCTCTACCAAAATTTTAAAAATTAGCTGGGTGTAGTGGCATGTGCCTGTAGTCCCAGCTATGTGGTAGGCTGAGATGGGAGCAAATACTATCACCCTGTCCCATTCCAATGAGTTTTGCAACTTATTTTACACTTTTATTTTTAAGTTGAATGCTTCCTGATAATCACATTTGGGTTGACACATTTCCAAGTTAAACTGTAGATTGATTTCTTCTTGTAATCCATTTGTTCCTACTTGTTCCAGTTGAACTAACAGAGGTTTCAGAAAGGTCAGCTTTCTCCGGTGGCATTTTTTACCTTTGCAGCAATTGTGCCAGCCCGTATTGATTCATATCCTGGATAAACAAAGAGGAATATGACACTGTTTCTGTCTTTTAGGAGCTTGTGACCTACCTGGGTAGCCATATACATAGTAAGTAGAATACAGTGTGAGACATTTTATATTAGATCAGCAATCTTCAGGTTTTTCTTCCATTATGAACCCCTTTTATTATTATTTTTTGCCAGGAATCTTATGTTTTGAAAGATTTTGACACCCTTTCCCCAATACTCATTTGTTAAGTAATAATGAGTTTATTTTTTTCTCTCTCTCTTTTAACTAATCAGACACCTGAACTTCTGATTAGCAAGAGAAAATGATTGTTACCACACTTGGTTGATATAATTAGAGCTGAAGGCAAATACATGTGATGTTTTGGCTTGTCTGAACAGCCTTGGCATGGGTACATGTAGGGTTTCTGTTGGCTTAAAAAAAATTTTATGGGAACATTCAAATAAAAGTAGAGGCTGTTCTCTTTTTTTTTCTTTTCTTTTTTTTTTTTTTTTGAGACTGAGTCTTGCTCTGTCTCCCAGGTTGGAGTGCAGTGGCGTGATCTCGGCTCACTGCAAGCTCCGCCTCCCAGGTTCACGCCATTCTCCTGCCTCAGCCTCCTGAGTAGCTGGGACTACAGGCATCCACCACCATGCCCAGCTAATTTTTGTGTTTTTAGTAGAGATGGGGTTTCACCATGTTGGCCAGGATGTTCTCGATCTCTTGACCTCGTGATCTGCCCGCCTCGGCCTCCCACAGTGCTGAGATTACAGGCGTGAGCCACTGTGCCCAGCCAACAGTATTTTCTTCTTAGGATAATGTTTTTAAATGCATAAATATTAAAAATTATAATGGAAACCAATTGCAAAGATTTAGTTGTCAAATTATTAAAAAGCAAATTGGGATATATGTTAATATAGAGGCTTCTTTTCTTTAAAATTTACTAAGTAACAAAATATCACAATGAGTTTTTAATTACAATTTTTTTTTTTTAACTTTTATAGAGATGAGGTCTTGCTATTTTGCCCAGGCTGGTCTCCAACTTGTGGCCTTAGGTGATCCTCCCGCCTTGGCCTTCCCAACGTGCTAGGATTACAAGTGTGAGCCAGCATGCCTGGTTTACCA
This sequence comes from Homo sapiens, assembly GCF_000001405.40. Lineage (NCBI taxonomy): Eukaryota > Metazoa > Chordata > Mammalia > Primates > Hominidae > Homo > Homo sapiens. Next base: position 107,829,973 of record NC_000011.10, on the reverse strand, counting down.
TGATTTTGGAGTAGTGATGAATATAAATTTTATTTGAAATTTTAGCTATAGTAGCCATACGAAGTGAAAATATCTGTGAATTCTTTTGGCAGCAAAGTCTTAGGTCTTGCTAGCACCACTATAGTTTGTTGCCTATGTTTATAATTGAAGGGATTGTTAAATTTTAGTTCAATGTTACTGAAAATGAGGATATATATATTTTTTTCTACTGAAGTTCATAGACCCTAGAATATTTTCATGGACCTGGTCCATGTGCCCCAGGTTAAAAACTCTGTAGTCTTTTTTTTTTTTTTTTTGTGAGATTTCATAGGTATTATGTACTACCATCAAGAGGTGTCTTAATTTGTTTTTTGTTGCTATAAAAATATGCAAGACTGGTAATTTATACAGAAAAGAAGTTTATTTCATATAGCTCTAAAGGCTGGGAAGTCCAAAGATTGAGCAGCTGCATCTGTTTGGCTTCTGGTGAGGGCCTCATACTGTGTCATAGCATGGTGGAAGGCATCACAGGGCGAGAAGGGTGCACTGGGAGTCAAACAAGTTTTTTTTTTTTTTGAGATGTAGTCTCACTCTGTCACCCAGACTGTAGTGCGGTGGCACGATCTCTGTTCACTGCAGCCTCTGCCTCCTGTGTTCAAATGATTCTCCTGCTTCAGCCTCCCAAGTAGCTGGGATCACAGGCACCTGCCACCATGCCTGGCTAATTTTTGTACTTTTAGTAGAGATGGGGTTTCACCATGTTGACCAGGCTGGTCTCGAACTCCTGACCTCAGGTGATTGGCCCACCTCAGCCTTCCAAAGTGCTGAGATTACAGGTGTGAGCTTTTTTTTTTTTTCTTTTTTTTTTTTCCTACTGACCTCCTGCTCCAAGACAGTCTCACTCTGTCGCCCAGGCTGGAGTGCAGTGGCGTGATCTTGGCTCACTGCAGCCTCCTCCTGCCAGGTTCAAGCAATTCTCCTGCCTCAGCCTCCTGAGTGGCTGGGACTACAGGCGTGCACCACCACTCCTGGCTAATTTTTTGTATTTTTAGTAGAGACAGGGTTTCACCATGTTGGCCAGGCTGGTCTCGAACTTCTGGCCTCAAGTGATCTGCCCACCTCGGCCTCCCAAAGTGCTGGGATTACAGGCATGAGTCACTGCGCCCGGCCGGGATTAAGTTTCAGCATGAGTTTTAGAAAGGGCAGATATTCAAATCATAGCAGGAGACATATAATTTTTTCTTGTCTCTTTCTTTTTTGTTGTTAGGAGCTATTGATGTTTTGTCTAGATCCATTATTTTATTAGGGCTCCTAAAGTGATATTTTATTTGTCATCCCATCTTAATTCATTATACAGACTATTTCCACAAGGACAAACTCCTTTTCATCAACTCTTTGATTACCCTGAGGTATAATTTGTATAAGAAGGGCAGGATAAACATTAATTCATTTCTTTTATTCACTAGTCTTCAAAATAGTAAGTTCATTCCCTAGCACCCTCCAAAGAAGACCAGCAAGTTAAAAAAAATTTTTAGTATTGCTATTTTTTTTTTTTTTTTTTGAGATGGAGTTTCGGTCTTTAAGGTAGGCTGGAGTGCAGTGGTGCGATCTCAGTTCACTGCAACCTCCGCCTTCCGGTTTCAAGCGATTCTCCTGCCTCAGCCTCCTGAGTAGCTGGGATTACAGGCTCCCGCCACTGGCACAGCTAATTTTTGTATTTTTAATAGAGACGTGGTTTCACCATGTTGGCCAGGCTGGTCTTGAACTTCTGACCTCGTGATCCACCTGCCTCAGCCTCCCAGAGTGCTGGGATTACAGGCCTGAGCCACTGTGCCCAGCCAGTATTGCTATTAACTCATGGATTTAAACATTTGAGGTGTTTCAGTCCATTGCAGTTATTCTTCCCAGTGCTAAGAATTTATTTTTGTCATAGATTCAATCCTTAGTTTTCTTGCTATTTGGTGTGACAAGATGTTTCAGGCTTATTTTGTAAATTTCCTGCCCCAGGTCTGAAATCAGCCGTTCTCCAAAAAGCTCTAGTTCTTTTTATTTTTGTTTACTTAATTAATTAATTTATTTATTTTGAGACAGAGTATTACTCTATCGCCCAGGCTGGAGTGCAATGATGCAATCTCGGCTCACTGCAACCTGTGCTTCCTGGGTTCAAGTGATTCTCCTCCCTCAGCTTCCTGGATAGTTGGGATTATGGGTGCTCCACCACGCCCAGCTAATTTTTTTTTTTTTTTGAGACAGAGTCTTGCTCTGTCGCCCAGGCTGGAGTGCAGTGTTGCGATCTCGGCTCACTGCAACCACTGCCTCCTGGGTTCTAGTGATTCTCTTGCCTCAGCCTTCCGAGTAGCTGGGATTACAGGTGCATGCCACCATGCCCGGCTGATTTTTGTATTTTTAGTAGAGATGGGGTTTCGCCATGGTGGCCAGGCTGGTCTCGAACTCCTGAGCTCAGGTGATCCTCCCGCCCCGGCCTCCTGAAGTGCTGGGATTACAGGCGTGAGCCACCACATCCAGCCATTTTTGTATTTTTAGTAGAGATGGGGTTTCACCCTTTTGGCCAGGCTAGTCTTGAACACCTGACCTCAAGTGATCCACCCACCTTGGCCTCGCAAAGTGCTGGTATTACAGGTGTGAGCCACCACGCCCAGCTCCTAGTTCTTTTTAGTGGGAGGTAGTATTTAGTTGCCATTATCTAGGCACTAGGGGTGTTCATAATTAATGGATTAGTCATTGTTTCAGAGCTTTTTAGGGGAAAGAGATAGGATATATATATGTATATGTTATGAAATACTCATGACATACTACGAAGTACTCATGAGTCAATTGTACCTTTCAGTAAAGTTCAAAACTATAAGGTTTTTAACTCAACCTCTTCAATCTTACATCTTCATCTTTTTTCTATATATCCCAATGAATACATCAATATTCATATTGTATATGTATGTATATACGATATTCATATATCAATATGTATATACAATATTCATATTGTAGGGGGACATAGCACTGAAAACCAGAAGAGGTTAAAGGGGCTTCCATCAATATAATTTTCTTATTTTCTGTATTCCACAGTATTTGTAAATACTCCCAGAATAATATCAACACCATATCAAAACAGTTTAAGCTATTGTACAGTTCTTTTTGATCCTATGGTATATTTTATTAGGAGTGTACTATCAAATTAGTATATTTTAAAGTCCCTTGAAATAATTCCTGTCAGGTTTTGCTACCAATTTTTAAAACATCAAGTTTATTTTAAATTTTATTTTAGATGTGGCTTTTTTAAATTTAATTTTTGTTTTACATAATTATAAGTTATGTAACATACTTACATGGCCTCAAAGGCAAATCTATAAAACAAGGTATAGTCAGACATACACCTTTTACTTTGCTCCCTCTGCTGTCCTCCCTATACACAACTTTTAAAAAGTTTTGTTTTGGCTGGATGCAGTGGCTGATGTCTGTAATCCCAGCACTTTGGGAGGCCAAGGAGAATGGATCACCTGAGGTCAGGAGTTCGAGACCAGCCTGACCAACATGGAGAAACCCTATCTCTACTAAAAATACAAAATTGGTTGGACGTGGTGGCACATGCCTGTAATCCCAGCTACTTGGGAAGCGGAGGTTGTGGTGAGCCCAGATCGAGCTATTGCACTCCAGCATGGACAACAAGAGCAAAACTGCATCTCAAAAAAAAAAAAAAAGTTTTATCTTTCCTTTTAAAAAATTAACAAATTATAGATAAATATTTGCATTCCATACCCATTTTTCTCCACATTTGCTTCCTTTTTAAAAAAGGTATACCTGGCAGTCACTTTATAACAGTACATATAAATATGTGCCTTGCTTTTTATAGCTGTACAGTAGTACTCCTGTGTGTTTATTCAGCTAGTCTCCCATTGTTAGACATTTTGTTTTTTTCCTTTAGTCTTTTGCTAGTATAAATAGTGCTGTAATGAATAGCTTTGTAAATACACCTTTTTGTATTTTTGCCAGAGTTGCCTTGGGGTAGATTCCTTGAGACAAAATTGCTAGAAATTGTCAAATCAGCACCCCCAAACTCTCCCGCTGAAATAGAGATTTATTATTTTACGCTTTTACCAGCAACAGTCAGAAGTACTGTTAAGTTTTTGAAGTGTCAAAAACAGATCCTGAACAGCCCATGGATTGCATTCACTTCTTCCACGGATTCCTAAAAGTTGAGAGACCTCAGAATCAGAAGCATTGCTGTAGACCCTTGCTCACTCAAAGTCTGGTCCGTGGACCAGCAGCATAAGTATCTCCTGAGAGCTTCTTAGGAATGCGGAATCTCAGGTCGGGCGCGGTGGCTCACGACTGTAATCCCAACAACTTTGGGGGGCCGAGGTGGGCGGATCACGAGGTCAGGAGTTTGAGACCAGCCTGACCAACATGGTGAAACCCGTCTCTACTAAAACTACAAAAATAAGCTGTGTGTGGTGGCAGGCGCCTGTAATCCCAGCTACTGGAGAGGCTGAGGCAGGAGAATCACTTGAACCCAGGAGGTGGAGGTTGCGGTGAGCCGCGATCGTGCCACTGGACTCCAGCCTGGGCAACAGATCGAGACTCCATCTCAAAAAAAAAAGAAAAAAAAAAAAAAAAAGAAAGAAATGCGGAATCTCAGGCCTCTCTCCAAACCTACTGAATCAGAAGCTGCACTTTAACAAGAGCCTTAGATGATTCATATCACATGAAAGTTTGAGAAGCACCAGGCTAGGGCTGTGTTATTCAATACTATAACCCCCAGCCACATGTGGTTATTTAAATGAAAATGAATTAAAATAGAATAAAACAAAAAATTCAGTTCCTCATTTATACTAGCCACATTTGAAGTGCTCAAGAACTACTTTTCAAACATTTCCATCGTTGTGGTAACATCTACAGTATTGCACAATGCTGATCCCTGGCTTCACTGTCTAATTTGGTAGCCATTCTCCATATATGGCTATTTTATTTAAGTTGAAACGAAATTACATTAAACATTCAATTCCTCATTCACATTAGCCATGTTTCAAACACTCAATGGCTGCATATAGGTAGAGGCTACTCTATTGGATGGTGCATATATAGAGCCATGTTTCAAACACTCAATGGCTGCATATGGGTAGAGGCTACTCTATTGGATGGTGCATATATAGAATAGACAGGTATGGTCAAGAGGTTACCAAAAGACAGGGCGAGCCAGAGGAAGGAAGGAAATAAAATGCACTCAGTGCCTCAGGTGGGTGGATGTGCTAGGTACTTTTATAGGTTACATCAATTAACCCTTAGGCGCATAAAGGTGGTATTACACTCACTTAAAAAAGACATAAGAGAACTACCTAACACTAATAAAGAGTAGAGTTAGATCTTTGGATTCAAAGACTAGGATTCTTTCTGCTATGTTCAGAAGGAATAATCTTTTCTTGAAGGTCACATCCAAATTGCACTCTCTACTAGCCTTTTCCAGAACAGCACATGGTGTGAACCACTGTTTTCACTTGCCTGTACCTGTTTCTCCTCTCTTTCATGTTTCAAATTTAAATCCAGAACCCAGTTTTATCTAACTCTGGAGTTTGTATTTTTTCCACTGTAACATTCATTGAGTTCACTTTTGAGGGCCTCTTGTCTACAGTATTGTCTGCCTTGCATTTTAACATGATGCCATCTTCATAATAGTGCATTTTTTGTTAATAAACATTTACTGAGCACCTATTCCGAGTAAGACATCATCCAGTGAGCAAAAAGAAAACACTGATTTCCTTTCTTTTACTTGCCTTCTTTGTGAGGTGATCATATACACCAATACACTATCTATTTTTTAAAATTTGACTTTTTTAGCTACTTTGAGTTTTGAATATGACTAACAGAATGTAGGTTCTTCACAATTGCAAGCTACTCATGCTTACTAGAATTAGATGATACATTGATGGCTAAACTTTTGAATCGTAGGACTATGGAGATGGAAAGAAAACAGTTCATCTTGGCTGCTACTCACTATGTAAAGAAAAGCTACTTATAATTTATTTCTTTTCTTTTTTCTTTTTTTTTTTTTTTTTGAGACTGTCTTGTTATGTCGCCCAGGCTAGAATGAAGTGGCATGATCTTGGCTCACTGCAAACTCCGCTTCCTGGGTTCAAGTGATTCTCTTGCCTCAGCCTCCTGAGTAGCTGGGACTATAGGTGCACGCCACCACACCTTACTAATTTTTGTACTTTTAGTAGATATGGGGTTTTGCCATGTTGGCCAGGCTGGTGTCAAACTCCTGGCCTCAAGTGATCTGCCCACCTCTGCTTCCCAAAGTGCTGGAATTACAGGTGTGAGTCACAGTGCCTGACCAAAAACTACTTATAATTTATTTCTAAACATGCTTCCGATATAATTTAAAATGCTTTAGAAATAGAAACTGGGTAGCTTATGTGCAGAGTGCGAGAACTTGGCCTAAATGTATATTTCTTTTTGGGTTCATAATAGGATTTTTATAGACGTACTGGAAGTTATTATTCTTTACCAGGTATTTACAGGTGGCAGATGTAATGGATTTTAAAATCTCCCCCAAGTAACTATGTTCCATAGGAGTCTTAGCACTAATATGAAATCCTGCCTTTAGCTGACAACATGCAACCTAGCAGCACAGATTTATTGAGACATAAAGTGAAGGGAATGCATAATTTGCATTCAAATAATGCATCTTATCGGTCACTTGGAACTCCTTTTTTTCAAATAAAAAGAAAAGAATAATTTAGTGGTTTGCCGTCCTGATCATGTCTTAGACTCATCTGGGAGACTTAAAATAGGCTGATACTTGGAATCTACCCTCTGAGAATCTGATCCAACTGGTTTGGGCTGGGGTCTTGTTGTCAGTGTTATTTTTAAAGCCCAGTGATTTTTAAATATATAATCAGTAGAGGACTGCCTATCTAATTTGAAATAGTAAATAAAGAAGAGCTAAAGAAATGAATGCATCTCATCATTGTGTCTCATATATATATTATATATATGTGTATATGAATGCATCCCATCATTGTGTCTCATATATATATATAATGTAAAACTAGTGTTTAAATTAGGCACAAACTTGTATTATGGCCTTTCCTGCATTCCTCAATCTTCCTAAAATACCTTTCAGGTGTGTGATTGTTTTGACTCCTCTGTGAACCTTCTCCAGGACATCTTGAGCTTTCCTTCTCCTTGGCTGCATGCACAACTCTTATTTTAACCCTTTCTCATTTTATTGTGGTTTTGTGTTGTGAGGTCTGTCTGACTCCTCACACAGAAAACTTCTGAGGTTGTTCAACAATAGCAAATACCCTATTTGCCAGGCACTATTAATCATGGAGAATATAATGTCCCTTTCCTCCTGGAGCTTAGAGTTTTGGGGAAAGAACAGTGTGTGGTGGGTACTGTGATGGAGGGTTGTGGTATTTTGTGGGGGCACACAGTGGAGCTCCCCGATGTGTTCTGGGGAGAAGAAAGAGGGTCTGGGACTAGAAAATAGGTGAGTCTTAATTCTAAATTCCTTGTGCTTGGCACATATTAACAACCATTGAACTTTGGTGAATATATGACTGAGGAGCTTACTGACTGAAGATGTAAATAAAAATATATTTTCATTGGAAATCAGGTACATAAGTATCTATTTTGGAATGGAAGGGAGGTTACGATATACATTTTAAGTTTCCTAGAAGAAAGAAGGAGTGAAGTAAAGTGCCACATGATCTTTTCTTCTTTCATTCCTTAAATTTTTTTTTTGAGACGGAGTCTCGCTTTGTTGCCCACGCTGGAGTGCAGTGGTGTGATCTGCAGCCTCTGCCTCCTGGGTTCAAGTGATTCTCCCGCTTCAGCCTCTCGAGTAGCTGGAATTACAGGCATGTGCCACCACACCCAGTTAATTTTTTTTGTATTTTTCCAAAATATATGGGGTTTCACCATGTTGGCCAGGCTGGTCTTGAACTCCTGACCTCAAGTGATCCGCCTGCCTTGGCCTCCCAAAGTGCTGGGATTACAGGCATAAGCCACTGTGCCTGGCCTCATGCCTTAAATTCTTAAAGTTATAAAATAGATTCTAATAGTAATGTGGTTGGAAGTGACCTTACTCAGCCCATCTTCTACCTGTTTGTCCACTCCTGCCCTCAGTGATCCATAACTCTTGTTTGCTGTGTATTCTGGTAGCCTGGCCCCCAGTGTGAAGCTGCCTTGGGGAAATTTGTCTTGGAGTTGGATCATATCCTGCCATTGAAGTTCATTTTAGTGGAGGTTCCGTTAGTAAAACCGGGACAGGATATATCCCAAGGTCAGATGCATGTTTCTTCTGGCAGCTTTGCTTAAACAGGAACAGGTTTTGTTATGGTATAGAGGGTTCCTCTGTTCAGAATTCACATGAACCAGGACCTTGTACAAATTTATACAAACATGAAAGTGGAGCTATAAGTAACAAAAATTGTTTTGAGGCCTTCAGTGTCTATAAGTTTGAGTGTTCTTGTCTTCTTTCTTCCTTTGCTCAATTTCCTACCCCCTCCCCGCCAGCTTTTCTCTCTCACTCTTGCTCTCCTACTCCTCTATTATAGATGAGGTCATTATGATTTGGAGCCAAGAGAAGTGCATTCCTGTAACTTTAAATCTCCATACTCAATTTGTGACTCTCCTTTTTTTAGAAGATAGTTTTACTTTATAGTTGGAGGACAGCTTGCTTAATTGTGCTATTTTAGAATGCAGATATGAGCTTACTGTAGGAATTCTGTCAATTTGTGAAGAGGGCTTAATGCTTCCACACTTTTTATTCTCACTTATTTCAGATTTATAATTGCTTTCAAGTCCATTATGAGATGTGAAAAATGCTCTCAATTTGATTAGGTTATCAGCCACTTGGTTAGGGTTTCTGTGCCTGGTACTTTGGACATCCAACTCCCCCATGATGTACAGGGAAGCAGTGTGACTACTGGGAGGAGAGAGATCAGGCCAGGTTCCTTCTTTCCTGACAGCAAGGCGAGGTACAGGGATGCTTTGAAGAAGGGTGTTTTGTTTTGTTTTGAGACAGAGTCTTGCTCTGTTGCCCAGGCTGGAGTGCAGTAGCGCCATCTCAGCTCACTGAAACCTCTGCCTCCCAGGTTCAAGCAATTCTCCTGTCTCAGCCTCCCAAGTAGCTGGGATTACAGGCGCCTGCCACTATGCCCAGCTAATTTTTGTATTTTTAGTAGAGACGGGATTTCACTATGTCAGCCAGGTTGGTCTTGAACTCCTGACCTCAAGTGATCCGCCCGCCTCAGCCTTGCAAAGTGGTGGGATTACAGGCGTGAGCCACTGCGCCCAGCCTGAAGGGGTTTTCTAATATAAACTCTGTTATAAAATCATAATGGAGAGATACAGGAGGGGAAGAGAGGGATGAGGGGAAGGACAGGAAGGAGAAAGAGATATAGAACGTAGGAAGATACCAACTGTGAGGGATGACCCACCTGTTATCCCAAGACTGTGTGCTGTAGGAGGGATAGCAGATGTTTAATGGCCAGGAAATTTGGGCATTAACACTGCTCCTGTGTGATCTTAGGCAAAACACTACTCTCTTCTGGGCCCCAGTCTCCTTGATTAAAGTGGGTTAGTGCCAAGGTTCTGCAATTCTGAGACTTCCAGGGAAGAGAGGAAGTTTCCTTAGAGCCCTCTCTCCCTCCCTCCTTCCTTCCTTCCCCTCCCTCCCTTTCTTTTCTCTCTCTCCCAATTTTTTTTTTTTTATTTTTTGGGCAAACTCTCACTCTTTTGCCCAGGCTGGAGTGCAGTGGTATGATCTCGGCTCACTGGAACCTCTGCCTCTCAGGTTCAAGCGATTTTCCTCCCTCAGCCTCCGAGAAGCTGGGATTACAGGCGTGTACCACCACACCCAGCTAAATTTTGTATTTTTAGTAGAGACTGGGTTTCACCATGTTGACCAAGCTGGTCTCAAACTCCTGACCTCGGGTAATCCATCCGCCTTGGCCTCTTAAATTGCTGGGATTACAGGTGTGAGCCACCTTTAAGCAAATTTGAATCCTGTGATCTGGTCTTTTAATAGGAGCACTGATCTCTTCTGCCTTTTACGGACAGTATGACAATGGGTGAATTCTGGACCCACTCTGAGTCATCTTCTCCATCTGTAACATGAGTGCAATAGTACTTTTCTCAGGGCTGTTGTCAGGATCATGTTATTGAGATTGTGAGCTGTGATAGGTATTAATTGAACAATGAAATATAGGGAAATCGGAACCATTTCCTCAGCCAGGTACCTCTCCCCACATGGTTCCTGAGAGAAGCATATGGCTGGGAATAATGACACAAAATGAATGAACTTTTTCAGCCTTTGGCTTTGGCCCCACATTCCTGGAGACTCCTGGTGCACTATACCGGACTAAGTGGTGAATTTCCTTTGTCTAGGATAGGGCAGCCTCAGACCCGAATCAATGCAAACCATGACTCCTTCAAGAGGAAGTGTGCACAAGAGAAGGAGATAGCAACTCTGGATCTGGTTTAGCTCATCAGCTGGTGCCTGGTAGAGCATGCTTAGAAAGAATGCTACCTGTAGGGGAGGAAATCCTTAACGTTTTGCTCATCTTGGTGAAAATTTCCTCCAGTAACCTAACACAGTGTCCTTGGATTTGGCCAGTTCTTGACATCATCACCTTCCCTTTGGAGAGTGGAGATTCCTTACTTTTGAGAGTACCAGACTCAGCTACATGAAGTAATATAACCCTTTGGAGAGCAATCTAGGAAAACGAAACTGAAGATGCTCATGCCCTAAGAACAAACACCATCTCGTCCAATTCTGTTCTTGGATATATCTCCAGAGCAAGTGATTCCTTTAAACTTTACTATAGAAATAGAAAGTCATTATATTTGTAGGACACTCTGAGTTTCCTGCTCCCAGCAGAATGCAACTGGCTGGAATCTCTCCAGATGCCTTAGATGGCTCCCATCAGGTCATCCTGAGTACTGAGGAGATTAAATCTCAGCATATCTATAACCACCCCCCCACTTTTTTAAAATAGAGACAGGGTCTCTCTTTGTTGCCCAGGGTGGTTTTGAACTCTTGGGCTCAAGCAATCCTCCTTCCTCAGCTTCCCAAAGTGCTGGAATTACAGGCGTGAGCCACCACGCCTCACCATCTGTAATCCATTTCTACCACCTGGCTAAAAACTAGAAAAAACTCTTAGAAAATTACATCAAGAGACATATGAAAACAAAAAAGAAAAAGGAATACAACCAAAATATTCATCAACAGTGGAATGGATCAATAAAGCATGATGTAGTCATGTGGTAGAGTACTATACAGTACTGAAAAGGAAGAACAAGAACTCATGTATCAATATGGATGGCCCTCTCAAACCATGTTGATCAAAACCACAATTGCAGAAGTATATACAGTATGATGCCGCCTGTATAAAATTTTGAAACAATACTATTTGTTGCTTAGGGATACTTACATAAATATTAAAATATGTAGAAAAGCATGAAAATAATAAATACTAAGTTCTAATTAGTTACCTCAAGAGGGCTAAGAGATTAGAGAGAACACAGGTGGGATACCTCGATGTTGCCAAATGTTTCTTTTCTTTTTTTCTTTTTTGTAGTGGTATGATCTCAGCTCACTCTAACCTCTGCCTCTTGGGTTCAAGCTATTCTTGTGCCTCAGCCTCCCCACTAGCTGGGATTACAGGCGTGCACTACTGTGCCTGGCTAATTATTGTGTTTTTAGTAGAGATGGGGTTTTGGCATGTTGCCGAGCTGGTCTCAAACTCCTGGGCTCAAGTAATTCACCCGCCTCAGCCTCCCAAAGTGTTGGGATTACAGGCGTGAGCCACTATGCCCAGCTGACAATTGTTTCTTTTTCTTTCTTTCTTTCTTTCTTTCTTTCTTTCTTTCTTTCTTTCTTTCTTTCTTTCTTTCTTTTTTTTTTTTTTTTTTTGAGACAGAGTCTTGCTCTGTCACTCAGGCTGGAGTGCAGTGGCACGATCTCGGCTCACTGCAAACTCCGCCTCCCGGGTTCAAGCGATTCTCCTGCCTCAGCCTGCTGAGTAGCTGGGACTACAGGTGCATGCCATCACACCCGGCTAATTTTGTATTTTTAGTAGAGATGGGGTTTGACCATGTTGGTTAGGCTGGTCTCGAACTCCTGACTTTGTGATCCGCCTGCCTCAGCCTCCGAAAGTTGCTGGGATTACAAGCGTGAGCCACCGTGCCTGGCAAATTGTTTATTTTTTGAGGTGATAGATACACGGATACATGTTGATTATACATTATACATACTTTGTTGTGTGTTAGATAGAAGAAATAGTAAAAATTAAAAATGAAATAAGCTGTGAGAGTAGTTCAAGGTGAGGCTGGAGATTCAGAGGGTGGGTTGCCTGTAGGCCATTTTAAAGTGTGGCTTTCACCTAAGGCCAGAGAGGAACCAGCCACCGAAAGGTTTTAGACATGAGAAATGATCTCATCATATTAACACTCAGAACATCACTCCTGCTGCAGTGTGGAGACTGGATTTGGGTAGAATGAGAGTAGGATAGGAAGAATGCTTAGAAAAAGTTTCCTCTTTGAAACGCCATCTTCTCTAGGCCTCCAGATTGTTTCTTCCTTCCTAGTTCTCCCTTTACTTCTCTGGCCATGCCCTCTTATCTCCATCTCTAATGAGTCTTTCCCGTCCAGCTCTTTTCTTTTCTTTTTTTTTCTTTTCTTTCTTTCCTTTCTTCCTTTTGTCGTCTCATTCTGTCACCCAGGCTGGAATGCAGTGGTACAGTCTCGGCTCACTGCAACCTCCGCTTCCTGTGTTCAAGTGATTCTCATGCCTCAGCCTCCCGAGTAGCTGGGATTACAGGCGCCTGCCACCACACCCCGCTAATGTTTGTAGTTTTAGTAGAGACGCGGTTTCACCATGTTGGCCAGGCTGGTCTCGAACTCAACCTCAAGTGATCTGCCTGCCTCGGCCTCCCAAAGTACTGGGGTTACAGGTGTGAGCCACCGCACCCAGCCTCTCCAGCCCTTTAAATATTGCTGTTTCCCACAGTATTTCTTTTTTGCTCTTTTCTTCCCAATTTTTAGTTATACGCCTTAGTGATCTCATTATGTTCCCACATTCAGCCACCACATTTATGCTCATGATTCTCAAGTTTATTTCTCCAATCCAATCCTTTCTTCCAGCTCCAAGCTGCCTACTGGACATTTCTTCTTGGCTGTCTCATAATTAAACAAAATCCAGCATGTCCAAAATGGAGCTATTATCTTTTCCAAATATGCCTTTTCCTTCTGCATTTAGGATCTTGGTTAACCATATTGCTATCTATCCAATTATCTGATCCAGAAAATACGTATTATTTTAGCCTCTTCTGTCTCAGTCAACTTGTTTCTTTAATTAGTTTCCATGTTAGAAATGCAGGGTAAGGGCCAGTCACGATGGCTCACCCTTGAAATCCTAGCACTTTGGGAGGCTGAGGTGGGAGGGTCCCTTGAGCCTAGGAGTTTGAGACCAGCCTGAGCAACATAGTGAAACCCCATCTCCACAAAAAAAAAAAAAAAAAAAATTAGCTGGGCATGGTGGCATGTGCCTATAGTCCCAGTTATTTGGAGGCTGAAGTGGGAGGATTGCTTGAGTCTGGGAGGTCAAGGCTGCAGTGAGCTGTGATTGCACCACTGCACTCTAGCCTGAGCAATAGAACAAGACCCTGTCTCAAAAAAAAAAAGTCATACACACACACACACACGTGCGCACTTTACAAAGTATATGTTATAGCTGAGTAATCAAAATGATCTCTAAATGGATGTTCAGTGAAATGGGGGAATATGCTTTTGTGGGAATGGAGGGGATCAGAAAAATAGAGAATAAAAATGTAGTCCTTCAGTAACTAACATTTTAATTTTTATTTCATGAAATGAAGAACCACCTGGAATAATTAGCATTTCCCTTTGTGTTTAGCAGTGTGTGTGTGTGTGTGTGTGTGTGTGTGTGTGTGTGTAAGGTATAACTTATTTGCATGCTGTTCTGATTTCTTCCCTTATTTTCTAGGAATATTTTGAAAACAATTGCCCTGGGTCAGATGTTGTCCTTGTGTATATGTGGGACAGCCATCACCAGCCAGTATTTGGCAGAAAGATACAAAGTGAACACCCCCATGCTTCAGAGCTTTATCAATTATTGCTTGCTGTTCCTAATTTATACAGTGATGCTGGCATTTCGATCAGGTATGTCAAATGTGGAAATTATCTTTTCAACAAAATTATCTTCATAAAAATTACTAGAAAAGTATGACACCTCTAAATTCTGTGAAAGTAGTGACTGGAGACTTATGCACAATTCTCTGAAATTGTTGATTAAAGTAAGTAGCACCATACTGTTTGTAACACAGAAGTTGTCCAAAAAAAAAGTGTTTTTTTTTTTGTGTGTGTGTTGTTGTTGTTGTTGTTGTTTGTTTTTGAGACAGGGTCTCACTCTGTCACCCAGGCTGGAGTGCAGTGGTGCAATCTCGACTCACTGCAGCCTTGACCTCCCAGGCTCAAGTGATCCAATTACCTCAGCCTCCCTAGTAAGCTGTGACTACAGGAGTGTGCCACCATGCCTGGCTAATTTTTTTTTTTTTTTTTTATTTTAGAGATGGGTTTTTGCCATGTTGCGCTGGCTGGTCTCTAACTCCTGGGCTCAAGTGATCTGCCCACCTCAGCCTCCCAAAGTGCTAGGATTTCAGGTGTGAGCCACTGGACCCAACCTAAAAAGTGTAAATGTCATTACAAGTTAGGTTTCCCCCCCAATTTTAAAAATATTTTAAAATATTAAGATGATATTAAAAACACTTAAAGTCAAGAACCTTACTCTCCAAAATATTTACTTCCAACTAAATAAAGATGGTAAATGGAACGTCAGTTGCACGTGTAGCTCAGGTCTCTCTCTCTTTTTTTTTATACAGAGTCTCACTCTGTCACCCAGGCTGGAGTGCAGTGGCACAATCTTGGCTCACTGCAACCTCCGCCTCCTGGGTTCAAGTGATTCTTGTGCCTCAGCCTCCTGTGTAGCTGGGACTACAGGTGCACACCACCACACCTGGCTAATTTTTGTATTTTTAGTGGAGTCCGGGTCTTACCTTGCTCCTAACCTCAAGTGATTCACCTGCCTTGCCCTCCCAGAGTGCTGGGATTATAGGCGTGAGCCACTGTGCCCAGATAATTTTTGTATTTTTTGTAGAGACAGGGTTTCACCACGTTGCCCAGGCTGGTCTCGAATTCCTGAACTCAAGTAGTCCTCCCACCTTGGCTTCCCAAAGTGCTGAGATTACAGGTGTGAGCCACTGGGCCCAGCCAGATACATTGTTATTAACCAAAGTCAATAATTTACCTTAGGGGTCGCTCTTGGTATTGTGCATTCTATGGGTTTTGACAAATGTACAATGCATACATTTACCATTACAGTATCAAACAGAACAGCTCCACTGCCTTAAAAATCCCTCTGCTCCACCTATTCATTCCTCCCTCCCTCCCCACAAACTCCTGGTAGCTGCAGCTTCTTCTTTTTTTTTTTTTTGAGGCAGAGTCTTGCTCTGTCACCCAGGTTGGAGTACAGTGCAGTGGCGTGATCTTGGCTCACTGCAATCTCTGCCTCCTGGGTTCAAGCGATTCTCTTGCCTCAGCCTCCCTAGTAGCTGGGATTACAGGCACGTGCCACCACACCTGGCTAATTTTTATATTTTTAGTGGAGATGTTGGCCAGACTGGTCTCGAACTCCTGACCTTACGTGATCTGTCTGCCTCGGCCTCCCAAAGTGCGGGGATTATAGGTGCCTGTCCAGCTTCATTATTTTTTAAAACTTTAGTTTAACCCTTTGTTGTAAAGGGGTTTGAAGGTCTGATTCTAAGTTTACTACTTGCTTTTGAATCGTGTGGCTGACATAGCAGAAGAAAAAGCCTTGCAAAGGTTAGTGAATCCAGTGAACAAGGACAGCACTGTGCACACTTAGGAAATTAGAGTAATTTATTTCATCCCATGCACCAGCTATCTAAAAGTCTTTATTGAAATTTAGGGCTGGGTGTGATGGCTCACACCTGTAACCCCAGCACTTAGGGAGGTCAAGGTGGGAGGATCACCTGAGGCCAGGAGTTCAAGACAAGCCTGGGCAACACGATGAAACTCCTTCTCTACAAAAAATACAAAAATTAGCTGGGCATGATGGCATGTCCCTGTAGTCCCAGCTACTTGGGAGGCTGAGGTGGAGGATGGCTTGATCCCAAGAGGCTGAGGTTGCAGTGAGCCAAGATCACACCACTGCTGTCAAGCCCAAATGACAGACCAAGACCCTGTCTCCAAAGGAAAAAAAAGAAGAGTTGGGAGTGGAACTGTACATGGTTAATAACCCTGGACTTTGCTCTTTGTGGAAGCATTGGCCTTCAGGAATTTGGTGAGACTCCCAAATGTATCAGTGCAGTTAGTCTCCCTAAGGGATGGTTGTTAGGTGCTTCCTATGCCATTTGATGCTGAGGAAGACTAATTCTGTGTTTTTGTTTTGTTTTTTGTTTTTCTTCTGAGACGGAGTTTCGCTCTTGTTGCCCAGGCTGGAATGCAGTGGCACGATTTCAGGTCAATGGCACAATCTCGGCTCAGTGCAACCTCTGCCTCCTGGGTTCAAGCGATTTTCTTGCCTCAGCCTCCCTAGTAGCTGGAATTACAGGCACCTGCCACCACGCCCAGCTAATTTTTGTATTTTTAATAGAGATGGGGTTTCTCCATGTTGACCAGGCTGGTCTCGAACTCCTGACCTCAGGTGATCTGCCCACCTCAGCCTCCCAATGTGCTGGGATTACAGGTGTGAGCCACCGCACCCGGCCTAATTCTGTGTTTTCAAGATGTTCCTGCTAACTGGATTTTACTGATAATTATTTGGTTATGATTCTCACTACTTTTATTTATTTGTGAGTTATCTTGCCATAAAACCTTCTCATATATGTGCCAACTCTGCATCTCCTGTGATGACAGATTCTCCAAAGTAGTGAATCCAATTAATTTGAATACATATAATTTGGAGGAATAAAAGGTGTTTCTTCAGTGTGCACTAAGCCTTTTCTCAAGCTTATCGAGGACTTAATTTTCACTTGAAAGCACACCTCTTCCAAAAGAATGATCACCTGCAGACTTTTCTTTGAAGAAGCCCATGAATAGAAGTTAAATAACCAATTAATTTCTAGGAAAACATTTCATTTCCTAGGATAGTCCGTGGCTTGTCAGAAGTGGCGACATACAAGCTCATATCCAGAAATTTTGTTTCTGTTATGATAGGAAAGGGATTTTAAAAAAAAACTATTTTATTTTTTTAAGTTCCAGCATACATGTGCAGAATGTGCAGGTTTGTTACATAGATAAACGTGCCATGGTGGTTTGCTGCAGCTATCAACCCATCACCTAAGTATTAAGTCCAGCATGTATTAGCTCTTTTCCTTAATGCTCTTCTCCCGCCCTGCCCTCCCTCTTTTTTTTCTTAAAGAGGTGGAGTCTCATTATGTAAGCCCAGCTGGTCTTGAAATCCTGGGCTCCAGCTGTCCTCTGCCCTCACCTCAACCTCCTGAGTAGCTGGGATTACAGGTGCACACCACTGTGCCCATTTGGGAAAGGGAATTTAACCACTTTTCTCTTACTTTCATTCTGGTGCTTTTATTGAACACTTGGTCTCTGATGATACTTTAACTAGGGTTTCATGCTAGAAAAAAATCTAACTCTGGTGAGCTGTTGCAGGAGTTTGGGTTATGAAGAATGGAAACTAGGAGGGGGCCACATTAGAAATACACAATAGCCAGGCGTGGTAGCTCACGCCTGAAATCCCAGCACTTTGGGAAGCTGAGGCAGGCAGATCACTTGAGCTCAGGAGTTCAAGACCAGCCTGGGCAACATGGTGAGACCCCCATCTCTGCTAAAAATACAAAAATAATTAGGTGGGTATGGTGGCGTACGCCTGTGGTCCCAGCTACTCAGGAGGCTGAGGTGGGAGGATGGCTTGAACCCAGGAGGCAGAGGTTGCAGTGAGCCGAGATTGTGCCACTGCACTCCAACCTGGGCAACAGAATGAGACCCTATCTCAAAAAGAAGAAGAAGAAAAAAGAAAAAAAAACAAGAAACTCTTGCTTCTACTCTTTTATCTTCAAATCAACATGTATGGTATCATTTGCAAGTAACATGTACTAACCCATATTTCTTTCAACCAGGCAGTGATAACCTTTTAGTAATCTTGAAAAGAAAATGGTGGAAGTACATCCTGCTGGGACTAGCAGATGTGGAAGCTAATTATGTGATCGTCAGAGCCTACCAGTACACAACTCTAACCAGTGTCCAGGTAAGAGGGAGCCCTCTGACCACTTTGGATTTTATAGCTTCAAAAGAAGAACACGAAGTCATATGTGTTGACCTAATTTTATTGAAAATCTATTCACTTGAAGAAAACCTAAACACAGGTGGATGCTGTTTTCTAGTAGAGCATATGCTCTAATGAGTAATGTTTCCTAGAATTAGTGAAAATGTATACAACTTAAGCTGCCCCCAAACTGCTATGGCAGATTAGAACAGTTCCTACCAAATAAGCATAAATATTTAGTTGGCAGTTGATGCTGTGGTGTTGACACGTGTTCTGTTTTATATGCTGCTCAAACATGGCATATGAAAGTATACCTTTGTTCTATAGGAAAGTTGAAGCTTTGCAAGCATAGTAGATATTCATGACAAAGAAACCATTGGAAGAAACCCAGTAGACATTTTTGGGAGAGGTGGTAGCCAGAGTTAAAACTCCCATCCCTATTTCTTTGTTAGGTTTATTCTTGCTGCATTGAAAGAAAAATATTCCTACATTGCAGAGGTTTTCAACTTTGTAAAGTTGAAGACAACTGATTTCAGTTGTCTTAATGTTAGCAAACTATGGGATGTTTCCTAACACTGACTCACCATTACTGACTACAAAATGTTTTATAAGTGGAGGTGAAAGTGAGATAGACTCAAATGCCAGGTTTAGATGTCACAGTTTGTTTATAACTTTTTTTTCATTTTTTTAAATAATAAAAAAAAGTGTGTATCAGATGTGGGATTTGAAGTTTATAACTTTTTGATATGTCCCTTTCTCACTATACAAAATACAGAGATGTTCTTACTTGACTCCAAATTTTAGGGACTGGAAAAATTGAAATTAGACTTATTTCGCATAGAAAATATAAGGATTGATGAGAACTCAGTATTTTTCCAGTGTGAACCTACATTAAATGTTACTACCATTATATTAACTACTTTCTTTTCTGTAACATTGTGCTAAGCATTGTTCTCAGGAAACCTCTTGGATTTTGACCAGTATGGGTTAAAAAGCTGAGATAGGAAATGATTTATTAAGACAGACACTATAGGAGGCACAAAAAGAACCTAAAGTTTCGTAAAAATTAAACCCAGCAGTTACCTAGAGAATGAAGTTTATCACTAATAGGAGTAAGTGTACTTTTAGCGTTGGTTAATGAAGTATACATAAGTATGTAGAAAATGGTATTTTCTTGTCACATCTACTCTCATAATCTCACCTACATTTTAATTACTTGATTACAATTCCCAGGAACTTTGATCTCTAACTAATGATAAAAAGTTTTGAATTGGTGCAAGGCCTAAACACAGTTAAACAGAACACTTACAGTTGGATAGTTGCGACTGAAGTTCATGCCTTCTTTCAATTTCAAAGAAATTGAAAACAATTTCTTTCACGCTAGCCTCTTAGAAAAACCTAAGCATTTGGTTGCCAAAAGTCATGCACTTACGGTCCTAGCAAAGAATATATTATAAAAAAGGCATCTAACAAGGTAATGTTTTCTCCAGCAGCAGCGACAGCTGTGATAGGAATGATTCAAGCTGGTTCTCCAACTGAGTAAATCTCTGGCCTGGGTAGTCCAAAAGGATGGAAATCTGGATTAGGTGGTCTTTGAACCTTCTTCTTAAGGATTCCTTAGAAGGTTCTGTAATTACCAACAGTCATGGGATAGTTCACGTGAAGATGATGATGTGGCCCAGGTTGCTGCTCATGTCCCTTCCCACTTTACTGCCACATCAACCCATTTCCCACTCATGGCCTGCTCCTTCTCCCCTGTGCTGCTCTGTTCTTCCTAGAATGCAGTCCTTTTTGAAGCCTGCTCCCCTCATTGTCAAAGGTTAATTCAATTTTCATTTTCTCTTCTATACTCTATTGTACCTCTAATATGATCTAACTTGTTTTTATACCCATGTCGCAGGGTCTGTCTTAGTACTCTGCTTACTGTGACTATACAATAATTTTTAAAAATAAAATTGATACTCTTCGAACTGAAACAGAGAAGACATCCATCACCAAGAATACTTTTTTTTTTTCTGAGAAGGAGTCTTGCTCTGTCACCCAGGCTGGAGTACAATGGCATGATCTTGGCTCACTGCAGCCTCCGCCTCCCAGGTTCAAGTGATTCTCCTGCCTTAGCCTCCTGAGCAGCTGGGATTACAGGCACGCGCCACCACACTTGGCTAATTTTTTTTTTTTTTTTTTTTTTGAGGTGGAGTCTCATTCTGTCACCGAGCTGGAGTGAAGTGGGATAATCTTGGTTCACTGCAGCCTTGGCCTCCTGAGTAGCTGGGATTACAGGCATGCGCCCAGCTGATTTTTTTTTTTTTTTTTTTTTTTGTATTTTGAGTAGATACGAGGTTTTGCCATGTTGGCCAGGCTGGTCTCGAACTCCTGACCTCAAGTGATCCTCCGGCCTTGGCCTCTCATAGTGCTGGGATTACAGGCATGAGCCACCACTCCCGGCCACCAAGAATACATTTTGAAAAGAAGGTTCACATGACTAAAGGTGATAGATATCAGATGAGAAGTCATGGAATGTTAGAGTCGGAGGGAAACTGTGTGATCATTTCGTCTGATCTTTTTATTTTATATTTTGACTTGGAGAGTGACTGGCTGGGGCCACACAGCTAGCTGGTCAGCGTGGGGCCGGGGCCTGAGGTTTCTGGAGCTCTGATCATGACATAGGCATCTCCCTCATTGCCCAACAAAAGTTGTTAAAGATAGAGCAAATTTAAGTTTGATTTTAAGACACAAGGGACTCTTCTGTGGTAGTTCTTAGAATGTCTTTTTCTACTTTTTTTGTTTAAGGAATGTAGTTGAGATTTTGTTAAGCCGTTATGGCTGGATTCTGCTGGTGTCTTCAGGGACAGGGTATTATCATTTGCATCGTTTAATGTTTTGTTATTCAGGCAGGCTCAATAAAGCACTTAGGAGATTAGAGTTCTGCAGCTGGAATAAATAACAAGGCAAGATGCCCATTCCTACACATGATGCGTTGGACTCCACTGATGCTACTGCAGTGAAAGGCAATCAGTAAACAACTGTGGACAGGATCGAATGGGCTGTTGGAGATTTAGGGGCCTGTCTTGTTCAAGACCAAACAGATACAGAGAGAATCAGGGACAAGGTTTGAAACAACAAAAGGGTGAGCAATAAAACAGCAGTTTCGGGAATATTACTGGTATAAGGAATATATTTCTTCCTTGAAAGAAATACATTGGAATGCATCAAGAATCTCTTGAATATATTTTATCCTTGAATGCACATTAAATTTGTGAATTTAAGAATTGAGTGAGTGCACTCTCTTTTTTATCTTTTATCTTGCAAACAATTTTGGACCTGCTGTAATTTTGGCACACTTAATCCCTCTGCCTTCCAGATGAGCAATATCAGGTGTATAGCTAGTGTTTTCTGGACCCAGTATCAACAGGTGAGGGGGAGCATGTGAGGAGGATGAGCAAGAGTATTTGCCATGAGCACGAGTGTGTCTCACATGGTGGGGTTGGACGCTTTGTCAGGGAGATGGTGTCTGTTCTCTCACAGTAACCCATGCTTCTTTGTAGCGCTTAGCCCGATTCCAGTGAAATATCTGGTGGTGTGATTATTTATTCCATGTCCTTTCTAGCTTTGTGTGCTCCTAAGGACACAGCTTGCTCTGTCCTGTTCACCGCTATTCCTAGCTCCTTTCACAGTGTCTCACACATGCAAGGTGTTTAACAAATATTTGTTGACTGAGTAAATGGTTGCAGGTAGGAAGGAATGTTTGTCTACTGAACTTAAAGATATACACAGGGCCAGGCGTGGTGGCTCACGCCTGTAATCCCAGCACTTTGGGAGGCCGAGGCAGACAGATCACCTGACATCAGGAGTTCGAGACCAGCCTTGCCAACATGACAAAACCCCATCTCTACTAAAAGATACAAAAATTAGCTGGGCATGGTGGCAGATGGCTGTAATCCCAGCTCCTTGGGAGGCTGAGGCAGGAAGAATTGCTTAAACCCGAGAGGCAGAGGTTGCAGTGAGCCGAGATTGCACCACTGCGCTCCAGCTTGGGCAACAGAGCGAGACTCCATCTCAAAAAAAAAATAATAATAATAAAATAAAAGAAAAGATATACACAGGTGGGAGCATAGAGGTAAAGTGCACAGGCCCTCAGCAGAATTCTTGTATACAGCAACTGACTCTTCCATTGTATTTTATTATCTATTCATTTATTTTGAGACAGGGTCTCTCTGGGTTGTACAGCCTAGAGTGCAGTGGCACCATCACAGCTCACTGCATCCTTGAACTCCGGGCTCAAGTGATCCTCTCACCTTAGCCTCCCAAGTAGCTGGGACTACAGGAGTGCACCACCACACCCAAGGTTTTTTTTTGTTGTTGTTTTTTTTTTTTTTTGTACAGACAGGGTTTCACCATGTTGCCCAGGCTGATATCGAACTCCTGGACTCAAGCAGTCTGCCCGCCACAGCCTCCCAAAGTGCTAAGATTACAGGCGTGAGCCACCGTGCCCAGCTGTCATCCCATTTTTAACTATGTGTTTTTGGCAACTCATTTCACCTCTCTGTATCTTCATTTTCTCATGTATAAAATTGGATTGTAATTTCAGTCTCATGGAATTGTGAGGATTAAATGAGTGAATCCAGGTAAAGCTCTTAGTACAGGGCTGGCAATAATAAATGCTCAATAAATACTGACTCCTATTATAAATACTGACTCCTATTATTTCTTAATTACCCATCTTTTAGCTAATGAGAGATATGTTTTAAACTGTTGATTCTCTTTCCATGCAGCTTTTGGATTGCTTTGGGATTCCTGTGTTGATGGCTCTGTCATGGTTTATTCTTCATGCAAGATACAGAGTGATCCACTTCATCGCCGTGGCTGTCTGTCTGTTGGGTGTAGGAACCATGGTTGGTGCAGACATACTAGCAGGGAGGGAAGACAATTCAGGTGAGACGGTGTCACATGTTTGTGCTTCAATCACAGCAAATTTGTTTATGTTTTCACTTTTATATCAACAAAGAAACTTGTTTACTGGAGTATTTCTTTTTAAGTCACTGTGTAGGTGAGAACACTTTGCCACACTTTGTGTTGAATTCAGTTGATAGTATAAAATCTAATTGAGGTCTATGAATTCATCCAATCTTCAAGTGAGTTAAACGTCTCCTTGGATTGAGAGAGAAAATTACAGTTGATACTATAAAATCTAATTAAGGTCCATGAATTCACCCAGTCTACAAGTGAGTTAAGTGTCTCTTTGGATTGAGAGAGAAAATTATAGTTGATAGTATAAAATCTAATTAAGGTCTGTGAATTCACCCAGTCTACAAGTGAGTTAAGTGTCTCTTTGGATTGAGAGGGAAAATTACTTTGAAAGCAGGTTCCCATTTTTCAAATTGACCTACCCCTTCAATGAACTCCATTAATTTGTCATGTCATGGAATCATTTTCTGAGGCCTTACATTATGATATATATCATCAGTTTCTAGCCTGTTAGACTTCTGAGGAGTTAAATTATGAAAAATTACAGCAGAATTGCACCAGAAAGTGAGAAGAGTAAGAGATTTTAAACTTCTAGTAACCAGGTTGGGTGCGGTGGCTCACACCTGTAATCCCAACATTTTGGAAGGCCAAGGTGGGTGGATCACCTGAGGTCAGGAGTTCGAGACCAGCCTGGCCAACATGGTGAAACCTCGGTCTCTACCAAAAATACAAAAATTAGGCCAGGCACAGTCGCTCGCACCTGTAATCCCAGTACTTTGGGAGGCCAAGGTGAGCGGATCACTTGAGGTCAGGAGTTCAAGACCAGTACAAATGCAAAAATTAGCCAGGCATGATGGAGGGTGCCTGTAATCCCAGCCAGTTGGGAGGCTGAGGCAGGAGAATCACTTGAACCCGGAGGTGTAGGTTGCAGTGAGCTGAGATTGCGCCACTGCACTCCAGCCTGAGCAACAGAGCAAGACTGTCTCAAACACACACATACACACACACACATACACACACACACACTCTCACACATAAACTTCTAGTAACCAGTTTCTTCTTCTTTAGTGTCATTTAAATGAACACGAGTCAGATGACCGCCTGGAGGCACGCTGTGGAGGTTCATCTGTTGACAGTGTTTTGCTTTCTGTGGCTTGTCTTCCTGCAGGGAGTGATGTATTGATTGGTGACATCTTGGTCCTTCTTGGGGCTTCCCTCTATGCCATTTCAAATGTTTGTGAGGAATACATCGTGAAGAAGCTGAGCAGACAGGAGTTTTTAGGAATGGTGGGCCTGTTTGGAACAATTATCAGTGGTATACAGCTGTAAGATTCTACAATTTTTTTCTAAAGACAAAATAAGCAAATATATTATAGATGATAACTACTAATATTCATTGTTTATTTGGCCCAAATTCACATTTGGAATTAGTATTAGGTGGATGCAAGAGTAATTGTGGTTTTGCCATTACCTAATAACTTGCTGAGTGTCTACTAGAGGATTGTTAAAACATCAAGAATTACTTCCTATTTTCTTAAACATGTGTGTTGCTTAGGATTCCTGATTACCATGTGGTAGAGGCATTTGCCAGTAAGGAGTTTTTTTAGTTATTTCCAGAAAATATTAACACATTAACTTCCTAAGCTTATTCAAAAACAAAGCATAATATCATATTTTCCTCCTATACTTGACTATTATTTCAGAGCACCTGTAAGGGAGTCAAACATATCTTTATGAACTCCTTTGGTTTTATTCTTTGTCATTTTTATTAAAGATCGTTATTTTTATATTCTAAGACAAATTCAAATGTCCATGTAATTCCTCACTTTAGCTGAAGTATAGTGACTAAAATGCTTATAAAATAGTGAAAATTAGTATGTGGACCTCTCTGTGACCTCTTGTTTTAATCTTAGATTGATTGTGGAATATAAGGATATTGCCAGCATTCATTGGGACTGGAAAATTGGTATGTAAAGAAATAATTCCTTTTAGTCAGCATTCTTTAACAAACAAATGAACATCTAGAAATATGTGCTTTATTTTAATAATATTTAGACGTCTTTGTAAAATCCAGGAGTGATTTAATACATATCAACTATAGTGGTTTACATTGAGTTTTCTCTGAAAATTGGTAGATAAGCTTCCATAAAAGTTAATTCTTAATCTTTACCTGCAGGAATAGCCTTTGGTTACTAGGAATCCTGAACAAGACTGGAGATTGACCTTTGGTCAAACCAGCTTTCAATTAGATCTGTATCTTGGGTCCTCAAACTTCTTGCGAAGGTTGTCTGCTTGATATAATTTGTGAAGCATTAACCTGAATCATCAATGGTGTGAAATCTCCCTCACCTCCCATTGCTCCTGTCATCTGATATTCCTAGGCATCTGCATAAATAAATAAAGGAAAAGAAAATGGTGATGGGACAGTCAGAAAAGATTGGAACCTGGTTTAATGATGGGGTGGGGAGAAGTTAAACAGTACATAGGTGTCATGGAAGATTGTCTACCATGGTTGGTAATTTAATTCAATTAAATAACTTAGATTGCAGGCCTGGTGCGGTGGCTCACGCCCGTAATCCCAGCACTTTGGGAGGCTGAGGTGGGTGGATCATGAGGTCAGGAGTTCGAGACCAGCCTGGCCAACATGGAGAAACCCTGTCTCTACTAAAAATACAAAAAAAAAAAAAAAAATTATCCGGGCATGGTGGCGGGCGCCTATAATCTCAGCTACTCGGGAGGCTGAGACAGGAGAATCACTTGAACCTGGGAGGCGGAGGTTGCAGTGAGCTGAGATTGCGCCACTGCACTCCAGCCCAGGCAACAGTGCGAGACTCCGTCTCAAAAAAAATAAATAAAAATAAAAATAACTTAGATTGCTAGAAAGTGTGTGTGTGTGTGTGTGTGTGTTGAGTATGGGATGAGATTAAAGAAGTAGTTGCAAAGCAGAGATACTGCTAATGTAGTCAACATCCACGTGGCAAGCACTGTCCTAAAAAGGATAATTATATTGTGCTGCCTCGGAGCACTTAATTTAATGAGATGAACAAAATACAATGGACCTAATAACTGTCTTTGATGTCTTTAAAGATACTTTATTCTGAATCCAATTATACAAATCATGTCCAACCAAACAAAAGCAAAGAAAACATAATGAGTGATTTTTCTTGACATGAGATGTTGATTCTGCCTTTATTGGCCTTTTATCACAGGCATCGCTGTCCTGGCAGGGTGCATAGCAAGGGGTGATTAAGAGCAATGGACTGTCACACCATAAGCAGGATTTTCTGACCTTGATCATCCAATACCTTGTTGGATTTTTTGAGGTCCTTTATCTACATCACAACTTGCTATTTATATTCTTTTTTCGAGAGAGCTTTATGGTCTCATTTTCAATGCTGACTGTTAACAAGGGGCTTTGTACATAATATGTTAAAGGGTTAGGGAGTTTTATATGACAGCTAAGCCTCAAACTCCTTTGTCTTATGTTTTCTTGCCCTAATATTAGATATTCCATGTTTTTTTCCACAGCCCTGCTGTTCGTGGCATTTGCCCTGTGTATGTTTTGCCTGTACAGCTTCATGCCATTGGTGATTAAAGTCACTAGTGCCACTTCCGTCAACCTGGGCATCCTGACAGCGGACCTCTACAGCCTTTTTGTTGGACTCTTTCTGTTTGGCTATAAGGTAAACAAATAGATCACGTTCAAATAAGAATACTTGCTTGGATCCAAAAAACGTAGCAGGTTTCTTCAAGACTCTAGATCAAAAAATAAAACCTTCTCATCTTCTTGGCAAGAATTTCATTGGTCAGGCCTCCCTTTGCTGCTTCTGAATTACAAAATGGGTTCACGTAAGAATTGTCCTTCTAGGGTTTTTCTAAAGAGTGAAATACATGGATTTCATCTTCGATGGTATGGCCCAGGGCACTAGCTTATGGAATTGTTAACGCATGTTTTCAGGTGATAAACAAGCTGGCCCAGAGCTGCTGTTGACCTTGAGGGACAGTGTAACTTAACCTGAGCACTAGGAACTTTTCCATTCATTCTTTTTGCCTTGGTATAGAGACAAAAAGTCTGGAGTACCTGATGGAAAGGAAAGAGAGATGGCCAGTTTATCATGCATGCATGATTGGAATGGTTCTGTCTTTGATAGTAATTTTATATCTTAAAGGTAATTCAGTCCAGTGGTTTTTCAGACTTTTTCTATCCACATCATCACAGCATTTACAAGCGTAACCTGCTGCCATCAGCAATGGGTCCTATTACCTGTACTAATTCTCAAGGCAGGTGGGGTGGAAGGGAATATATCAGTGTCTTCAGGGGAAGCAAGAGAGCAAATATGGAGTTTGAAAAAATAACATCCTCAGAGAGTCTGATACACCTTCCCTTGAGAATTGATTGAGCCATTCATTTTATTTATTTTATTTTATTATTTATTTATTTTTTTTGAGATGGAGTCTCACTCTGTTGCCCAGGCTGGAGTGCAATGGTGTGATCTCGGCTCACTGCAACCTCTGCTTCCCAGGTTTAAGTGATTCTCCTGCCTCAGCCTCCTGAGTAGCTGGGATTACAGGCACCCTCCATCATTCCTGGCTAATTTTTGTATTTTTGTAGAGATGGGGTTTCACCATGTTGGCCAGGCTGGTCTTGAACTCCTGACCTCAGATGATCTGCCTGCCTCAGCCTCCCAAAGTGCTGGGATTATAGGTGTGAGCCACCATGCCTGGCGGAGCCATTTATTTTAGACATGGAAAAACAAAGGCCCAGGGAGGTGATGTGTAGCTCAGTGACTTACCCTTAGTCAGCAGCTGGTTAATGGTAAAGCCAATATTAAGTCTTAGTTGTCAGTCTTCTATCAGTCCAGGCTTCTTGCCACTGCACTTTCCACCTTAATTTCATTATTAAGATAAGAGTCTCAAGCTTATGATTGCATCATGTTAAAGTCTCATAATCAGACAGAACCAAGTATATAGATTTTTTTTTTCCAACTTCACAGCTAATTTGAAAATTCCTAGGGCAGCAGTTTAGCAGTTCTCATCTATTTTTTTTTTTTTCTTAGATCCAGGGCTTGCTGATCACTCTTTTTAAAATTTTAAGCCCCTTTTAAATGCTTAAAAATTGGGAACCCCAGTCATTTATACCTATTATTTACCATATTATAACTGAAAACTGAGAAATTAAAAAATACTTATTAACTCATTAAGAAAATAATAAATTCATCATGTTATCATTTTTATGAAAAAATGTATTTTTCAAAATAAAAAAATAGTGAGAAGAATTTCATTGATTTATATTTAAAAAATCTCTTTACTCTGTGGCTTACTAGAAAAAACACCTGGATTCTCACATCTGCTTCTTCCTTCTGCCTTGTGATATCACATATCATGTAGCTTCTAGAACATTTCATTGTGCACTTGCAAGACGATGAAAGCGAAATGGGCAAATAGCATTTTAGTATTATAGTAATGATAGTTTTGAGGGCCAGGTGCAATGGCTTACACTTGTAATCCCAGCACTTTGGGAAGCTGAGGAGGGTGGATCACCTGAAGTCAAGGGTTCGAGACCAGCCATGGCCAACATGGGGAAACCCCCCTCTCCACTAAAAATACAAAAATTAGCAGGGTGTGGTGGCACATGCCTGTAATCCCAGCTACTCGGGAAGCCGAGGCAGGAGAATCGCTTGAACCTGAGAGGCAGAGGTTGTAGTGAACCAAGATTGTGCCATTGCATTTTAGCCTGGGTAACGAGCAACTCCGTCTCAAAAAAAAAAAAAAAAAAAAAAGTAGTAATAGCTTTCACTGTATAGATTCTTCCCCAGAGTTTTAGGTCCCCTCAAGGATTTTGGATTATACTTTGAGAACCCCTGCTTTAGAAATACCTCTTTTCAGCCTGGACAACATGGTAAAACCCCATCCCTACAAAAAAATACAAAAATAATGAGCCAGATATGGTAATGTGCACCTGTAGTCCCAGCCACTCCAGAGAGAGACTGAAGTGGGAGGATCACTTGGGGCCAGGGAGGTCGAGGCTGCAGTGAGCCATGATCTGATCACACCACTGCACTCCAGCCTGGCTGACAGAGCGAGACCTGTCTTTTCTCAGTGTGCCTTCAGTAAAGGATTGTTGACCTGCTTCCTATTTTCTTGACAGTCATTTGAGCAGATAGTTAGAATGCTGGCTGTTACCTGATAATTTTAGTTTCAGTAGAGGTTATTAACTATCTTTCTTCGTCCTTGTAGAATTTTGTATCCAGACAAATCCTTATTTATGCTATTCCCAGAAGTCGGCCATGAACTCACAACACTTAGCTGAATTACTGATACATTAAGCTCAGTGGATTCTCAGAAATTTCTGCTTAAGGAGTGTAAACCTTTGGTTTGCAAGGTTACATGTGAAGGAACCAGCTGTTATCTTTGCAGACTTGCTGGTTAAGGTATTCCTGAACTAAGACTGAAGGAGTATTTATAGCTTACTAGTAACATCATTAAAAAAAAGCCAGGCCGGGCGCAGTGGCTCATACCTGTAATCCCAGGACCTTGGGAGGCCGAGGCGGGCGGATCACGAGGTCAGGAGATCGAGACCATCCTGGCTAACACGGTGAAACCCTGTCTCTACTAAAAATACAAAAAATTAGCCGGGCATGGTGGCATACGCCTGTAATCCCAGCTGCTCAGGAGGCTGAGGCAGGAGAATGGCATGAACCTGGGAGGCAGAGCTTGCAATAAGCCGAGATCACGCCACTGCACTCCAGCCTGGGCAACAGAGCAAGACTCTGTCTCAAAAAAAAAAAAACAAAAACAAACAAAAACAAAAAAAAAGCCAAAGTGTGCCGGGCACAGGGGCTCACGCCTGCACTTTGGGAGGCCAAGGCGGGCAGATCACGAGGTCAAGAGATCGAGACCATCCTGGCCAACATGGTGAAACCCCGTCTTTACAAGTACAAAAATTAGCTTGGAGTGGTGGCGTGCATCTGTAGTCCCAGCAGGAGAATTACTTGAACCCGGGAGGTGGAGGTTGCAGTGAGCCGAGATCATGCCATTGCACTCCAGCCTGGGTGACAGGGTGAGACTCCGTCTAAACAAACAAACAAAAAAAGTAAAATAAATAAATAAAGTCAAAGTGAATCAGAGAAGTCATCCTGATGGGTGCAGATTTTTTTCTGAGAGCCAAATTGTCATAGACTACAATGTCAGCCTTAAGTTTTTCTGTGATGCCGTGGCTGCATTTCATCTGGCCACCACTAGGGGTGCTGGTGTTTCTATATAGCAGTTGCAGGCCAGTTGGTGGCCGGCTTTGGCTTCAACTGCTTTCAACTTTAAAATGAAAAATCCCTTTCTTATGTCATTTTTTGGCCACATAACTTTAAACTACTATTCTCAGAATCAGAGCATGCAGTTGATAAATTCCTTTCCAGTTATTTTGTGTTCCTTTGTCCCTGAATGTCTAATAGTACATTCTTAGATCAGATTTTTACTATTTTTGGTCAAATGTTTCAAGACTTACAGAGCAAAGAGCAGGTCTTCTGAAATCTTCAGAATAAATTACAGAGGTAGAAAAAACTCAGAGCATAATGAAGACACCTAGCACTTTAGAAGTAGTTTGTTTTGTTTGCGACAGAGTCTCGCTCTGTCACCCAGGCTGGAGTGCAGTGGTGTGATCTCAGCTCACTGCCACCCCTGCAGTCTGGGTTCAAGCAATTCTTGTGCTTCAGCCTCCTGAGTAGCTGGGATTACAGGCACCTGCCACCAAACCCGGCTAATTTGTGTATTTTTAGTAGAGACGGGGTTTCACTATGTTGGCCAGGCTGGTCTCGAACTCCTGACCTCAGGTGATCCGCTTGCCTCTGCCTCCCAAAGTGCTGGGACCACAGGGCATGAGCCACTGAGCCTGGCCAAGAAGTAGTTTTTAAAGGCAGATTGTAAGCTTGATACACTACCAGTTTTAAAAACTGTGTCTAAAATAACTTTGGCTCTAATTTTTTGAAGCAGACAGTTGAAAAAGAGGCTCAGAATTTTTTACGCTCATCCGTGTCCCTTAAGCACTCTGCCTCTCCTGAAATTGATCTTGAGTGAATATTTGCTGAATAAAGTAATCGCAAGAAACTTCCTGTATAGATCCAGACACAAAGAATTTTACAAGACAAAGAAGTAAGCGCCTCTAATTCAGGAGACTTAATCTCTTTATTAGTCTCTCCATCCTAATAAAAGTGACTCCATTTAATCACCTGCCTTCTTAAGAGAGACATGATAGTTTTTCTTCTGAACATTTAAAAGCCACCAAACCAAATATAACAGGTTTTGAACAAGTTATATAGGTGTTTTCACAGGTAACAGTAAACATTTTATGGGACAGCAAGATTACCTTTCAAAATACCAACTTAAGGCTGGGCGCAAGTGGCTCACACCTGTAATCCCAGCACTTTGGGAGACTGAGGTGAGTGGGTCACTTTAGTTCAGGAGTTTGAGACGAGCCCGGCCAACATGGTGAAACCCCATCTCTATTAAAAATACAAAAACTAGCTGGGCATGATGGCGGGCACCTGTAATCCCAGTTACTTGGGAGGCCGAGGCACAAGAATTGCTTGAGCCCAGGAGGTAGAGGTTGCACTGAGCTGAGACTGCACCACTGCACTCCAGCCTGGGTGATAGAGCAAGACTCTGTCTCAAAAAATAAATAAATAAAAATAACAAAAAAAAATAAAAAATACCAACTTAAAAAGTTTAGAGTACTCCAAACAGCTCTAACTTCCCCTAATATTCTCTGAATCAATTTTTTTCAACAAACATTTATTAAACACCAGCTATGTGTTGGGCCCTGTGCTATGTATTAGATCCAAGAATGAAAATCAGTGGTAGGAAATTATAGTTGTCTGCTTAGCTTGACATTATTATTGGTTTTGCATTATCATTTAATCCAGGAAGCATTTTCCTGTCTTGGGGAGGGCTGTGGCTATTACATTCCTTAAGGAATTCTTAAGGTTTAACGTTAAGAAATAATTGAGCATCTATAACAAGTTAGCACATTAAAGCTGTTGGTGACCCAAGGAGCCCACAGCTGGATGTGACCAGCAATCTACTTAATACTCATTTCAAAAAATTACTTAGTTTTTTCTTTTACCTTTGGGAGTGTATCTTGCTTTTTTTTAATTTTTAATTTTCTTTTTAGCGATAGGGTCTCACTATGTTGCCCAGGTTGGCCTCAAACTCCTGGGCTCAAGTGATCCTCCCACCTTAGCCTCCTGAGTAGCTGGGACTGCAGGTGCCTACCACTGTGCCAAGCTAGCTTGCTTGCTTTTTCTTCTCTCTCTGTCTCACTCCTTCCACCCCCTCCTTCCTTCTCATCTTCTTTCTCTTCCTTTTCCCTCCTTCCCTAGCCCATTCTGTTTTCTTACTGTTTTTTGCTGTCATCTCCTTATTTGAACTTTTTATTGGGCATAATATGAAACTTAAGCTAATTTAAAACTATTTATTGGTGTGAATAAAATAGAATGCCCCGTTCTTAATTTTTTATTGATACAAATATTTATACATATTTATGGGATACATAAGACATTTTGTTACATGCATAGACTGTGTACAAGTCAGAGTATTTGAGACGTCCATCACCTCGAGTATTTATCATTTCAACTGTAGTCAACCTACTCTGCTGTCAAACATTAGAACTTATTCCTTCTATCTAACTAAATGTTTGTACCCATTAAACAACGTCCCTTAGGCTGGGCATGGTGGCTCACGCCTGTAATCCCACCACTTTGGGAGGCCAAGACACACAGATTGCTTGAGCTCAAGAGTTTGAGACCAGCCTGGGCAACATGGCACAACCCTGTCTCTACAAAAAAAAAATACAAAAATTATACGGGTATGTTGGTGCACACCTGTAGTCCCAGCTAATTGGGAGGCTGAGGTGGGAGGATTGCTTGAGCCTGGGAGGCACAGGTTGCAGTGAGCTGAAATTGAACTACTGCACTCCAGCCTGGGTGACAGAGCCAGACCCTGTCTCAAAACAACCACCACTACAAAAACCTAACCTCTCTTTATCTCCCACCCCCAATCCACACATCCTCCACAGCCTCTGATATCTGTCATTCTATGCTCTACCTCCACAAGATTGACTTTTTAAGCTCTCACATATGAGTGAAACATGCACTATTTGTCTTTCTGTGCCCTAGCTTATTTCATTTAACATAATGACCTCTAGTTCCATCCATGTTGCTGCAAATAATAGGATTTCATTTTTTTGTGGCTGAATAGTATCCCATTGTGTTTATATATCATATTTTCGTTATTCATTTGTCCACTGACGGACAGTTAGGTTGATTCCATATCTTTGCTATTGTGAATAGTGCTGCAATAAACAGATGAGTGCAGGTATCTCCCTTTGATATACTGATTTCTTTTCCTTTGGATAAATACCCAGTAGTGGGATTGCTGGATTGTATAGTAGTTCTATTTTTAGTTTTTTGAGAATCTCCGTACTGTTTTCCATAGTGGCTCTACTATACTAATTTACATTCCCACCAGCAGTATTTAAGAGTTCCCTTTTCTTTTTCTTTTCTTGAGATGGAGTTTTTGCTCTGTTGCCCAGGCTGGAGTGCAGTGGCATGATCTCGGCTCACTGCAACCTCCGCCTCCTGGGTTCAAGTGATTCTCCTGCCTCAGCCTCCCGAGTAGCTGGATAGGTGCCACCACCACACCCAGCTAGTTTTTGTATTTTTAGTAGAGATGAGGTTTCACCATCTTGGCCAGGCTGGTCTCGAACTCTTGACCTCAGGTGATCCACCCGCCTCAGCCTCCCAAAGTGCTAGGATTACAGGCGTGGGCCACCGCACCTGGCCTAAGAGTTCCTTTTCTATACATCCTTGCCAGCATGTTATTTTTTGACTTTTTAATAATAGCCATTCTAACTGAGGTAAGATGATATCTTATTGTGGCTTTGATTTGCACTTTCCTGATGATTAGTGATGTTGAACATTTTTTCATATACCTGTTGGCCATTTATGTCTTCTTTTGGTGAATGTTTATTCATGTCCTTCGCCCACTTTTTAATAGGATTATTTGTTTTTCACTCTTTAGTCATTTGAGTTACTTGTATACTCTGGTTATTAGTCCCTTGTTGGATTAATAGTTTGCAGATATTTTCTCCCATTCAGGAGGTTATCTTTTCACTCTGTTGATTGTCTTCTTTGCTGTGCAGAAACTTTTTAGTTTAATATAGTCCCATTTGTCTATTTTTGTTTTTGTTACCTGTGCTTTTGAGATGTTAGCCATAAAATCTTTGTCTAGACCAATGTCCTAAAGTGTTTCCCTGTGTTTTCTTCTAGTAGCTTTATAGTTTTGGGTCTTATATTTAAGTC
Organism: Homo sapiens; assembly: GCF_000001405.40. Lineage (NCBI taxonomy): Eukaryota > Metazoa > Chordata > Mammalia > Primates > Hominidae > Homo > Homo sapiens. The sequence goes on along the minus strand of NC_000011.10, from coordinate 107,795,332 downwards.
TTTAATCCCACCTTGAGTTGATTTTTTTATATGGTGAGAGATAGGAGTTCATTTTCATTTTATACTAATACCATGCTGTTTTGGTTGCCCAGCATTGCTTTGGCTATTTGGGCCCTTTTGTGGTTCCATATGAATTTTAGGATTGTGTTTTCTGTTTATGTGAAAAATAACATTGATATTTTGATAGGGATTGCACTGAATTTATAGATTGCTTTGGGCAGTATGCTCATTTTAATGAGATTAATCCTTCCAGTCCATAAGCATGGGTGTTTCCATTTGTGTCATCTTCAATTTCTTTCATCAGGGTTTTGTAGCTTTCCTTATAGAGGTCTTTCACCTCCTTGGTTAAATTTAGTCCTATTTTATTTTGTGTAGCTGTTGTAAATGGGATTGCCTTCTTGGTTTCTATCTCAGCTAGTTCATTATTAGTGTATAGAAAGGCTACTGATTTTTATATGTTGATTTTGTATCCTACAACTTTACCTAATTTATTGATCAGATCTAAGAGCTATTTTGTGGCATCTTTAGGTTTTTCTGGATATAAGATCATGTCATCTACAGAGAGGGATAATTTAACTTCTTCTTTTCTAATTTGGATGCCTCTTATTTCTTTTTCTTGCCTAATTGCTCTGGCTAGGACTTCCAGTACTATGTTGAATAGGAGTGGTGAAAGTGGGCATCCTTGTTTTTTTCCAGTTCTTAAAAGTAAGGCTTTTATATTTTCCCCATTCAGTATGATGTTAGCTACTCCATTCCTAATTTTAAAATCAGGTTAGCAGGATTAATCATAAGTTGAGTTTGCTTTTCCAGTTGAAAGGAAAAATAAGGCCCTGGGTATTTGATTACACATTAGTTACAGTACATAGTTTCTCTAATTTTTAGTACACCATTCTTGGTCAGTCTTTAGCCACTCTCTTTCTGTGCTTTATCATGCTGCTAAACATACATACTGATGGCCAGGCGTGGTAGCTCACGCCTGTAATCCCAGCACTTTGGGAGGCCAAGGCGAGCGGATCACAAGGTCTGGTGTTCGAGACCAGCCTGGCCAACATGGTGAAACCCCGTCTCTACCAAATATACAAAAATTAGCCAGGCATGGTGGTGCATGCTTGTAGTCCCAGCTACTCGGGAGGCTGAGGCAGAAGAATCGCTTGAACCCGGGAGGCAGAGGTTGCAGTGAGCCAAGATTGCGCCATTGCACTCCAGCCTGGGAGACAGAGCAAAACTCTGTCTAAAAAAAAAAAAAAAAGAAAAAATACAGACTGATTTCTTTAATACTTCAACTTTTGTATGGATTTTCAACTCAAGAGGAAATATACAAAATTCTTAATAGAATTTATTTAGACTTTTGGGGTATATCATTTTTCCATATATATACCCAATGAATTAGTGTTCTTTCCTCATTGCATTTTGCTCTGGGTGGTGGTTTTCAGTCTTAGGAAGGGGAAAGTTGGGGAAGGTCACCAAAAACTCCATCCATACTTTTAAAATTTCTGTCAGAATGGGCTCCTGCTCTTTTTGGTCCTTCTGGGAACAGAGAGTGTATGAGATGCCTCTCACAGGGCTCTGTTTCCTATGATTGTCCTCACCGGACCTTACACTCAGTCACCTCTTTGGGCTTTGGACTCTTCTAGTATCTTAGGCTCTTTCTAGCTCTACAATTCTGAATCTGCTCAGTCCACCATAAATTTTACTATGTAATACTTGCCCACAGAGACAAGATAATGTATTAAATTTTAGCAAAATGAATTTCATTGAATAGCACACATTGAGAGGCTGTTGAGCAGATGCCCCTTCTGTACTTCCACATTTCATCATAGTCTTACGTTCCTCTGCTTCATACCAATATTGTAAGCAGTGTCTAGGGTCTGAATGGGGCTCTCTGTGGTATCCATGATGACCTTTTATTTTCTCCACTAAGTGGGACTATATGCAGAGTGGGGTGTAGCTGGATTATGACAGAGAAAAGCAAAGGTCCATTTCTCCTAAAGATCCAAGGATCCAGGTGGCTTATGTGCCGGGTGCTGTTGGCAGAGTCCCATCATTCACCAGCATACATGGGAAGGTTTTGTGCATTAGCATCTCCTTAGGTAACTTTCAGAAAAAAGATCATGAGGCCAGGCATGGCGGCCCACGCCTGTAATCCCCCGCACTTTGGGAGCCTGAGGCGGGCGGATTGCTTGAGCTCAGGTGTTCGAGACCATCCTGGGCAACATGGAAAAACCCCGTCTCTACAGAAAACACAAAAATTGGCCGGGTGTGGTGGTGAGTGCCTGTGGTGTCAGCTACTCTGGAGGTTGAGGCGGGAGGATCACTGGAGCCTGGGAGGTGGAGGTTGCAGTGAGCCGAGATTGTGCCACTGCACTCCAGCCTGGGCCACAGAGCGAGACCCTGTCTTAAAAAGAAAGAAAGAAAGAAAGAAAGAAAATAAAAAGATTATGAGAGGGTAATCCTCGAAGCACAGTTGGCAAAAGCCAGCAGCAAAGATGTGTATGTGAGGGGCACAATTCACTGCCTGTTCTTCCCTTCTAGTTTTCAGGACTCTACATCCTGTCCTTCACTGTCATCATGGTGGGGTTTATCCTGTACTGCTCCACCCCTACTCGCACGGCCGAGCCGGCTGAAAGCAGCGTGCCTCCAGTCACCAGCATTGGGATTGACAACCTGGGGCTGAAGCTGGAGGAGAACCTCCAGGAGACCCACTCTGCTGTCTTGTAGCTGGAGAAGATGGCGCACCCATCCCCCACCAGGATAAAGCAGAGCCTGCTGCCTGCTGAGGGGACACTTGGGGAAATAGCAGACTCAGAATGGACACTCTACAACCCTGGGTTGGATCCAGTGGTTAGGTTTTAGAAAGGAACACTGAACAAAGTTCAAAAGTAGAAATACCAAAATAGAGCAGAAACCAAGCTAAGAGTGTGTTTCTGTGTTTGAGGACCAATATCTGTTCGTGTTGAGGAGATGAGGTGCAGACTCCACACTGGGGTCTTAGAGGCACCAGTGGGAAAGCAGGACTGGGGAGAGATCCAGGACTGAGCCAGCCTCAGGCCAGGGCGGGAAAGCAGGCTGTCCAGGCTGGGCTTGGTGGTCAGGAACAGGGGCAGCTCACGGTGGCTCTGGAGTACGTTTCCTCTGTCAGATGCTTCAAGGTTTTTTTTTTTTTTTTTTTTTGCTGAGGCAGTTATTGTCCACAGGCCTTTGGGTACAGATGAGGCCTTGGGGCTGACTGCATGTGGCAGAAAACGGGTGGGTCAGCCCTTGAAAAGTCTTGAGATATAAGTGTGAGTACTATACAAGCATTAAACTGGAGTGCAGTAAACCTAGGAACCTTCCCACAATTGTTTTTTTGTTTGTTTGAGATGCAGAGTCTAGAGTGCAGTGGTGCAAGCTCAGCTTACTGTAACCTCTGCCTCCTGGATTCAAGTGTTAGTAGCTGGGATTACAAAAGCATGTGGCCCCACGCCCAGCTAAGTTTTGTATTTTTAGTAGACATGGGGTTTCACCATGTTGCCCAGGCTGGTCTTGACCTCCCGACCTCAAGTGATCTGCCTGCCCCGACCTCCCAAAGTGCTGGGATTACAGGCTTGAGCCACCGTGCCAGGCCTGTTTTGTTTGTTTTTGTAGAGAGATGGGGTTTCGCCATGTTGCCCAGGCTAATCTCAAATTCCTGAGCTAAAGCGATCTGCCCACCTCGGCCTCCGAAAGTGCTAGGATTACAGATGTGAACCACTGTGCCTGGCCTGTTTGTTTGTTTGTTTAAAACATTTCTCCATCACTCATTCCAGGTCCCAGAGCAAACTCTCTCTGCTCTCGGAGCCTGTGACACTGGCTATGTGCTCCACAGTTTCAGTCCCAGGTCATACTCTCCAACAGTTTTCAGAGCTCCATATATATGTAGATGCCATCCTTTCTAAAAACTTCTCACGACCTCCTGGAATATTCCTATTGATCTCATTTTATTTAGCATCAGCTCAAGAAACTAAGTCTTAGTGCACAGTATCACAACAAAGAAAAAGCTTTGTTTTTATAACTGGTAAAAACAAGAAAAGATTCTCATCAAAATGAAAATATAAAATTAATCATTTCTCACCAAAGAGTATGCCTGGGAGCCTCCAGCTGTTAAAAGACAATGCTATTACTACTTCTTATCAAAAATCTGTAATGCCCTGTGATTTTTATGATACTTCTTCAATACAAAGTGTTAATATGTGTCATCAGTATAATAACAACCAACAAAATGCCACTTTCAGAAAACTGTATGTAAATTTTTTGTAACAATGTAAAAAAGAAATGGGGAGTAAGTGTTCACATCATTAAAAGGCTTTGAATTCATGGAAATACATCAACTGTGTGGTTTCTTTGATTAACCATTTCCCCTTGTGGATTTTTTTTCCAGTAAAGCCGTCCTTCAAAACCCTTGTGGATTTTTTTTTCTTCTTTTTTTTTTGTTTGAGTCTTGTCCTGTCGCCCAGGCTGGAGTGCAGTGGTGCCATCTCAGCTCACTGCAACCTCTGCCTCCTGGGTTCAGCAATTCTCCTACCTGGACTACAGGTATGCACCACCATGCCCAGCTAATTTTTGTATTTTTAGTAGGGTATCACCATGTTGGCCAGGCTGGTCTCGAACTGACCTCAAGTGATCCACCCACCTCAGCCTCCCAAAGTGCTGGGATTACAGGCATGAGCCACCACGCCTGGCCTCCTTGTGGATTTTGAATGACTTGACATATTCAGTATTTCTTCATATTCAATTTTTCAGAGTCGTATCCTCTGTGGGGTGAGGCAAGCCTGTCTATTTGGGGACTATGCTGGGATTCCAGGGAATTCAGAGCAAGCTTACCGATCATTTGCAGGAATAAACATTTTCCAATTCTGAATTACCACAATGAGTTTTTTTTTACTTTTTTGAGTGAAGTAACCTTTCATTTTCTGCAACCAATTAAAACTGCCTTTTCAATCGATGTTTGGTTTTTGCTCCCTAACATTAACAACTATGAGAGTGGGAAAGGTTATGTTAAAATGTTTGGCTCTTTTAGGAAGACTTTCAGTTTGATTAGCACACTGATGGTTTAGTTTTAAATTTGTGCTATTTTGCTCATTGTTTCATTTTATTTACACCAGCGACAGCCGCAGTCAGAACTGCAGTTGCTGATCCTGCAAGGTTGCTGTTTGGTGAGCAGGGTCATTCACAAAGTCTTTGGTTACATATTTGGGTGTTTAGGATACATATACACCAGGATGGACTTTAGAAAAAGGAAGTAGGCCGGGTGCACTGGCTCAAGCCTGTAATCCCAGCACTGTTACGTGCAGGTCTTTGTTCTTAGAGCTCCCAAGATGGTGGTGGGCCGCTCCCAAGATGGGGCAGGCCACACCCAAGATGGCAGCAAGCCTTTTGTTCTCTGACCTGGGGTTCTTGGCCTCAGTGGATTCCAAGGAATGGAACCTTGGGCCATGTGGTGAGTGTTAAGCTCTATTAGAAGCCGTGGGTCACGGAAGAGAACCGTGGAAACCAGCAACTAGTGTTCAGTTCGATTAGGATGAACCTGGGCACTTAGTCATGCAGAAACAATGGCGAGCCTTTAGCCTGATCAGGAGCAGCAATGGGCGCCTCGCTGGATCAGGAGCACAGTGGACACTCTGCCAGATCCGGAGGGGTGGAAGTCAATGGTGGGTCTGCAACGGCAGCAAACAGCAGTGGTGGACGGCTCGGCTGGAGCCGTAACAAACACGGACAAGAAGTGTAGCTGCAAGATTTAATAGAGTGAAAACAGAGCTCCCATACAATGGGAGGGGACCCAAAGGGGGTTGCCCGATCCGGTTCGAATGCCTGGGTTTATATCCCGATCATTGTCCCCTCCCCATGCTCTCAGGCGATATATGATTTGACTATTTCTTTACTGCCTACTTTTAGCCTAATTTGTATTTTAGTGAGCCCTTTTTACTACCTGATTGGGTGTGAGCTGAGTTACTAGCCCTGTGTTTAAAGGTGGGTGAGGTCACCTTCCCCAGCTAGGCTTAGGAATTCTTAGCCAAGGAAATCCAGCTAGTCCTGTTTCTCAGCACTTTGGGAAACTGAGGCAGGCAGATTACTTGAGGCTACGAGTTGGAGACCAGCTGGGTTAACATGCTGAAACCCTGTCTCTAAAAAACACAAAAATTAGCTGGGTGTGGTGGCATGCACCTGTAGTCCCATCTGCTCTGGAGGCCGAAGCTGGAGGATCACTTGAGCCTGGGAGGTCCAGGCCCCAGTGAGCCGAGATCATGCCACTGCACTCCAGCCTGGGCAACAGACCCTGTCTCAAAAAAAAAAAAAAAAAGAAAAAGAAAAAGGAGATAGCATTTTTTGAACCCTAGGAAACCATCCAAATCTCAACTTATCTGTGTTGACTTTTTTTGTTTTTTGAGAGATGCAGTGTCCTGATCTTGGCTCACTGCAACCTCTGCCTCCCGGGTTCAAACGATTCTCCTGTCTCAGGCTCCCAAGAAGCTGAGACTACAGGGATGCGCCACCACGTCTGGCTAAGTTTTTTATTTTTAGTAGAGACGGGGTTTCGCCATATTGGTCAGGCTGGGCTCAAACTCGTGACCTCGTGATCTGCCCACCTCGGCCTCCCAAAGTGCTGGGATTACAGGTGTGAGTCACCATGCCCGGCCATCTCTGTTAACTTTTAGAGATATGCTTTGTTTATATATTCAAAACATAAAATTAAACATTTTTAGAGAATAATTTTTGATGTATGTATTATACTAGAAAATACACCACAAGTGAAGGTTAATGTTTTAACATAATTGAGTTACTCACTTGAGTCTGAGTGTTCTAAGAGAAACCTGAAGTCACCCCTTACAACTAATATGATTTGTGTCCCTCCTCACTAAACAGATATTGAATGTTTATCGTGTCTAAGTATTTTAAAGGATACAGATGAAGAGATGTGTAGGGCAAAGCATGGGGGAAGGGGCAAGGGGCTTCCATGCTCTCCCTGGGCACACCACTTTCCAGGAACCTTCATGGCTTCAGCTATCCAGAAGCTCCCCAAACTCACTTCTCTTGGATTTGTTTTGTTGAGGGAAGTCTGGCTCTGTCACCCAGGCTGGAGTGCAGTGGCACGATCTCAGCTCACTGCAACCTCTGCCTCCTGGGTTCAAGGAATTCTTGTGCCTCAGCCTCAGGCGTGAACCACCATGCCCAACTTTTTTTTTTTTTTTTTTTTTGGTATTTTTGGTTTTCACCATGTTAGCCAGGCTGGTCTCAAACTCCTGCACTCCAGTGAACTGTCCGCCTTGGCCTCCCAAAGTGCTGGGATTATAGGTGTGAGCCACTGCGCCTGGCCCTCTTGTGTTTTTATGGAAGTTTCCTGATTCAGCATTCCTTCCCCCAGGGTATAGGGCGGGACTCACTCTGGGGAGGGTCTGAAGACCCACAATCAGAAAAGCGGGCAAGTCCTGGCTCGGGGCAGGTGAAAGGAGGGCAGGAGAAAATTCTGTTTCCTGAGGCCTAACCCAACATAACAAAAGACTGTAATGAGGCTATGGGAGTTAGGAACCAGGAACTGTATGCAAACTAATATATATCATGACACCATAGGCCACCTCTGGTTTTCAACCATGGATCCCTTACAGCAAAACAAATATACAGAATCTTTAATAATTACTTTAGTCCATCATATTGTGTGACTGTCTCCCAGGCAGAGGCCACTCAAGTTTGCAAGCTTCCTTTTAATCTTGTCAGACTCCAAAAGCAGGAGTGGTCTCGGCAGGCACACTGCTTCGCCCTTTCAGGCATCTGGGATCATCGAGTTAAGAGACAGTGTCATCTTTTGCTCTGAGTCTCTTTAGAGTCATTAATATGATATTGGATTTTCCTCAATTTATAACGCACTTTTTCATTTATTTATTCTTGGCTATTCCTCCTTTTTTCCATTTGTCATTTAATTTTACCCCAATTTTTCCACTTTTGGAAGGGACATTAGGTTTGGCCACTGTGCTGATTCATGTCGCTGGTAGCAATACCTGTCTAGCGAGTGCCTCCCCCTCAGTCCACGCCCATTCATAGAAGGAAGGGTCACATAGGATCTGAACTAGTGAGCCTTTTTTTTTTTTTTTTTTAGACAGAGTCTTGCTCGCTCTGTCACCCAGGCTGGAGTGCAATGGTGTGATCTCAGCTCACTGCAACCTCTGCCTCCCAGGTTCAAGCGATTCTCCTGCCTCAGCCTCCTGAGTAGCTGGGACTACAGGCACACACCACCGTGCCTGGTTAATTTTTGTATTTTTTTTAGTAGAGACGGGGTTTTATCATGTTGGCCAGGCTGGTCTCGAACTCCTGACCTCAGGTGATCCACCCACCTCAGCCTCCCAAAGTACTGGGATTACAGGCCTGAACCACCGCACCCAGCCTGTATTTATTCTTAATCCCAATTTTTCCAGATGGGGTGAAGGCACAACCAACCCCTCATCGGTCCCTTAGGAATTCTGACAAAGTTTAAAAACATAGTGACAGTTTCCTGCTTAGAAATAATTCCTGCTTGCAGCACTTGTAGTTACAGCCCTGGTCCTAGGACCACTGCATTAGGTAGTGGAGAGAAAAAAAATTTTTTTTGGCCAGGCGTGGTGGCTCACACCTGTAATCCCAGCACTTTGGGAGGCCGAGGCAGGTGGATCACGAGGTCAGGAGATTGAGACCATCCTGGCTAACACAGTGAAACCTTGTCTCTACTAATAATACAAAAAAATTAGCTGGGCGTGGTGGCAGGTGCCTGTAGCCGCAGCTACTTGGGAGGCTGAGGCAGGAGAATGGCGTGAACCTGGGAGGCGGAGTTTGCAGTGAGCTGAGATGGTGCCACTGTACTCCAGCCTGGGCCACAGAGCAAGACTCCATTTCAAAACAAAAAAAAGTTTTTTTTTGAGGTGATTTTGAAACCACCTTTGCAAAATTATAACTGAGACAATGAAAGAACTCTAACCTAACCAACTCTATCTTGCTTCTAACCTCCAAGCTGTCTTTGTTTATTCCTGGGCATAGGCTGAACTAACTTTGGGAGGAACTTAGTTTATAGGCTATAGTTTAAAACAAAGATGAGGCTGGGCATGGTGGCTCACACCTGTAATCCCAGCACTTCAGCAGGCAAAGGCGGGCAGATCAACTGAGGTTGGGATTTCAAGACCAGCCTGGCCAACATGGTGAAATCCTGTCTCTACTAAAATACTAAAATTAGCAGGGCATGGTGGTGGGTGCCTATAATCCCAGCTACTTGGGAGGCTGAGGCAGGAGAATCGCTTGAACCCAAGAGGCGCAGAGGTTGCAGTGAGCCAAGATCTCACCATTGCACTCCAGCCTGGGTGACAGAATGCGACTTTGTCTCAAAAAATAAAAATAAAACAAAATTGCTAACAGCCCTTTCCCCAAAAGAAGCCTCCTTGCCTGGGGACTGGACTACTAACATCGGCCACAAGATAAGAAATTATGGTTTAGGAGTCATGCAGCTGGAGGCTACAAGATTCTGACCCTTTCTAAGCTGCTCCTATGATCAGTGCTTGAGATATTTTGCAGACCCTGCACTTGATGGATCAGCTGGCACCACCCAGAGTGACTAACTGGCTCATCTGATCTGTGGCCCTCACCCCGGAACAGACTCAGTGCAAGAGGACAGCTTCAATTCCCTATGATTTCATCTCTTACCTAATCAACTAGCACTCACGGCTCACTGGCTTCTCCCCACCCACCAAGTTGTCCTCCCGAATGCTTGGGGAGACTGATTTGAGTAATAATAAAACTCTACTCTCCCACACAGCTGGGTCTGCGTGAATTGCTCTTTCTCTATTGCAATTCTCCTGTTTTGATAAATCAGCTCTCTCTAGGCAACAGGCAAGGTGAACCCACTGGGCGGTTACAATCTGGGGAAGAAAGAAAAAATTATAGTCATTATACCAGTGTATCCCTCCCTTGGCAAGAATTGTATAGTCATTACCAACATCCTCGCCAGCCCCCCTTCCCCAGATCAACCAGAAGGAGAAAAAAAAATCTAGTGCGGGAGATTCTAGTTCCACTCATTTTGAGTGTGAGCACACACTCGTGAATGTGTGTAAGCCAGCCGTTCATAATTTTATCTCCCCTGCTTTAGGCAACCAGTGTTTCAATTGTACATTCTACTTCTCTATTACTCTAAGAAGGATATCTCTCCGCCTACTGTTGGACGTTATGAGTTGTGTACAAGTAGTTTCAACTTTCCCAATAATGTAAATAATCAAGGAATTTGAAAACCTTGACCTCTCACTTTAATTATCATCTAGCCCAATTCCCTTTTTAAAGATAAATAAGGGAAGGCACAGGAAAGCGATGTGATTTGTCTGAGTTTTATGCCAAACGAAAATGGATTCTTAGTTCATTACTGGATTCCTAGTTCATTACTAATTCTCACTTAGCAGAATGTCAGAAACACTGGAGATGCTTTTAAAAATAGAGATTATCAAGCCCTATCCCAGAACTACTGAGTCAGTCTCCAGGGGTGGAGGCCAGGGATCTCTGAGCACACATTTCCTAAAATATTTTGCTTAATAATAAACCTGGGCTTGGTGTGGTGGCTCACACCTTTAAACCCAGCCCTTTGGGAGGCCAAGGCGGGAGGATCACTTGAGGCCAGGAGGCCAGAAGTTCAAGGTCAGCCAACACAGTGATACCTTGTCTGTACAAAAAAGAAGAAAAAAAAATTAGTCAGGCATGGTGGCATGCATCTGTAGTCCCAGCTCACTCAGGAGGTTGAGATAGGAGGCTCACTTGAGCCCAGACATTTGAGGTTGCAGTGAGCTATGATTGCCACCACTGCACTCCAGCCTAGGTGACAGCAAGACCCTGTGTCAAAAATAAAATAAAATAAAATTTAAAAATAAAACTCTATCTCTATAGGGATAATGGTGTAATGGTGAAGTAGAGAATCTCAGGTGACAAAAATCTCATCTGTCCATCAAGGTTGATCTCAAATGTAGTCTCTTAGGAACCCTTTCTCAGCCTGGGTCCCACCCGCCTTTAAGCTTCCATAGTCTTTGCTCATATCTTCCTTTTAGCACTTACCACAGTGCTTGTGGTTTATCCACCTGCCCTTCCTCACCCCAGTTGGAGCTCTTGTAGGTCAACAGTGGCCTTTTTTCCTTTTTTTTTTGAGACAGGAGTCTCGCTCTGCACCAGGCTGGAGTGCAGTGGCATGATCTCGGCTCGCTGCAACCTCCGCCTCCCAGGTTCAAGCAATTCTCCTGCCTCAGCCTCCTGGGTAGCTGGGATTACAGGTACCCACCACCACACCTGGCTAATTTTTATATTTTTTAGTAGAGACGGGGTTTCATCATGTTGGCCAGGGTGGTCTTGAACTCCTGACCTCAGTTGATCCGCCCCCCTTGGCCTCCTTAAGTGCTGGGATTATAGGCGTGAGCCACCGTGCCCGGCCCCTTTCTTCATCTTTCTAGCCCATTGGTCAGCTCACCTCTTGGGTTAAATAAACTTTACCTTTTGTCTCAGTAGAGAACACTGAAGGGGACACTGACCTAAAGTAAAGCCTTCTATGCAGACACATGTGGTTAGCAAGTTGTCCTACCCTGCTCTGTTCTCTTTCTTGCTGGGCCTTTTAGTCCTAGTCTTTCCCTTTGCCTGCTCCTCATCTGGAGAGGGGCAGAGGAATTCCAATCAGGGCATCCCAAGTTAAAAAACAATGTCCCAGAGAAGCAATGGTATGAATGACAGCTATTATATCATAATACTGTGCAAGGCTATGCATCCTGGTTTAAAGAAATTTGTGAGAACTGGGAATTTAACCAGCCTGTATAACACTGCTTCCTTGAAAAATTTATTTTCAAACATCTGGCTTACATGAGATCTTAAAAATTTTTTAAAAATAATATATTTTAATCAATATATTTAAAATATTATTTCAGTGTGTCACTAGCCACATTTCATGTATCCAATAGCCGCATGTGGCTGGTGACTACCCTGTTGAACAATGAACTCTTAACTTCTTCAAATTAGACTGTTAGAGTAGGTGGGCAGGCAAACATGAACACCACAGGAGAGGGCTCTCCCTAAGGAACCTTAGGCAACCATCTGGTGATGGTCAGGCGCTTTTTAAACTCTCCGTCTAAAATAATAACTGGTCACAGCTAGCACCAGGGAAAGGCGGTCTCCCAATAGATACAAAACACCTGAAGCTGGTTATCAGCAGCTTCCCAATAAGATCTTAGGAGCTGAGTGAGTGTGCTCACCCATGCACACTAAGATGCAAAATGGCGGAGTTTAACTGGTATATGACATCCCTCCAGGAAGCCTGGACTGGTAAGGGCAAAAATGCCTCAAATGAGCATGTGCACAACTTCAGTAAACACACTGCGCATGCGACCCCTCCCAAGTGCTGGCAGGCACTGCGCACGCGGACAGTCCACCCCAAGGAATAATCAAGGGAGGAGAGACTCAAAACTCCATTTGGATCTCTGAAGTCACCTGCTTGGTCCTCTTCCAAGTGTACTTTACTTTTTTTTACTGCTCTAAAGCTTTTCTTTTTTTTTCAAAAAAAATTTGAGACAGAACCTCACTCTGTCGTCCAGGCTGGAGTGAAATGGCATGATGTTGGCTCATTGCAGCCTCTGCCTTCCGGGTTTAAGCAATTCTCCTGCCTCAGCCTTCGGAGTAGCTGGGATTAAAGACACACACCACAACGCCCAGCTAATTTTTGTGTTTTTTAGTAGTGTTGGGGGGTCTCACCATGTTGGCCAGGCTAGTCTGGCTAGTCTGGCCTCAAATGATCCGCCTGCCTCGGCCTCCCAAAGTGCTGGGATTACAGGTGTGAGCCACCACGCCTGGCCCCTGCTCTAAAGCTTTTTAATAAACTTCCATTCCTGCTCTAAAACGTGCCTTGGTCTCTCACTCTGCCTTGACTCTTAGACTAATTATTTCCTCTGAGGAGGCAAGAATCGAGTTGCTGCAGACCTATACAGAATCACGGCTGCTCACAAGACTCTCCTAGGGATTGTTGATATAAATTGTCTTATTACAGAGATTGAATCTAAGTTATCACAACATTTAAAATCAGAAATACATTTGATAACAACCATTTTCATAAAGAATCTTTAAGTGAGTATTTTACTAGAAAATTCCATTCATGAAGATAAGAAATTATTTATCTAAATGCGTGCTGATCCCTGAGGCTAAAAATCAGGATCAAGCACAAGCTTTTGAAACACACCTTCTTTAGTTGAAAACCTCCTCTAAGGCCGGGCGCGGTGGCTCACAACTGTAATCCCAGCACTTTGGGAGGCAGAGGCAGGTAGATCACAAGGTCAGGAGTTCGTGACCAGCCTGGCTAATACGGTGAAACCCCGTTTCTACTAAAAATACAAAAAAAAAAAAAAAAAAAAAAAAAAATTAGCCGGGTGTGGTGGCGGGCGCCTGTAGTCTCAGCTACTTGGGAGGCTGAGGCAGGAGAATGGCGTGAACCTGGGAGGCGGAGCTTGCAGTGAGCCGTGATCACGCCACTGCACTCCAGCCTGGGCAACAGAATGAGACTCCATCTCAAAAAAAAGAAAGAAAAAAGAAAACCTCCTCTAAATGCTTTTTAAGAGCCTATTGGAACAATATTTATTGATTTTAAAATTTTTTTGTAGACATTAATGCCATTTAAAAAAAAAAAACAAAACCCAGCCGGGCACAGTGCCTCACATCTGTAATCCCAGCACTTTGGGAGGCCGAGGTGGGCGGATCACCTGTGGTCAGGAGTTCGAGACCAGCCTGACCAACATGGAGAAACCCTGCTCTACTAAAAATACAAAATTAGCCGGGCATGGTGGCGCATGCCTGTAATCCCAGCTACCTGGGAGGCTGAGGCAGGAGAATCGCTTGAACCTGGGAGGCGGAGGTTGCAGTGAGCCGAGATTGTACCATTGCACTCCAGCCTGGGCAAGAAGAGCAAAATTCCGTCTCAAAAAAGAAAAAGAAACAACAAGCAAACAAACAAACAAACAGCACTGCTGGTGGCTGGCACCTGTAATCCCAGCACTTTGGGAGGCTGAGATGGGAGGACTGTTTGAGCCCAACAGTTGGAGACCAGCCTGGGCAACATAGTTGCAACATAGCCGTCCCCTACCCCCCATTAAATTAGAAAAAAAAAGTATTTAAAAAAAGCCCAAACTCTACTGATGAATAGTATAACAGAGTTGCTACATTTTCCATAGTGTTGTGTAGATGAAGTATACTGTGCAACTGGACTGGGGCAACACTGTAAGAAGAGAGGATTTTGCTGGTGTCACTTTCACTATTTGTGTTTTGAAACAAAGTTGTCTTCAGCCTCTTAAGGAATTGGTATATATTTATGGGTGGACTTTCCAGCAGGTGGCACTTTAACAATTGTAACAACCTAAAGACCGTTTGCATAAACAATAGTGTTGACATTTTATAGTGCTTCCATAACGTCCTGTAAATCAAAGTGTTTTGTTTTAAAAAGGGTATTATAAAGATTGTCCTCATCAGGGGCTACCTTTGGTTAACAGATGAATAATTGTTGGAAGCTAAACAATGGGTACACGTGGACATACAGAGTGTAATAATAGATACTGGAGACTCCAAAAAGTGGCAGGGTGGGAGGGAGGTGAGGGTTGAAAAATTACCTGTTGTGTACAGTGTTCATTATTTGGGTGATGGGTACACTAAAAGCCCAGATTTCACCACTACCCAATATACACGTGTAAGAAACCTGCACTTATACACACATATATATGTCATAAATATATATAATATATATAAAATATATATTATATATATTATTTTTTCTTGTTTTTTCCCTTTTTTTTTTAAGCCTCTGTGGCACTGGTATGTCAGGCCAGGTTTCCATTATCAACCAGAACAGTCAGGTTCACTAACCCTTTTCTGATGAATGTGTAAGTTAAACATAAAAAAACTGAAGAAATTGGTGCCTGAGGGTGAGCGCTGGAATGCAAAAACAAACCCATTAAGACCTGGCCTGGGTTTTCTCCGGCCCTAAAGTCTGATCAAATAATAAAGGCATTCTTACACATACACCTCGTGCCAGAGCTCATTCAAGATGAAGAAACTTTCCAAGACTCTAGAGAAAGCTTTCCAGACCCTAGACCCTAGATAAAGATTAGATATAGATTGAATGAAACACTGCCACTTTTAGGTGCACTACCACACATGGGCAAATAACTTAGAATATGTATAAGCACTGAAAAAAAAAAACCTTGTAAATTTGAGTTGGTCGGGTGAGTTACTCTGACCTGCCTGAAACCGGTTGCAGAAATAAACTCCCTTCTTTCTCAGTCTGTCTGCATCTCATTATTGAACTATGAGAACAAGCAGCTGGACCCCTCGTTCTGTCTGGGTACACTGGCAGAGGAACAGACACATAGATCAATTGGACCTAGGAAAAAACTCACACAAATATGCTGAAATTAATTTTTGACAAAAGTGCAAAAGCAGTTCAATGGAGGAAAGATAGTCTTTTCAACAAGTGGTTCTGGAGCAACTGGACATCTACTGGGAAAAAAAATAAACATTGACTATGTCGGTTAGAAAAAAACGGTTGAAGAACTGGGGTCCCGGCCAGGCGCGGTGGCTCACACCTGTAATCCCAGCATTTTCGGAGACTGAGGCAGGTGGATCACCTGAAGTCAGGAGTTCGAGACCAGCCTGGCCAACATGGTGAAACCAGGTCTCTACTAAAAATACAAAAATTAGCTGGGCGTGGTGGCTCGTGCCTGTAATCCCAGCTGCTTGGGAGGCTGAGGCAGGAGAATTGCTTGAACCCAGGAGACAGAGGTTGCAGTGAGCCAACACAGTGCCACTGCACTCCAGCCTCGGCGACAGAGTGAGACTCTGTCTCAAAAAAAACCAAAAACCAAAAACAAACAAAGAATTGGGGTCTCAGAAAAGTTGAAATATCTGTCTCAGGTCACACAGAGTTTGGTGGCTAAGGTAAAAACAGAAACCAGGATTTTAACCTTTCAGTTTAGTCAGCAGCCAAAGTCTCCGCTCTGTAAATTCTGAAGGGGTCATGGTTGCTGTGGCACTGCTGAGACAGCAAATACAAATGCATCTCTAATGAGAGCTGTTGGGATGATTTTCTTGGAAAAACTAGCTTGGTAATACAGTTTTATCTGCAACGCTGGGGGCTGCCCTTTTAAGAAGCTGTCTACAGTTTGTCTCTGTGAGGTCTTACGTATGCCTAGTCACGATTCTCTTTTCTGTCATAATTATGGTGATGTGCCATTTCATCTACATTTAATCACTTAGTATCTGGACATATCCTCAGCCTTCAAAATACATCAATAAATCAGGGAAATTTAGCAGATAGCCACTTAGCTGATTAAAAGGCAAGAGATTTATGAGGAAATTAGATAATGCTGACCATGCAGTTCTCTAGTAGTCCTTTAAAGGGTGTTTTGAGAAGTCTGGCAATATATAAATGGTGCATTAGAGGAAGCAAAGCCTCTTCAGAACGACAAAATTTTACCCATCCTTCATGCACAAACCTGTAGGATTTAATGTTCCAAGCTTTCTTCTCCCAATGCTCAAACTTTTACAATGTACCTTAATCCTCGGTTTAAATACTTTCCTCTTCTAGCAATCTTTTCTTTTCTTTTCTTTTCTTTTGAGACGGAGTTTTGCTCTTGTTGCCCAGGCTGGAGTGCAATGGTGCAGTCTCGTCTCATCGCAACCTCCGCCTCCCGGGTTCAAGCAATTCTCCTGCCTCAGCCTCCTGAGTAGCTGGGATTACAGGCATGCATCACCATGCCCAGCTAATTTTGTGTTTTTAGTAGAGATGAGGTTTCTCCATGTTGGTCAGGCTGGATCTCGAACTC